>NC_000001.11:180760344-181063374 GCF_000001405.40 Homo sapiens
GATTGTATATCTAGAAAACCCCATTGTCTCAGCCCAAAATCTCCTTAAGCTGATAAGCAACTTCAGCAAAGTCTCAGGATACAGAATCAATGTACAAAAATCACAAGCATTGTTATACACCAATAACAGACAAACAGAGAGCCAAATCATGAGTGAACTTCCATTCACCATTGCTTCAAAGAGAATAAAATACCTAGGAATCCAACTTACAAGGGATGTGAAGGACCTCTTCAAGGAGAACTACAAACCACTGCTCAATCAAATAAAAGAGGATACAAGCAAATGGAAGAACGTTCCATGCTCATGGGTAGGAAGAATCAATATCGTGAAAATGGCCATACTGCCCAAGGTAATTTATAGATTCAATCCCATCACCATCAAGCTACCAATGGACTTTCTTCACAGAATTGGAAAAACCTACTTTAAAGTTCATATGGAACCAAAAAAGAGCCCGCATCGCCAAGTCAATCCTAAGCCAAAAGAAGAAAACCGGAGGCATCATGCTACCTGACTTCAAACTATACTACAAGGCTACAGTAACCAAAACAGCATGGTACTGGTACCAAAACAGAGATATAGATCAATGGAACAGAACAGAGCCCTCAGAAATAATGCCGCATATCTACAACCATCTGATCTTTGACAAACCTGACAAAAACAAGCAATGGGGAAAGGATTCCCTATTTAATAAATGGTGCTGGGAAAACTGGCTAGCCATATGTAGAAAGCTGAAACTGGATCCCTTCCTTACACCTTATAGAAAAATTAATTCAAGATGGATTAAAGATTTAAATGTTAGACCTAAAACCATAAAAACCCTAGAAGAAAACCTAGGCAATACCGGTAATTCAGGACATAGGCATGGGCAAGGACTTCATGTCTAAAACACCAAAAGCAATGGCAACAAAAGCCAAAATTGACAAATGGGATCGAATTAAACTAAAGAGCTTCTGCACAGCAAAAGAAACTACCATCAGAGTGAACAGGCAACCTACAAAGTGGGAGAAAATTTTCGCAACCTACTCGTCTGACAAAGGGCTAATATCCAGAATCTACGATGAACTCAAACAAATTTACAAGAAAAAAACAACCAACCCCATCAAAAAGTGGGCGAAGGATATGAACAGACACTTCTCAAAAGAAGACATTTATGCAGCCAAAAAACACATGAAAAAATGCTCATCATCACTGGCCATCAGAGAAATGCAAATCAAAACCACAATGAGATACCATCTCACACCAGTTAGAATGGCTGTCATTAAAAAGTCAGGAAACAACAGGTGCTGGAGAGGATGTGGAGAAATAGGAACACTTTTACACTGTTGGTGGGACTGTAAACTAGTTCAACCCTTGTGGAAGTCAGTGTGGCAATTCCTCAGGGATCTAGAACTAGAAATACCATTTGACCCAGCCATCCCATTACTGGGTATATACCCAAAGGATTATAAATCATGCTGCTATAAAGACACATGCACACGTATGTTTATAGCGGCACTATTCACAGTAGCAAAGACTTGGAACCAACCCAAATGTCCAACAACAATAGACTGGATTAAGAAAATGTGGCACAGATACACCATGGAATACTATGCAGCCATAAAAAATGAAGAGTTCATGTCCTTTGTAGGGACATGGATGAAACTGGAAACCATCATTCTCAGCAAACTATCGCAAGGACAAAAAACCAAACACCGCATGTTCTCACTCATAGGTGGGAATCGAACACTGAGAACACATGGACACAGGAAGGGGATCATCACACTCTGGGGACTGTTGTGGGGTCGGGGGAGGGGGGAGGGATAGCATTAGGAGATATACCTAATGCTGAATGATGAGTTAATGGGTGCAGCACACCAACATGGCACATGTATACATATGTAACAAACCTGCACATTGGGCACATGTACCCTAAAACTTAAAGTATAATAATAATAAATAAAAAGAAAGGTAAAGATGGCAAATTATGTATGTATATTTTACCTCAATAAAACATGAAGAAGAAACAGAAATATAAACTGTTGAAGTTCTGTGGTGAACGTTATGAACAGAAGTTAATTAAAAATAGAAAAACTGCATAAAGCTAAAAATGAATTATCTTGATCATACATTGTAAGAGTGGACCCATCAGCATTCCAGTGAATACATGCCATTTAATGGTATGCTGTTCATAAAACAAGCAAAGATCTTTCATGGTGGACTAAAAATTAAAGGGAACTGTGAACCAAAAAATTAAGGGAACAGGCTGGCCTTAACTTTTTAAAGATTTGTGGTGAATGAGCATCTGCTGATCACAAAGCAGCAGAGAAATTGACTAGTTTTCCAAGGGATCGCTGATGAAAATCAGATACCAGAACAAGTCTATAATGCTAATGAAACATTACTGTTTGGTGTTATTGCCCCAGAAAGACACTGACTACAGCTGATGAGATAGTTCCTATAGGAATTAAGGATGCCTATGACAGAGTAACTCTACTGGGATGTACTAATACAGCAGACATGTATAACTATAAACTTGCTGTGATAGTAAAAAGCTTGCATCTTTACACTTTTTTTAAAGAATGAATTTCTTGCCAGTCTATTCTTATGCAACAAAAAGGCATGGATCACCAGCGACATTTTTTCTGATTGGTTTCACAAACATTTTACACGAATGACTTGCGTTCACTGGGAAGCTGGACTGTATGACAACCGGAAGATTTTGTTATTCCTTGACAGCTGTTCATCCTCCAGCTGAAATTGTCATCAAAATAGTGTTTATGCCGTGGAATTCCCCTCAAATGTTCATTAATTCACCCATGTGACCAAGGTATATTTAGATTAATGAAGAATAAATATAAAAACACTGTCTTGAACAGCATGCTAGAAACAGTGAACAGAGGCATGGATGTGGAAGGTTTGCAGAAGGAGTTTAGCATGAAGGATGCTGTGTATGCTGTTGCCAATACTGGGAACACAGTGACTAAAGACACAGTTGTGCATACTTGGCATAATCTCTGGCCTGTGACTATTTTCAATGATGATGATGAACAAGGTGGTGACTTTGAAGGATTTTGTATGTCAAGTGAGGAAAAAATGATATCTGACCTCCTTACATATGCAAAAAGTATACCCTCGGAGTCTGTGGGTAAGCTGGAAGAAATGGATATTGAAGACATTTTTAACATCAGTACTGAGACTCCAGTTGTTCATTTGTTGACCAGTGGTGAAATAAATGTTTCTGAATCAAGGTGATTGTGATAAGAGCAATGATGAAGATGATGATGTTTAACACAGTAGAAAAAGTGCCCATATGTGACATGGCAAAAATATGTGATGGGCTTATTGAAGGACTAGAGCAGCATGCATTCATAACAGAACAAGATATATTGGTCAGCTTATAAAATTAAAGAGTGACTTCTAAATCAAAAACTGTTGCTAATGAAGCAGATGACTCTGGAGGAAACACTTTAAAAAGCCATCCAGCAGATGTGTCCTTATCCCTAGAGGACCCACTTCCTGGTCCCTCAGTTGCTTCCAATATTTTATCTCACCTAAAAAAATAAAATACTGTGTACACAATAACCCTTTAATCAAAACATAGAATTGTAGGTTGTTGCTGTTGTCTAACAGCTGATACAGATATTCTGGTGATGCTACTGTGTTTTTACCGTGAATGCATTATTTTTCACTTTGTTAATGGTATGCCTTAATTTTTCCTGATAAGTACTTATGTGTGAATATGTGTAAGAGAGTGATTGCTTGTCATTATAGTGTATAAATTCAAAGTTGGGATTGATGGTGATGCCAAACAACCACAGATCATTTACATGGGTGGCTGAGCTAGTGACACCTTTGCTTTCTGATTGTTCAGTGTACACAAGCTGTTTAATGCGCAAAATTATTAAAAATATTGTATAAAATTACCTTCAGCCGATGTGTGTAAGTTGTATATATAAAACATAAGTGAATTTCATGTTTAGACTTAGATTTTATTTCCAAGATACCTCATTATATATATGCAAATATTCCAAAATCCAAAAAAATTCCAAACCTGAAACACTTCTAGTCCCAAGCATTTTGGAAGAGGGTACTAAACCTGTAATCTTTTTTTTTTTTAAACTGTTAAAACTTTCTTGTTATTTTTGTTTCTGTTTTTGTTTTTTGAGATGGGGGTCTCACTCTGTCACCCAGGCTGGATTGCAGTAGTGCGATCATGGCTCACTGCAGCCTCGACTTCCTGAGCTCAAGCAATCCTCCCACCTCAGCCTCCCATGTAGCTGGGACTACAGGCATGTACTACCATGCCTGGCTAATGTTTGTATTTTTTGTAGAGGTGGGGTTTTGCCGTGTTGCCCAGGCTGGTCTTAAACTCCTGAGCTCAAGTGATCCACCCGCCTCAGCCTCCCAAAGTGCTGGGATTACAGGTATGAGCCACCGTGCCCAGCCTTATGGATAATTTTTTTTCTTTTTTTTTTTTTTTGAGACAGGGTCTTGCTCTGTCGCCTAGGCTGGAGTGCAGTGGCGCAATCTGGGCTCACTGCAAGCTCCACCTCCCGGGTTCACGCCATTCTCCTGCCTCAGCCTCCTGAGTAGCTGGGACTGCAGGCGCCCACCACCACACCCAGCTAATTTTTTATATTTTTAGTAGAGACGGGGTTTCACTGTTTTAGCCAGGATGGTCTCGATCTCCTGACCTCGTGATCCACCCGCCTTGGCCTCCCAAAGTGCTAGGATTACAGGCGTGAGCTACCGCGCTCGGCCCTTATGGATAATTTTTTATGTGCAGGAACTGTTATAAGAATTTTACAAGCATTGCCTCCTTTAATCCTCGCAACAGTGCTATGGATGAGGTAAGTGCAGAGAGTAAGTGACTTGTGTGAGTGCTCAGTGAATGGAAGAGCTAGGATTTAAACCTGGCTGGTCTGGCTCTAGTCATTTTTTTATATCCACAGTATAGTCTGCCAAATTCCAAATTAACTTTACATTTGCCTCAATGCCAGCCAATCTAATCTTCTTACTAACTTGCTCATGCATTATGCTGGACTGATTTCAGTATTCTGTTCTAAGTCAGTTATGCAAACTATTTTCCTTATTTGTTTATATCTCTTCTCTCTGACTACTAGATCTTTCTTAGCCTCCGAAAATCTAGGTCAAGTTCCATCTACAACTACTTTCAAATACAGTTGTCCTTTGGTATGTGTTGAGGGTTGGTTTCAGGACTCCCCTCAGATATCTATCAAAATCTGTGGGTGCCCATGTTCCTTATATAAAATGGCATAGTATTTACATATAACATAAGTACATTTTCCTGTATGTTTTAAATCTTCTCTGGATTACTTATCATACCTTATGCAATGTAAATACTATGTAAATAGTTGTATTGTTTTTAAATTTGTATTATTTTTTATTTTCTTTTTTTTCCAAATATTTTCGTTCTGCAGTTGGTTGAATCTGAGGTTGGTTGAATCCAAGGATGGGGAACCCATGAATATAGAGGGCTGACTGAATATGCTCCCTTTTTTCTGAACTTTTTAGTGTATTGGTAGTACTGTGAGTTTTACCATTTCATCATTCTCATTTTCTTTATGGTGCTAACATATTTTTCAAGAAGACAGTCAGTTCTTTGGTGCAGAAATTTAAGAGACAGTAGGAAAAAAGAAAAAACAAAAGACACCGAGATATATAGAGTTTAACTGGCTGTGGTCTTATAAGTTATCATTAATGGATTTAAAGTAGAACTTAACTTTTCTTTTCCTGGTCCACTATCTCTGTCATCATTCCCTCCTGCCTCCCAATTTAGTAAATTTTGATTCAGTATTTGTTGTCTTATTTAATATCTGCATTTGTTGGTAATATAGACATACCCTAATGCTATGAGACCAATGAGGCAATAATGTGCACATTTCCAAAAAAATGCAACCTAGGCAAGTAAGAGATATTTTCTGTACAGATTGGTGCTGATGGGAAGGATTGAAATTAATATTAGCAAGAATGAAGATAGTTTTGGTAAATCACATTACTTTTCTGATGCACAGAGTGTATTTTGATGTCATTAAGGAAAGAAATGCTGAATCTGGTACATAATAAACATGCAGTAGACATTATTTGGGTATGTTTGATTATCAAATATAATTCTAAGTAGTAATACACTTTTGTGCTTCTAGCCCAGGCTTGAGATGTAAACTAAAGGGAAGAAATATAATTTCAAAAAGTATTTTAGAAGAAATTGTCGTCACAATCATAAGTGAGTTATTGTAAAGTATTTCTAACATTAAAAAAAAACCTTTTGTGAAATTGTAATTTAAAATAAATTGTGGAGAATAAGTTCAGAGTTCTGGTGGCTTAAAAGTAAAAACATGTATTTGTTCTGGAGAGGAGAAATGATTTCAGGGAGAAAAAGTACAAATGAAAATCAACAATAAGTACATTTTCATTTTGTATCCCTAACTTAGCATCTATTTTTTATGCCTTATTATTTCTTACATTTGGGGTGAAATAGTGAAACAGTGATCTATAAATTTATTATTTTTGCTTCCTAACTCCATTTGACAAAAGTTTTATTCATACCCTGGCTTAATGTAGGTTTTGTTACCAGATAATTACATTTGTCCCATATATGGTGACCATAGTCATGATGCTACATAAAACTTCTGATGGTGAAGCTATAAAGACATGCTCAGCTCAAAAGACAAAAAGTAAATTCTGAAGGACATCCTCTTTTTCCTTCTTTTCTCGCTCTCTCCATTCCTCACTTGACCAAGTTCTTGTTAGAGCCTACAAATGGCTATTTGGATTTAAAAGGGGGAGGGGAATCCTACTAATTGAGTTCCAGACAAGTTCTGTTTGTTACTTTTCAGTAAGAAAGAAGTTTTTGTAGTAAACTTTCCAGCTTAAAAGCAATATAATCAGAAGAGTTTTAATAATGAGTAAAAGCTCCCACTCACTCCCTTCAAAATAAAACCATTATAGTAGGAAGCTGAGTTTAGATATCATAGGCATAACTGTTAGAAAATAATTGAAATTTTGTTCATTAGAATAGTAACAGGAATTAATTGCTGTTTTCAAGCGAGAATAAACTGTTGAAGGATGGATCTGTTCAGTCATTTTGATAGTGTAGGAATTTTTAAAATACATAAACTGGTGATCCTTAGTGCATTCTCTTTTCTTGCAGGATTCCTATAGCATGGGTAAAATAGTTTATTCTAACATTGTCTAAAGTAGCAAAAAAAAGTAAATTTTAAATAATATGAAATGGAATAAACTCTAGAACATGTAGGTGAAAGAACATTATGAAGCTGTTAAAATTATGATTTTAAAGAGTATATAATCTGGGAAAGTATACCTCACAAAATATTACATAAAAGGATATTTTACACACAGATTATTACCCTGATTCTGTACAGTACGTACACATGCATATGTATTAATAGAAAAAATACGCCAGTATAGTGGCTGAGATTGTCATGAGGATTAGGAGCACTGATGTTTTTATATAATGAAGGTTTATTACTCTTATCACAAGAAACTTTTTTTTTTTTTGAGACGGAGTCTTGCTCTGTTGCCCAGGCTGGAGTGCAGTGGCGCAATCTCGGCTCACTGCAAGCTCCACCTCCCGGGTTCACACCGTTCTCCTGCCTCAGCCTCCCGAGTAGCTGGGACTACAGGCGCCCGCCACCATTCCTGGCTAATTTTTTGTATTTTTAGTAAAGACACGGTTTCACTGTGTTAGCCAGGATGGTCTCAATCTCCTGACCTCGTGATCCACCCGCCTCGGCCTCCCAACGTGCTGGGATTACAGGCATGAGCCACCGTGCCCGGCCCACAAGAAACTTTTTAAACAAATTTTCAGTTAAACTGAATGAGTAGAGGTTTGACCTAAAACTAAGATTTACTATAGAGTTTTTTTTTTTTAGTTTGAGTGCTGTGTCAATTCTAGAGACTACATATTATGTCCTGTTCATATCTTTCTAGGAGGATTTGCTTCATTCATAGACGATTTATAGGTTTCTGAACTTTATGTACCAAAAATAAATGGTCAGAATTGATGCTTCTGTAGGAGACCCTCAAGTCCCATAATGGCATTTATTTCTATTATAATCTTTTGGGGAATGCCACGTGAGTGGCATTTAGATTGAAAACATGAGTACAATTAGATTTATGTAATTCTCTGTGACTGTGAGAAGGATTTTTGTGAGGAGGATTTTGTACAATGAAATGATAATAATCAGCCCTTGCATTCTGCAGGATTTAGGAATGCCACCCTTTACCAAAGTTAAGTAGAAAATATTAAGTGTAGGGCTAGTGAGTCTGAGGAGCACATAAGCACCTGAAGAGAATTTCATTTATGCTAAGAAGTTTACTCCTTTGCATTTAGCTGTAAATTGTATAATAAAGTTGCCTAACTAAGGTTTTACTATCTCAACTCCCCTAAACACATGTTGTGTTTTACCTGGTAACAGATATCCTAAATGTAGGTAGAAATTAATTCACCTCCATGTACTACTTTAGGTTATAGAAATGCTTATTGGGTTCTTTCATTGCAAGCAACTGAAGTTGGATGACAAAGTAAAATGGGCATTTATTGAAGGATGTTATGGTGGCACATAGAATTGAAAGAACAGAATATTCAGATCAATTCAAAAGAAAAAAGTAGGTCAACTTTGGTGCTCCCAGCAGTGCAATGCATGAACTTATTTGTGGAAGAATGTTTCTCAAATTGTCTGCAGCAAAAAAAAATCTATATCTGTTTTTTTTTAACTCAATATTTTTTCGTTTTTTAAAACATACATTTTTAATTTTTGTGGGCATGTAGTAGGTGTATATAGTTATAGGGTACATGAGATGCTTTCATACAGGGATGCAATGCATAGTAGTCACATCATGGAGAATGAGGTATCCATCCCTTCAAGCATTTATCCTGTGTGTTACAAACAATCCAATTATACTCTTTTAAGTTATTTTTAAATGTACCATTAAATTATTATTGACTATAGTTACCATGTTTTGCTATCAAATAGTAGGTCTTATTCATTATTTCTGTTTTTTTGTGTTTTTTTTTTTTGTATCAGTTAACCATCCCCACCACCCCCTAACCTCCCCCACTACCCTTCCCAGCCTCTGGTAACCATCCTTTCTCTCTCTCTCTCTCTCTCTCTCTCTCAGTTCATCTGTGTCCATTTTTAGATCCCACAAATAAGTGAGAACCTGCAATGTTTGTGTTTCTGTGCCTGGCTTATTTTGTGTAACATAATGATCTCCAGTTCCATCCATGTTGTTGCAAATGACAGGATCATATTCTTTTTTATAGCTAAATAGTACTCCATTGTGTATACGTACCACATTTTCTTCATTCATCTGTCAATGGACATTTAGGTTGTTTCCAAGTCTTGGCTATTGTGAACGGCTGCAACAAACATGGGAGTGCAGATATCTCTTCGATATGCTAATTTCCTTTCTTTTGGGTATACCCAGCAGTGGGATTGCTGGGTCATGTGGTAACTCTACTTTTAATTTTTTGAGGAACCTCCAAACTGTTCTCCGTAGTGGTTGTACTAATTTACTTTCCCATCAACAGTGTATGAGGGTTCCCTGTTCTCCACATCCTTGCCAGCATTTGTTATTGCCTGTCTTTTGGATATAAGCCCTTTTAACTGGGGTGAGTCTGTATTTTTTCTCTTAAATAATTATTTTGGTTTTGAGCTTATTACTGTGTTTATACATAAATACTGGTTAATTTTGATAGTTTCATTATTTCATTAGTCAGCATATCTCTGTAGTTGTCTTTGACATAGCCTTTTGCTTCAGTGCTCAGCTACCTTCCTGTATTTTGTTTTATGTTTTTGTCTTCTGAAAATTTCCCTTTCTTTCAGTTACATGTTTAAAGAGATGATGTTTTAGTTTGGGCTTCTACAGCAGATTACCATAGATAGGTTGGCTTAAACAGCAGACAGTTATTTTTCATGGTTCTGGAGTCTGGAAGTGTAAGATCAGAGTGCCAGCATGGTTGGTTCTGGTGAGGGCTTCCTTCCTGATTATGTCCTCACATGCCATTTCCTTGATTTGTGCATGTGGAGAGAGATCTCATGTGTTTTTCTCTTTTTAATTTAATCATAAGGGCTCTATCCCCACGGCCTCATCCAAACCTAAATAACTCCTAAAGGCCCCACCTCCAAATCTCATCATATTGGGGATTAAGTCTTCAAGATATGAAGGGAGGCTGGGGAGACACACAGTCATTTAGTCTGCAGCAGATGGTTTTTAAATTTTATCCAACATTTTTAGATGTTTTGTGCTATGAAGGTTGCTCAGAGTATCTAATTTACTTTGTTTCCAGAAATGAAAGTCTCAGTCTCTTCAACCTCAACTAAAAATAACTTTGTTTAAAAATGCACCAGATTATTTTACTCCCCTGCTTACTATCTTTTAAAGTGTTACATGGCCCCTTCATCTGGCGGTCCCTCTCTCTTCAGCCTCATTTTACATTACTTTCTCTTTCATTTGGTATTGTTAATCACTGTTGGTTTTCTTTCCCAAGTCAACCTTGCTCTCAACTCCCGCTTATTATTATTTTTCCTGCCTCACATCCCTCAGCTCCTTCTTTATATCTCAACTGAAGTGTTTCAGAGACTTTCTGGATCTTTTTATAATGGGTTAGTGCCTGTCGATGTGCTCCCCTAGCATTCTGTGCCTTCCTATTTATTACATACATTGATTGTTCTTCTAATTACTTCTTTACGTCTGTTTTCTCTCAAAGCACAGGGAATGTGTTTGCCTCCTTCATCACTATATCCTTAGTTAATAAATAGCATGGTGCCTGGCATATAGTAGACACTTTAAAAATATTTGCTGTTGAATATATAACATTGATATTTAAGATTCATTATTACCCTATCGTATGAATTAAGTAGCTCAGGTAGTGGTATTACAATTAAGTCATTCTCTTGATTAAGTTTGAATTGGTTTTTTTTTTAATTTGTCTTTAGGCCCTAGACATTTTGAATTAATCTGATTTTGTATGAAATAATTTTAAACTTACAGAAAAGTTGCAAGAATATTACAGAAGAGTTCATATATACTCTTTACCCAGCTTTCCTTAATGTTAAAACGTACTCAATCGTAGTGCAATTACCAGAACTAGGAGATTAACATGTTGGTATAGTATTACTGACTCAACTACAGACCTTACTCAAGTTTTACCAGGTTTTTTTCTTCATGTCCTTCTTGGTGCCAGGAACCAATTCAGGATCTCACGTTGCATTTGGTTGTTGTGACTCTTCAGTATCCTTCACTCTGTGACACTTCCTTAGTCATGACTTTAACACTTTGATGCGTATTGTGCTTTGATAATTGATTTGTACAATATCTAAGTTTATTTCTGCCTGATGTTTTCTCATTTTTGGATTCAGGTTGTGCCTTTTTGTCAAGAATACCAGAGAAGTGATGTTGTGTCCTTCATAGTGCATTTTTTTCAGGGGGTACCTGTAGTTGCTATGTCTTATTTTATTGGTAGTATTAACCTTGATTACTTGTTTAAAGTGGTGTCTGCCAAGTTTCTCCATGGTAAAGTTACTGTTTCTCCCTTTGGATTGATAAATATCTTCTTGTTCCTCAAACTTTGACCCATTGATTTCTATTATCTATGGATGGATCTTGCTCGCAAGGGTTACTACTGTGGTATTTGCCTAGTGGTAATTCTATATTTTTCTCATTTCTTCTACATTTATTAATTAGAATTATTCTATAAGGAAGAGCTGTTCTTTCTCACACATTTATTCAGTTATTTATTTATTCATATCAACATGGGCCTTTGAATATGTGCTTTATTCTATGGATTATAATCTAGTACTGTTACTGTCATTTATTTTATTGCTTTGGTCATTGGGAGCTTCTTCAAGTTGGAAGAATTTATGTCATTTTGATCTGCCACCATTCTTTTGGGAAAGTTTCTTATTTTCTGGTATCTTAAGGTATTCCAGGCTCACCTTGTATTTTCCCTGACCCAGCCCTGGAAATCAACTTCGTCTCCTAAGACCCCTGACTCCTTTTATTTGGAGAATGTTATTTAGGAACCAAGATCTGAGTGCTAGACTTATTGTTACTAGACTATTATTGCTGCTAGACTCTACCAGCAGAGGAGCTAAGAAATATGTGTGTGTGTGTGTCTGTCTGTCTGTCTTTGTGTATGAACTTTGTATACACACTGATAAGGTTTGGCTCTGTGTTCCCACTCAAATCTCATCTTGTATCTCCCATAAATCCCACTTGTTATGGAAGGGACCAAGTGGGAGATGATTGAATCTTGAGGGCAGGTCTTTCCCATGCTCTTCTCATGATAGTGAATGGGTCTCATGAGATTTGATGGTTTTAAAAAACAGAGTTTTTCTGCACAACCGCTCTTTGCCTGCTGGCATCCGCGTAAGATGTGACTTGCTCCTCCTTGCCTTTCACCATGATTGTGAGGCCTCCTCAGCCATGTGGAACTGTAAATCCAATAAACCTCTTTCTTTTGTAAATTGCCCAGTCTTGGGTATGTCTTTATCAGCATCATGAAAACTGACTAATACATACACATATCTGTATTTCTATATCTATTTGCATATATATTAACAACCATGAGTTCACACTGTTAACCTCTGATTTTACTCTATCACTCTATCATACAAATTTTATTGTAGCTCCCCAGGGTACAGTTCCCCAGTACCCTTTCTCCTATTCTGTACTTGAAATTTACCTGATATTCCTTGTATCAAGAGATAGAGACTAGTAAATAGTCAATCATTTAATGTGTTGAATATGCTCAGGGTTATGTTGGTCAGTAATGTCTCTGAAAAGGGTTATTTAAGAGGGTGGCAGATGACTAGGGAGAAAATGTGACTATGAATGTTGGGATTTGGGAAAAGAGATGGTTTGGGGATACTTGGGGAAAAAAAATGTTCAGACGGGAGAACAAACATCATGTATTAAGGTCCAGAGATAAGGAAAGTATGGCTGCTCCCAGGAACTGAAAATTGCTCAGGATAGCTATATAGGTTGAGATATCAGATGAATTAAAGCTGAAGAGAAGTAGCACTGACTCTTGTAAGACTTTATAAACTATGTTGCAGGGTATGAACAGTATCCTAAGAACAACAGAGAGTTACTATTTTAAGCTAAATAATTATATTCCCTTTCCTTTCACAATGGAAAACCATTTTTAGCATAACTCTTTGTTATTAGACTTAAAATGTAAAATTGTACTCATACTTATTTGTATCTCATATAATGCTACAAAGGTTTTGACATAACATTTTCTTTGAAGGAGAGTCCCAAGGAAAGGAATTTAGTCATTCTTATGAGTCAGTGAATGTGTGTCATTGAAATACTCAGGATTACTTTCTCCCTTTTCTAAGATGGCATGTTTTCTTTTCCTTTTTCCCTCCATGTTTTGCTTTAAGAGCAATGCAGCTATAAAGTATGCTTCAGTTGCTTAGATGATAAATTTGTCTATATGTAATTAAGAGCCAAAACTGTGATTTTACATTAGAAATTAGTTAAGGTTTATTAATCGAATAGAATGTGTTCTGTTTTCCTCAAGAAAATAGAGATTTTACCACTTGTCCAGATCTTCTATTTAAATATATAATCACTAAACTTTTTTTAAAAATTGCATTTTCATAGTCAGTTGTTTCCTTAATTTCATTGTTTTATATACATTTGCTTTGTTCTGTCATCTTTCTCAGTATGATTCTGTGATGTATTTTATCAATTTTCTTTTAGTCATTGGAAGAGTGTCTTTATCAGACAAACAAGTGGCTGCATTTCTGGTCTAATTTGAAGAATACTGAAATGTCCCAGAATATAGAGGAAGAGAGAAGTATATAAAACCCTGGCTTTGAGGGAATTTGAGCTAAGAACTTAATTTTCTTTATTTGGTTATGTTGCTGTGAAATCAGAATAAAAGAGAATATTGCAGGAATTTTGCAACAAAGATGTAGTTTATGGATGTTAAAGAATTAACAAAGGATAACCCATATCTGGATTTTTTAATACTTTTTTTAAAAAAAGAAATCTGTCTTTCCTATCTTTTTTTTTTTTTTTTTTTTTTTGAGATGGAAGTCTTGGTCTGTCGCCCAGGCTGGAGTGCAGTGGCGTGATCTCGGCTCACTGCAAGCTCCGCCTCCCGGGTTCATGCCATTCTCCTGCCTCAGCCTCCCTAGTAGCTGGGACTACAGGCACCCGCCACCATGCCCAGCTAATTTTTTTGTTTGTTTGTTTTTTTGTATATTTAGTAGAGATGGGGTTTCACCGTGTTAGCCAGGGTAGTCTCAATCTCCTGACCTCGTGATCTGCCTGCCTCGGCCGCCCAAAGTGCTGGGATTACAGGTGTCAGCCACCACGTCTGGCCTGTCTTTCCTATCTTTTTATATCTGACCAATATTGATGTTCATCATAAATGTGTTTTCTCTTTAGCTATATGTCTTAGTCCATCCTTTCTGCTATAACAAAATACTTTAGTCTGGGTAATATATAAATAATAGAAATTTATTTCTCATAGTTCTGGAGGCTGGGAAGTCCAGGATCAAGGCACCAACAGACGTAGTGCCTGATAAAGGCTTGCCTTCTGCTTCCAAGATGGCATCTTGTTGTTGTGTCCTCTGGAGGGGTCCAACACTATGTCCTTACATGGCAGAAAGGATGAAAGGGACTAGGGAGATTTCTTCAGCCTCTTTTATAACGTCACTAATCCCATTCACCTAAACACCTCTTAAAGCCCCACCTCTAAATACTATGGCATGGGTGATTAAGCTTTATCATGAATTTGGGGGGACACATTCAAACCACAACATTACATATATGCTTGGCAGTTTGGAGAGAAATGAGATGGTTACCTGCCTATCATTCTTTGAAAGCTTTTTCCCTGGAGTAAGTCACCAGAGTAGTTAAGACTCTTATGGTTCATTGTTTTACTCATCTTTGCAACAGTGAGACTGAGCAGTCAGGGCCGAGCACCATGGCTCCCACCTGTAATCCCAGCACTTTGGGAGGCTGAGGCAGGGGGATCCCTTGAGCCCAGGAGTTTTGAGACCAGACTGGGCAACAAAGCAAGACCCTGTCTCTATATAAAAATGAAAAAAAATTGAAAAAAAGACTGAGAATTCAGTTAAGTTAATAATAGTATTCATCTTGGATTATCCTCAGATATCTTTTGTTTGCTTTGTTTATTGTAACTTCAGTCTTAATAATAATTTTGATCTGTTGCTTTGCAAGAGTGAAAAAGAACTAGGATTACTAATAGTTTAGTTAAAAGTGGATCTAACTAGATAGATTTACTTAACAAAATGACTTTAAATAATGGTATACTTTGTGGTATATAAAGTGATTAATTAGCTAACAGAATTAGAAAATAAAAGGCCTTCAGTTAAAAATACCTAATTCTCTTGAAACTGTCATCTGTATACAAAGTAGTATTTTGTCATATTTGTTAAATGGAGAAGAGTGCTGGAAAAAAAAATCCCCTTTTTATTGTCCTTTAAGAGAATTCATTTCCAGATTTATATCCAGATATATGTGGATATATTCATTTACATATGTACTAATTCCTGAAATTGATTGGTCTGAATAATTAGTCTACAGTCAAGAAGTCCTCTTTCAAATTGCCTTTCCTTGACTTTATAAAAGAAAGGCTTGTCTCTTACGCAATCTAAATTTTGCTGTGATACGTTGTTGCCATTTTGGATCCCAAACAAAGGAATTCTCTGAAATACTCAAATACTCATTGTAGGTATTAAGAAAGTGAGTAACAGGGTAACAAATCCTTTGCAAGTCCAGTTTTTTGTTTTCACTGAAACTGAAAGAAGACTTAATTGTAAGCTTATTTATCATTAAAATTAATTTTCAATAATCACCATGTGGCTTTTGGAAAATACATAGGCATTCAAAGATTGACATTGCTGCAACAAACTTTCATTCTGATCTACTTATTTATGTTAACAATATTTCTTAACATTTATGTCTATAAGATGAAACCAAATACATAAAGTAGTTATTGAATTAATTCAAGTAGTTATTGAATTATTATGGCATTTAATTTCCATTATAATTTTGGAAATTGTATAATTGTATAATTATACAATTGGATTGTATAATGGAATAATTGTATAATGGAAATTATACAATTTCCATTATACAATTAAAACAAAGTCCTTGTATTTTAAAATGTAAATGATTGCAGGGTACCAGAAATTACATTGTTTATAATTATTTAAATGTGTTCAAAATCAGTTATCATGACTTAACAATTGCAAGATAGTTATTCAAAATTATTTTAGAAGTTACAAGGGCAAAAATCATTTGAAAACCACTGTTACATTCCTCCCACTTTACTAATGAATTATGCCCTTGTTTGAATTATTTATTGATATTTCATTTATTGTTGTTCTTTACCTAGCAGACATTAGGTAAATACTCATTGGGATAATAAATAGCTTGGATTGTATTGTATCTAGTGCCAGTGAGATTGATTTTTTTCTCAATTACATGTCACTGTTATAAGTGAAAAGACTTTTTTGTGTGTGTTCTACCAAGAATATTTTAAACACATTTAGTTAAACCTCACCTGATAAAACCTTAAGATAGACTCAGATCAGAAAATCTTGTGTAGGGACTACTTAAGCCTAGTTATATTCAGAATCATTTTGCAGAAATTAGCAGTTTTAGTTAGAAATTTGCAATTAGGAAAAGACTTAGAGATTACCTATTCAAATGCCCTTATTTTTCAAAGTGAAAACAGGCCTAGAGTGTTACTTGCTCAAGCTAATATAGGTAGTTGGCAACAGAACCATATCTAGTCTGCACTAAAACCTACTGATTTTACCTCCAGAATATCTTTTGAATTTTTTCACTTCTCTGTCTCCAGTGCCCTCACCCTAGTTGAGGCTATTGTGATCTCTCCCGTGGTATCTACTGTACTACGTCTCACTGGTCTCCCGACAACCTTATTTAGAAAGCATATTTGATCATACTATTCTCTCTGCTTAAAATCCTTCAAAAATGTCTCATTGGTCTCAGGAAGAAGGCTAGTCCTTTATTCTACCCTTTGTATATTTGTGAGATTATTTGATTAAAGTTTTTTTCCTCAGATAGACTGTAGACTGTAATGTCAAAGGGCAGAATTTATGTTTATTTTGCTTATCGCTGTATCCCTACCCCTGCCACATTGCCTGGTACATAGGAGGGACTTGGTACTTGTTGAATGAATGACTCCTGATTTAGCTCTATTTCTACTACACCAGTGATTTTAGAGTAACATTTTTTATCTTTGAAATCTTTGCCATATGCTTTATATAATTCATCTACCCATCTGTTGATGTAATAGCATCTGGAAAAAAAGAATTTCAAGTTAGTTATTCTCAGTTTATAAATCACACTCTTAAAAAAACACACACCTTTTTTTGGTACAAGCATGAAACAGTAGTGCTAAATATTCTTTCTATATTTGATGGAGCATGGTCATATATTTAATTTTTATTTATCTGCTCTCATAAGCAGGAGAAACTAAGAAATCATAGAAACTATTGTGTAGGGAATATAATTAAAATGCAAAGAGGTAGTGGTGATAGTAAAGTTAGTGCCTCTCAAACTGGTGTTCCACAGAATACTGTTTCAGGAGATCTTGTTTTTTTATTTTAATTTTATTTTTTGAGACAGGGTCTTAGTCTGTCACTCAGGCTAGAGTATAACGTGATTACAGCTCACTGCAGCCTTCATCTCCCAGGCTAAAGCCATCCTCCCACCTCAGCCTCCCAAGTAGCTGGGACCACAGGTGCACGCTACCACACCCAGCTAATTTTTAAAAAAATTTTTTTAGAGACTGGGTCTCCCTAAGTTGTCCAGACTGGTCTCCAACTCCTGGGCTCAAGCAGTTCTCCCACCTCGGCCTCCCAAAGCACTGGGATTACAGGCATGAGCCACCACACCTGACCTATTCCTGCAGATTTTAATAGGTATTCTACAACCCTTTCCTCATCTTTCTGCTGTCATATCCCCTTTACACCAAGGACTATATTCTTATAAATAACTTTGGGAAACACAATGTATTAGTTCCACTTCTCATAGAATAACAGTGTATATTAGCATAGTAAAGCTCCTTTTGCCTTAAAGCAGAGTTTCTCAGCCTTGATACTGTTGACATTTTGGACCGGATAAGTCTGTGTTTGGAGCAGGTAGTGGGAAGGATTGCTGTCCTGGAAATTGTAGAATATTTAGCAGCATCCTTGACCCCTACCCATTAGACTCTAGTAACACTAACATACTCGTGGTTGTCCAGCTGTGACAACCACAAGTATCTCCAGATATTGCCAAATGTCCCTTTGTCCCCTGAAAGACAACCCACCTAAGAGTGAGAACTACTACCTTAAAAAAAATCAGTTTGATCGTGCTTTATACTCATAATTCCCAGATTTATTTGAGGATAGAATATTTCTCCTCCTCCTTCATTTGCACACCTAATTTCCTGGGAATTGCTATTTTAAAATTATCATTTAATAAAACAGAAACTAATTCTCCTATTTAGGCTTCCCCCTAAAACTCATCAATATTTTCCATGGCACTTAGAATAGAGTTCAAACTTCATAACATGGGCTTTGTGCGTGAAAGGGCCTTTACCTGCCTCCCTGACCTCACCTCCTATCACCACCTGGTGGCAGTAACATTGTGAGCTGCTTTCAGTTCTTTAGGCATCTCAGTTTCTTTTCTAACATGCTGTTCCCTCTGTTGGGAATTATTTTATCCTTGTTCTTTCTTATCCTTTAGGTTCAGTCTTAGATTAAATGTCATCTCTTAAAAAGAGATCTTTTCTGATCATTTCTTACTCTGCCAGAAAGGATAGCCATCCATCCCAGTTCTTACACTCTATCTCATCACCCTATTTGTTGTCTTCATTCACTTTTTATAGTCTATAATTCTTTGTTTACTTGTGTAGATTTCTTTCTGTCTCAGTCACTAGAATGTAAACTGTGTGAGGGCAGGACCTACATTTATCTCATTCATCATATCCCTAGCATTTAATAGAGAGCCTGGCATCTAATAGGTACAATTATTATTTGTTGAATAAATACATATTATTAATATAATTCACATATAAAATTCACTCTTTTAAAGTGTATAATTCAAGGCTGGGCATGGTGGTTCATACCTGTAATCCCAGCATTTTGGGAGGCTGAGGCAGGTAGATCACCTGAGGTCAGGAGTTAGAGACCAGCCTGGCCAACATGGTGAAACATCATCTCTAGTAGAAATACAAAAATTGGGTGTGGTGGTGGGCACCTATAATCCCAGCTACTCAGGAGGCTGAGGCAGGAGAATCACTTGAACCCGGGAGGCAGAAAGGAAAGAAAAGAGGGGGAGGGGGAGAGGGAGAGGGAGAGGGAAAAAAAGGAAGATATAATTCATAGGTTTCTAATATATTCACAAGTTTGTGCAGCCATCACCACTATCTAATTCAAGAACATTTTCATCCCTCCCCGCTCCTCCTACCCCCAGCCCCTGCCTGCCAACCACCACTCTACTTTCTGTCTCTATGGATTTGCATATTCTGGACATTTCATATAAATGGATTCGTACAACATGTGATCTTAACTATCTGGCTTCTCTCTTAGCATAATATTTTCAGAGTTCATCCATGTTGTAGCATGGAACAGTACATTATTCTTTTCTGTGGCTGAATTATATTCAATTGTATGGATATGCTACATTTTGTTTATCCATTTATCCATTGGGTTGTTTCTACTTTTTGATATTATAAATAATGCTGCTCTGAACATTCATATATGAGTTTTTCTGTGAACATATGTTTTTACTTCTCTTGGGTATGTACCTAGAAGTAGAATTGTTGAATCATATGGTAATCTATTTTTAACTTTTTGAGGAACTACCGAACTGTTTTCCCAAGTGGCTACATCATTTAACATTCCTACCAGTGATATATGAGGGTTCTAATTTCTGCATATTCTTACCAACACTTGTTATTGCCTTTTTAAATTATAGCTATTCTAGTGGGTATGAAATGGTATCTCATTGTCTTTTGATTTGCATTTCACTAATGACTGATGTGTTGAAATATTTTCATGTACTTATTGGTCATTTGTGTGTCTTCTTTGGAGAAATGTCTATTCAGATTCTTTGTCCATTTTTAAAAATTTGGTTATATGTCTTATTGTTGAGTTAGAGGAGTCTTTTTGACATATTTTCTAAAAGAGATGCAAGAGTTCCATCCTGGCTAACATGGTGAAACCCCATCTCTACTAAAAATACAAAAAATTAGCCAGGCTTGGTGGTGGGCACCTGTAGTCCCAACTACTGGGGAGGCTGAGGCAGGAGAATGGCGTGAACCTGGGAGGCGGAGCTTGCAGTGAGCAGAGATCGTGCCACTGCACTCCAACCTGGGCAACAGAGCAAGACTCTGTCTCAAAAAAAAAAAAAAAGAGATGCAAGAGTTGAAAGTCCTTTTGTATTCTGGATACTAAACCCTTGTCAGATAGTCCTGATATGGGTTTGCAAATGTTTTCTCCCATTGTGTTTGTCTTTTTACTTTTTTGATAGTGCCCTTTTAAGCAGAAAAGTTTTTAATTTTGATAAAGTTCAATCTATCAATTTTTTTATTTGTTGCTTATGTGTTTGGTGTCATATCTAAGAAACCATTGCCCCATCTGAGGTCAGGAAGATTTATACTTGTGTTTTCTTCTAAGAGCTCATGTAGTTTTAGCTCTTACATTTAGGTCTTTGATCACTTTTGACTTAATTTTTGTATCCGTGTGGGAGTCTAACTTCATTCTTTTGCATGTGACTATCCAATTGTTGGAGTGTTGTTTTTTTTTTACTTTAATAAAGTATCATATTTTTCACAAAATATGAACATTGTTTCAACATTTACAATTTTAAAAATAGTGTGTGGAGCACATACTGTGTACCAGACATTATGTTGGGTATGTCGTCTATACAGATTTAAAAAAAGACATAATCCCCATCCTCCATGTCTCACAGATCTGGAAATTAAGAAAATTGAGAATAGTAATGAAAATTTGAATGGAACATTAAAGATATTTGATGGTGTTGATAGTGGTTTTAAATAAATGGTTTTTGAGAAGATTGGCCTTTTATGTATTTAACCCAAAGATTGCATGAAAAAGCTTGATGACATTATTAGTATAAAAATAAAAATATTCCTGAATGTTGCTGTAAAAAGCACTTGATGGTGGCTGCTATGCAATAGGAGTATTTTACCTTGATTGGTACTCTTTTTTTTTTTTTAAACACCCCTGGTTTTATTTTCCCTTCACTCCAATTTTCTCACTTGTTTGCTTTTTTTTAAAATTTTATTATTATTATACTTTAACTTTTAGGGTACATGTGTACAACGTGCAGACTTGTTACATATGTATACATGTGCCATGTTGGTGTGCTGCACCCATTAACTCGTCATTTAGCATTAGGTATATCTCCTAAGAATCATTTTCTTTTTGAGACAGTCTCTGATGCCCAGGCTGGAGTGCGGTGGCACGAACTCGGCTCACTGCAAACTCTGCCTCCTAGGTTCAAGCGAAGAATCATTTTCTATTAACAGTAATTTGCGGGGTGGATGAGAAAGCAATTGTCTGTCATCCACAAATGCAAGGTGGAGATAAGACAATTATAGAGATGACAAAGAAATCAGTCTCTCTTTCTCTCTCTCTCAGTGTAACTGTGTGTCTCTATTTTAGTATAACTCACTGATTTAATATTTATTTAACTCAGAGCAAAGGAATCTCTAAGACAGTGTTCTCAAAGTCATTCTTTACCTGTTTTTTATTTTTTTTCTCTCGTTTGACTTCCTTTTTTCTGTTACTGCTAATCTTACAATTGTTGATATATCTTTCTAAGATTTGTACTTATTTATGCTTGCTCTCTCTGAACTAGGCTTAGTCTTTTGTGACTAATTATTGAATTCAGGACATATTTAGCCCATTGTATTAGTCTACTCAGACTGCCATAGCAGAATACTACAGACTGGGTGCTTTAAACAACAGAAATTTGTTTTCTCGTATTTCTGGAGGCTTGAAAGTCCATGATCAAGATTCAGGCAGAATTCGTTTCTAGTAAGGCCTCTTTTCTTCTTTGCAAGCATTTCCCCAAACATGGCCTATCCTCTGTGTGTGATTGGAGTGAGGGAGGCAGAGAGAGAAAGAGACAGAGAGAGAGAAAGAGAGAGAACATACGTGTGTGTTGGGCGGGGGCAGTGGGGGAATCTCTGGTGTCTCTTTTTTTATAGGAACATTAGTTTTGTGGGATTAAGGCTCCATTAGCCTTAAGTCCTCATTTAACCTTAGTTGCCTCTTTAAAGGCCCTGTCTCCAAATACAAGTCACATTGTGGGGTTAGGGCTCCCACATATGATTTTGGGTACACAGTTCACTTCATAATACCCATGTAGCACGTAGTAGTCACTTTTATACAGTTAATATGTTTATATTCCTTATTTGATAATAAAATACAGTGATTTTTCTATAAAACTTATATTGATATTGGGGTGGGGAAAACTCATGTCACCTAGGCTCTTTGTACCTCAGTTTTCTCATCTATAAAATAACAATATTGGGCTCGTTGATTTTTGAATGCTGAAATTCTCTGATTCTCCAATTCAGAGTTACTGATTTCTAACATTATTCAGCAGGTACATTATAGGAAACATCTTATAATAGAAATTGATGTTCTGTAAATGAGCATTCTATAAGCTTCTCATAACTGAAGTGAAAGGCTTAATCATTCTATATACTGGTATAGATAATCTATTTCCTGTGGTCCCAGCTACTAGGGAGGCTAAGGTGGGAGGATCGATTGAGCCTGGGAGGTTGAGGCTGTAGTGAGCCATGAATGTGCCACTGCACTTCAGCCTAGGTGACACAGCTAGGTGCTGTCTCAACAAACAAACAAACAAAAACTCTATTCAACTAGCTATGCTGGGCTGTTTAGTTTTTATTATGTATAATTTAAAGGTCTGGATATGGTATGTTTCTTTTTTTCTTCCAGTTAATAATATCCTTTATTTATACAGTATAATTTATCCTTTATGAATACCTTTTCATTTTGATGGGTTCAAACAATTTAATAAGTGAAGATAGCAAAATGTGAGAATCCTTCTCATACCTACTCCCCTTTCAAAGGAGGTAACCACAACAGATTGTTATGCATCCTTGCAATCTTTCTATGAATGTACATATGAATATTAACTTATGTACATATTTTCCATTAATGGGATCATGCTATATATATTCTGTTATTTATTTTTTCCTCAACAATGTTTCTTGATTTTTTATACACACCAGGATGTATGTATATTATTTTTTAAATGCTTAATGTTACATAATATCATAATGTACTTAACCACTCCCCTTTTGGACATCAGTTTGTTTCTTTTTCACTATTAAAAATAATGGTAAGGCTGGGCGTGGTGGCTCAAACCTGTAATCCCAGCACTTTGGGAGGCCGAGGCAGGTGGATCACCTGAGGTCAGGAGTTTGAGACCAGCCTGACCAACATGGCGAAACCCCATCTCTACTAAAACTGCAAAAATTAGCGGGGCATGATGGCAGGCACTTGTAATTCCAGCTACTTGGGAACCTGAGACGGGAGAATCTCTTGAACCCGGAAGGTGTAGGTTGCAGTGAGCCGAGATCATGCTGTTGCATTCCAGCCTGGGTGACAGAGCAAGACTCTGTCTTAAAAAAAAACAAATGGTGAATGAATATCCTTGGAAATACAGCCATTTGTATAGAGATTCCTTTAGAATACATTTCCTACATGTGGGATTAAACACTGAAAATTTTAATAGCTATTGCCAAATTGTCTTCCTAAAATTTACATTTCCATCAACAAGGAATGAGTGTGTTCATTTATCATTACCATTGCCACATGATACCACTGTTTTAAAACTCTTTCTAACCTGATGGTTGAAAAGCTATATTTCCTTTTTTAAAAAAGTTGCATTTATATGACATCTGGCATCCTTTCATTGGTTCATTGGCCATTTATATTTCTTTTTCTATGAAATGCTGTAATTTACCTACTTATGGAATCAAATATCTTTTTAATATTGACTTGTAATAATTTTTAAAAATATATTTTGCATGTTAATCATTTATTTTAAATGTTGTAGATATATATTTATGCTGCTTCTCTTTTAACTTTGCTTGTGGTGTTTTATGGAATGGAAATTTTTTATTTTCTGAAAGTGTCAATCATTTCCTTTATGGCTTCTGTGTTTTGTGTAATATTAAGAAGGCCTTCCCCATGTGGAATTATTGAAATGTTCTATTTTTTATAGTATTTTATATCATCTCTTTAACTCCATTTTGAGTTTCTTCTAAATTGATGGCTGGTTCACCCAGCCCTATTGATGTATAATTCATTCTTTTCTCACTGAGATTTGAAGCCTCCTTTATTGTAATCTAAATTTGTATACATTATGCAGATTTACTTCTAGACTCTGTATTCTGTTCTTTTTGCTGTGTTTTTCTCATTTATTTACTAAAAGTATACTTTTAATTACAGTAGTTTACCAAGTCTTTTGAAATCTGAGAAAACAAAAACATTGTCCTTCATTTAGCTTATTTTGCACACAATTCTTGCTGTTTTATTTATATTTTTTCGCCTGTTAGTTTTTTTCGTGTGTGTGTGTTTGTGTGTGTGTGTGTGTGTGTGTGTGTGTGTGTGTTACTATAACCTTACTCTACCTTCTTCTGATTAATGGCTATTTTATGTCTGAACTAGAAAACTAAACAAACTGCCAGTATTTTAGATAAAACAATCTCTCTCTCTCTTTTTTGTTTCCTTTTGAGATGGAGTCTTGCTCTGTCACCCAGGCTGGAGTCCAGTGGTGGGATCTCAGCTCACTGCAACCTCCACCTCCTCCCAGGTTCAAGCAATTCTCCTGCCTCAGCCTCCCGAGTAGCTAGGATTACAGGCACGAGCCACCATGCCCAACTAATTTTTGTATTTTTAGCAGAGACAGGACAGGGTTTCACCATGTTGGTCAGGCTGGTCTCGAACTCCTGACCTCAGGTGATCCCTCTGCCTTGGTCTCCCAAAATGCTGGGATTACAGGCATGAGCCACCACACCCAGCCAGATAAAACAATCTTTAAAGCAAAGAAATAAATTCTTAGGAGACTGATTCATGGGTAGAATATTCATGCTTTAACACATGAAGTTTATGTATATTTTAGTTTCTCAGAGGCCTGGATTTTTTGTTTCTGAATTCTTGGTGATACTATAAATAGTTGATGTTGAATATACAACCTATGTGAACGTTAATATATATTAAAAATTATTTTAGAAGAGAAGCTATGTTTGAATCATTTTGCTGAACAATTGTATTTCTATTGCTTTATGTTAATAAAACTTGTCTGTTAAGAGGAAAACACAGTAAATACGACCAAGCCCATGTTTTGCTTTTGGGTTTTCTTTCCTAACAATAGAGAATAAAATAAAAATAATTAGATAATTAAGTAGAATAAGCTGTTACTCTTATTTTATATCAGCTATAGCTAGATGTTAGTTATTATAAGAGCTGCATCTGTTACCATAGAGCTTCCTTAACGCAAACTCAGCTTTAAAAAAAAAAAAAAGCAAGGGAAAAAGAAAAAGAGAAAGCTGTGACCTGCTTCATGCTTTGAAAAAAATAATTCCCGGTGACCTTGGGCAGCTATAGCCCTTATTGTACCTAGATTGCGGAGTTTAAAGTGGCCATCCTGTTTTACTCTAGAATCAATACAACATCCTGCATTATCTGATCAGGTCTAAAGCACATGAAATAGAGAAGCAGGTATGTGTAAATAAAAGTTTTGTGCAGTCTTATTCAAATAAAATAAATAGATTCAGCATGCTTTTTAGAACCTTAAGCTTTTGTTTTTCTTTAAAATATCTCTGGTACTACAAATTATACCATGCAATAATATGAATTTATGTATGTGTGTATGTGTCTCACATACTACTTTTGGACCATTTTCCTTATTCCTAGACAGTTGGATTATTTTAAGAGTTTCTGGGTCTGCACTGAGTTTTGGGGGACCCGGGGCTCAGAAAGGAATCTATACTTTTTCTACACTTTTCAATCTTAGAGTACCTTAGAGATCCAGGAATAGGATAGTTCTGTATTATTAATTTTATTAGCGTCTAGAGAGTCTAAATAGATCTCACTTGGCCGAGAAACATACCCTTTTAGGCTTGGGGTTCCTGAAGTTACATATATCTCTACATATGGGATTCAGTAGGTTGATAGGCTATGTGACAGAACTGAGAAAGTGGATCCAGCCTGCAGAAACATGTATTGATTGGCCCACACAGTGTTTTTAAAATATCTGGATTTATAGCTTCTCCTGAAAAATGGAAAGATTTGACAAACTGGGCCCACATCACCACATGGCAGCAACTAGACAGACATATGCTTTCCAGCTTGTCAGAATCCCAACCACTCCTTCTCCTGAAGGTGTCACTTTGTCATTTCTCACCACATTTGCACAATCATCTACTTGCCCAACACATTTATGTTACCTTCCCAGCTCCTGAAGGTTTGGAACTTGTAATTTACACTCTTCAGTGCAGACTTCTTTCTCTGTATGTGGTACAGTTAAAGTAAAAATAAATAGCCATTTAACATAGAACAAAATCAACTCGTTTTTCCCAGAAACACATTATACATTCATGTCTTCATACCTTTGCTTTGCATTTTTTCCTTCCCTAAGATATTTATTCTCTTGCTGAATGAATTCTACTCAGCTCAGCTCCTAGTACCTTGAATTTTACTTGATCAATTCTGTCTACAGTTTTTTTTCTCTTCTAAAGTCTTAGAACACTTGTTTTCTCCAACATTGTAAATTTATTATAGTAGAGCTTTAGGAAAGTCTCATTCACTTAAAGAAGGTTTGTGTGTGGTCTTACAAAGAGGTTTTTTTTGTTTTTTTTTTGTTTTTTTTGTTTTTGTTTTTTTGAAACGGGGTCTTGCTCTGTCACCCAGGCTGGAGTGCAGTGGTGCAATCTTGGCTCACTGCAACCTCCACCTACCTCAGCCTCCAGAGTAGGTGGGATTACAGGCACCCACCACCACACCCAGCTAATTTTTATATTTTTAGTAGAGACGTGATTTCACCATTTGGCCAGTCTGGTCTTGAACTCCTGACTTCAAGTGATCTGCCCGCCTCGGCCTCCCGAAGTACTGGGATTACAGGCATGAGCCATCGCACTCGGCCTGAAAAGGTCTTTGAGTAGTCTTTTCTTAATATGGTTCACAGTTCACTTTTTCAGAGAAATACATATAAAGTTGTCATTTTAAAAACTCAAAAAGTAATCTTAGTTTTTGTTTCCTTAGTTTTCTCAATTGGCCTTTGGACATTAAATTTAAATATTGTTTTCCTGTCTTTCAGTTACAGATGAGGACACAGTAAAGAGGTATTTTGCCAAGTTTGAAGAGAAGTTTTTCCAAACCTGTGAAAAAGAACTTGCCAAAATCAACACATTTTATTCAGGTGAGTAATTAAGAGACTTTTTTTTTTGCTGCCGGGGAAGGATAAATTGTACCATATCATTGTTTAAACTTCTGATCAATGTTTTTAAATTGAGTCTTGTTTTCCTTACTATACTGCACTTAAGAGGATTTTCTTGAGCTGGGATAAGAACACGTCTGGTTTCTCAATGTTTAAGCTTTCTGTGGTCATTGCCTAGAAACTCTTGCAGTCAAAAGGATATTGGGACTTCGTTGAGAGGCAATACCTCGGTAGAGCTTCACTGTGGCCCAGTTCAAAGCTTGAAGAGTCAGAAACTTGATTTTATCATTTTGGCCAGAGATGAATTACACAGTTCCAGCTTATCAGTGATGGCAGTTTTATACCTTTTCATTGCCTAGAACACTTATACTTATTTCTCTAAAGCACTGGCCTCCAGAGTGGCATCTACAGTATGCCACTCGAATGTGAGAATAAAATATTGGAACTTATATATATATTTATGTCTGACTCTTTTGAACTTTATTTTTTGTACATGTATGTTGCAATGTACATAATATACATTAGTAAAACAATGTCTTTATAGTGAAAAATTTTGGAAACTTTAGAGCACTACCGTAGACATCAGGAGTCCTGTGAGACCTAGTTAATAATCAGATAGTTTCATGAGTACAGAATCTGAACAAAGTGAGTTAGATTCAGAAGGATATTTCATCTAGACTCTGGAAATGTTACACATAGTTCCTGTTACACCGCCAGATATACAGCCTAATAGCTGGAATACCTATCCTATTGAATGTAATGTATCTATTCCCTGAGCAGTAATTGATGAAAAAAAAAGTAGTCTGTAATTTTATTTAATATCCAAAATATAAAATTACTCTATTTTTTATTTTCATATTTAATATGCACATTACATGCCTGCTATTGAGAATATATTCTCATCTCTTGGCAAAGACTTTGGAAATACCATAATCTTATAACTAGCACAATCATAAACCAGGTATTAGTGTGAATTAGTCTAAAGATGAATAGTTTCATGACTTTACTAATTTGTTTTTCGGATGATTTTTTTCCTGGCTTGTCCACAACTTCTGGAAGCATCTTACTCAGATATCCTTTTTCAGCATCTTACTCAGATATCCTTTTTCAGCAGCCCCTTCAACTAGAGGCTGATCATTCTCTTTTATAGAGTATTGGGAGACAGGAGATGGAAAAAGGTAAAAAGAGTCAGTGAGAAACAGCTGCCAGAAGACAAGAGACTGAGTCCAGCATTCTCTTAGCTATCATTGTTCTTCCAAATCAGTATTTCTGTGTATTTCTATAAAAATGAATCTTCTTCTAAGCATCAGTATTGTTCTATTTCTGCCACTCCTATTTGTTAGCATCTACTGACCTCTTGGTTGCTCACTGTGAACTTAGACTCCTGGCTCCCAGTCTGAATAAATCTCTATCTTAATTTTTCATATCATGCTGGATGACTTCATTGTCCTTGTGGACAGTCATTTTCAGTTACACTGTACTTTAGCCCCATACACACATAGCCATACCCATCACCCAGAATTCCTCTCCTCTAAAATACTAAAACCTAATACGAGTCTATGACCATGTCTCCTAGCCTTTTAGCTTTTTACTCCCCTACTCCTTTAACATCTGTTTTTCCATCTCACAGAGCTCTAGTTTCTTGACTCTCCCATTTTATTTCAGTTTATCATACATGTCTTAGAATTATTTCCTACTCTTTTTTTGTCTTCTTTTTTCCTTTTTTTTTGGAGAATGGGGTCTTGCTATGTTGCCCAGGCAGGTCTTGAATTCCTGGGCTCAAGCTGTCTTCTTGCCTCTGTCTTCCTAAGTGCTAGCATTATAGACATGGCCACCACACCCAGCCAGAATTATTTTCTTCTCCATCAATCATTTTAACCATTTTGACCCCTGTGTTTTTAATCCCTTTACCCTCATTGCCTTATGTTGCATCTGCCTAGTAAAACTCAACCAATTCATCCTTTACCTTCTTCATGCCTACCCCAGAGGCTGCGTAGGACAACAGCAGAATAAATTGGAACCACTGTAAATTTGTTGTTGCACCTGTAACTGTGCCCTCAAAGCTTCCTGTGGGTCCTAATCAATATCATTTTTCATGCTCCAAAGTGCTTTTGTAAACCTTATATCATTCTCCAGAATTCTCTAACCCCACCATCTTCCCTGTCATGCTCATTATACCCCCAGCTTTACAAATAAAAATAAAGGCCATCAGCTTCTGTTGATGTATAATACCATGCAGATATATGGTATTATATCTGCATCTCTCTCCCAAATGCCTATAGACATTCTCATCCTTATTTATTTTCCTCCAATCTTTGTAGAAGAGATATCCCTCTTTATTCCACGGGAGATCTTTACGACTACTGACTAAATTTCAACTCTTCAAGACCTTGCTCCAGTAATTATTTCCTCTAAGAATTATTAAATAAATATATTTAACTTCCCTTTATACCAATTCAATCTCCTTAGCAAGTCATTCCCTTCAAAAAAAAAATGAGCAAGCAAATTTCTTAACTTTATATCCTCCCCCTCATCTTTCATTTGTAGCTGGGCTTTTTCCTTAGGCAGAGGGAACAGTTTATATACAAGCAAGAGCCATGAAAGAACATGGCATATATGCATGTCTCTTTCACCAGGATACAGGCACCTAGAAGACAGAGACAAAATATACATTTTCTTTTTTTTGAGACGGAGTCTCACTCTGTCGCCCAGGCTGGAGTGCAGTGGTGCGATCTTGGCTCACTGCAAACTCTGCCTCCCGGGTTCACGTCATTCTCCTGCCTCAGCCTCCCGAGTAGCTGGGACTACAGGCACCCACCACCATGCCCAGCTAATTTTTTTTATATTTTTAGTAGAGACGGGGTTTCACCGTGTTAACCAGGGTGGTCTTGATCTCCTGACCTCGTGATCCGCCTGCCTCAGCCTCCCAAAGTGCTGGGATTGCAGGTGTGAGCCACTGTGCACAGCCAAAATATAAATATTATTTAAAGCCATGCAAACAGGTAGATTTTCTGTATGGGAAAAATATACAGAAAGGATTTCAGTGTTCTCAAGAAGAAAGATAATTTCTATAATTAGGAGATAGAAAGATAAAGAGGAACCAGCAATGTAGACAGAGAAGACCATATAGCAGGAGGAGGAGGAGGAAACTAAAAGAGGAGGGCATTTGCAGTGAAACAAATGTCTAGATTGAGAAAGCGTATTGGAAATGATGTAAGGCTGTAGACTATGAATATATAAAATCAAGTTTATTAGCTTTTTTCTTTTACTATGACATTTTTTGAAAAAGAAGGATCTCTAAGCTCAATTCTAAATGGATGATTTGTATCACAAAGAATAGAAAATGCTTCTTTGTTTATGAAGAAAAATATCTACTCTTGGTAGTAGATACTTTGTTTTTTTTGTTTGTTTGTTTTTGAGACAGGATCTCACTCTGTTGTCCAGGCTGGAGTGCAGTGTCATGATCTCGGCTCACTGCAACCTCTGCCTCCCAGGTTCAAGTGATCCTCCTGCCTCAGCCTCCAGCATAGCTGGTACTACAGGCATGCACCACCACACCTGGCTAATTTTTTATTTTTATTTTTGGTAGAGATGGGGTTTCACCATGTTGGCCAGGGTGGTCTCGAACTCCTGACCTCAGGTGATTCACCCACCTTGGTCTCCCAAAGTGCTTGGATTACAGACATGTAGATACTTTATTTTGAGTTATAGTAAAAAAAAATGTACATTATGACCCAGCACACATATACAGATAAATGTTTGTTTTATATATGTTTGTATGCATCTATATGTGTGTGACTACACAATATATTTAAATAATTTAAGATATTTTTTCATGAAACAGTACATCTTTAGTACTTGTAGTATATTGTTTTCTATATTTTTCTATTCTATTTGATTTTTTAAATGCTAATTATGATCCACTAAATTGGTTTTATGACCTCATATTGGGTTGCAACCTTCAGTTTGAAACATGATTTCTTTAAGTTAGGTCGCTTCTCAAAAATAATTTTAGGCTAGCTACTATTAAAAATTTTGGTGCTGTAATTTGATGACTTCCTGTTTTGTGTGTGTATTGGCAGGGCCAGTGAGGCACGTCTCTTGATGTCCTCACTGGTACAAATTGGTAGTCTCTAGAGTGACTCCTGCCAGATCAGGAAGTGGTAGGTAATACGAAGAAATGATTCACAGAAATAGAATTTGTTTCTGGTCCTCAACAGTATCTTTTTTCCCTCATTTAGCCACCTTCTCCCCAGAAGATTGTAGACTGCAGTTGTCAGACACTAGGGCACAAGAAAAACTATAAACAATATGGGGTGAGTTGAGCTTAATAACTCACCTCCACCCACTTATATCTCACACATTAAATAGCTAAAAATGCTCCATTTTTAAGTGAGATATTTTTGACTAAAACCTTTCAATGTCCCTAAACAAATTGCTATATTTTATTTTGTCTGTTTCTAGTCATATCAAAAAGGCCAAACAATCAAAATATAGCATGAATGCTGCTAAAATTTGGAATTTTTTTCTTGCCGATGCTATTTACTGTTTAACCTTCCTAGGCTTCCACACACTTGCTTATAAAACAAACAGATTGATTCCCAACCCTCTAGGGTTCCACATGTTAGGATCAGAAGCTATTTTCAATATTCAGAAAACCTGATGTAAGTTACTTTGTTAGTCTTTATTGTTTATTATGTATCTTTGGTTAAAAAATTGACATTTATTTAGATTTATAGATAAAATCAGTATTTGAAGATCATAGGAAGAGAAGGGAATTGTGAAAGGGAGGGGTCCTTTGTGGTAAAAACATTGCTAATCCCTAACCTAGAAGTCTCTTAGTTCTCTTCTGTCACTAAAAATGGTATCAATCATGAAGGCTATACCGTTAGAAACCTTTTTTTTTGTGGTGATCAGTAATGTCTTTTTCCAGTGGACAAGTGATCCAACTGATCACTTTTTTCAAACCAGTTTGCCTTTTCTCTTTATTCAAAATACTTAGTTTCTAAACAGTGTTTATTTGCCTAATGTTAAAAAAAAAGTCAGAATATATGTGTTGCTTCTAATATTTCACAAAACAGTCAAGCCTTTTTTATTGGCTGGAATTTTGAAATAGCTAAGTGCTTTTTCTTTGTTTTTGAATAACTTCTTTTTTTTCTGGGTGACTTTTTTGACTTCGGTTACATTGGGAAGTCATAGCAGTGTTACATCCTTTTTCTTTACTAAAAAGGAAGGAAAGGAGGGAGAGAGGGAAGAAGGAAGGTAATTGCATTGGTGTTTTATTAGTAGGATCTTGCCTGTAGAATATTTTCTTGTTTCATATAAATGCAAGACCGATTAGATAATAGTTACTAAGAGCTATTCTTATTATATAGTTATTCCTGTTATTCCTGTAATCCTGTTTTACAATGTCTTGCTGTATGTTTTTATTATTGATTTATATTGTTTTTATACAAGAGGAATTTGAGGCACTGAATATTGTTATACCACTAAATGTGTGCAATGAATCATGAGAATCTTTTACACTGAAATAGTAAATGTTCATTTTACAAATGATACATGTGTCTAGTATGCATGTATTTAAACTATGACTTAATGGCTGGTTTTGTTCTTTGCTCATGTGTGTGTTAAAATGTAGATTAAGTAGGTATTTTTAATGAGAGTGGTCATAGGTTGGTATATTGTTTTAAATTCCCATGTGTTAACGTATCTTCCTGTGTCATGATTCTCTTGAGTTCATTACAGTAGAATCAGTTACTTAAGAACTGTTTAAAGGAGCAGGGAGGGTAGTAGGGGAAGTGAAATTAAAGCAGCCACTCTTGCTTGCTTTGTTGTTAATACATCTGAAGGAAATTACAATTACAATATTTATATTGTCCACAATAAATTTTCCTTTCTTTATTTTGTTAAAAAAAAGTGTTTTATAAGCATCTATTAAAAACAAGCCACGTGAAAACCACCCTCATTTTCTTTCTCTCCTTTTTTTCTCTTTCCTTCCTTCCTTCTGTCTCTCTCCTATTTTTCCTTTTTTCTTTCTGAGACTGAAAGAAAGGATGAGGAATGTCTATGGTCATGAGTAACACAATTTCCAAATGGCATCTTCACAAACAAACACAATATCATGTAAATAATGGGTTTTTTTTAAATTGTAGGTCACAACCCAATAAATTGGTCAGAAAATGAAAATATAGTTACGTGTCACTTAATGACAGGGATAATTCTGAGAAATGCGTCATGAGGTGATTTCATTTTGGGAACATCATGTGTACTTACACAAACCTAGATGGTATATCCTATTACACATGTAGCATATATAGTATAGCCTGTTGCTCCTAGGCTACAAAACTGTCCAGCATGTTACTACAGAGAATACTGTAGGCAATTGTAAAACAATGGTAAATATTTATGTATCTAAATATAGAAAAGGTACAGTAAAAATAAAGTATTATATCTTATGGGACTACTGTTGTACATGCTGTCAGTCGTTGACCAGAACGTTGTTCTGTGGCACTACGACTGTACGTGGGTCATCACAGGCATTTTTTAAAAAATATAGATAGAATATAGTAGAATAGAAAGTATCACAGTGTTATTTACTAAATACACCTGTTGTGTGTATTTACAAATTACATGTACTTTTTAAAGTTTATGTGCAATATGACATTTAGTATTTTACAGTTATGCAAAGTACTGTGAAAACTGACATGAAGAAGCCTTGAATTTACTTGGAGGAAGAAAGTGGGATTGAGGAAAAGCCTTTAGAAGAAGTGAAATTTAAATTGGGTCTTTGAAAATGTGTAGGCATTAGCCAAATGCTCTTAAGGGAGGTTGTTTGGGGATGGCTGTAGGGAGAGGTGGGATTTAGTGCTCCAGAGCAAGGGAAAAAATCTATCCAGATGCACAGTGGTGTTAAAGTACATGACATATTTGGGGATGAAGACAATAACAAATAGTCTTTTGAGGCTGAAGTTGTAAGATATTAAGGAGTGAGTTGCTGGTTAGAGAGAAAAGTGGAAAAATTAGATGTTTTATTCACATACAGATTTCAGACTTTGGTATTTGAGGTACACAGTTTCAAGTAGTAAGAATTCCAGATAAAAGATAAAAGCAGTATAAAAAATGCATGTAATGTAACAAAGTTAACTATCTTGAATCATCTGTGATGGGTCAACATTCTCATAAACTTACTTTATATTTTGAATAACACCAAGGTCCATAAATTGAATTAGCAAGATGGTAATATTGTAAGACAGGTAAACAAATAATAAAAATATTCTAAGACACTAATTTGATTTTAGAAAGAGTTATTCTTCAATTGCATAACAACATAACAGCTTTGCCATTCTGAAGATAGCTTGTAGTTCTTGAAATAACTTTTTCTAAAAGTAAAAGAACGATGAATTTGGTGAAAGCAAAATATATTGCTAACCCTTATTCTAGCTCTTTGAGGGATACATAGGTGCTTTGAAAATTCTTGAATGGTTATTGGAAATTTTTATCAAATATTTAGTATGAGAGCTTATGGCGTTAACATATTATTAAAATAATAATATTTGTTCTCATATTCAGGTCACTTGATTTACTGGCATAAGTAGAAATTGTAGTTTATTGGCAAAATAGTCTGTTTTCATCAATATTATAAAATTGCTTAGAAATACTGTGTGTAATATTTTTTCAGATAGCTTCTAAGTTGTTAGGACATAAATACTTAAGTTGTTTGAACCTGACTACTTAATAAATAGAAACATTAGGTATTTCTTTTGTCCTAGAAGCATCATGAAAGTATTACTGAGACACAAAGTATGCCGTGAACCAAGAAAGAACTTAGAAGTTCTACACTGTTTTTGGTCTTGAGGATAAGACAGACACATTTGCAATAGAAATGTTTAACATATGTAAAAAGAGCCCTGAGATTCATTCATTCACTCATTCACTTATTTATTTATTTATTTTGAGACGGAGTCTTGCTTTGTCACCCAGGCTGGAATGTGGTGGTGCGATCTCAGCTCACTGCAACCTCTGCCTCCCAGGTTCAAGCAATTTTCTGCCTCAGCCTCCTGAGTAGCTGAGATTACAGGTGCCCACCAGCACACCTGGCTAATTTTTTTGTATTTTTAGTAGAGACGAGGTTTCACCATCTTGACTAGGCTGGTCTTAAACCTCCTGACCTCGTGATCCACTCACCTCGGCCTCCAAAAGTGCTGGGATTACAGGCGTGAGCGACTGCGCCTGGCCTCATTTTTATTTTTGTAAGTGTATTTGTAGATTTTCATCATAGATCAAAGTATACACTTTTATATATACACACACACACACTTTTCCAGGTTCTGTGCAGTCCCATGTGTTTGAGCTTTCTGGCGATCTGGCTCTAGAAAACTGAAGTGTCATTGCAAAATAGATTGGGATACTTGGTGTCAAAAGCAGTATTTCTTATTCTTTTTAAACCTATACCCCTTTGATAGATATGAAAATCTCATACCATAGCTGTAGTAATATTGAATATGATTTTTTCAAACTACATATGGTTTATATTCCCCTACCCCCACCTACGGATTCTCATAGGCTCCTCTACATAGTTATGCCCTTAAGGAAGAGAGTCATTACTTTAAAGAAAGTAGCAAAATACACCTGAAATGTTGATTTCTTCATCATTTCTATATGGGAATGTAGGCTACTAGAGAGAACTTTTACCTATTTATTCATTCAGCAAACATGGATTGAGTATACTGTATGCAAGCTCTTTATGGTACAAAGATAATGATGATAGGCCACGCAAAAACTTGTATGAGAGTGTTAACAGCAGCATTATTTACATAGTTTAAAAAACTAGAAACAATTCAAATGTCTGCAGACTGAAGATATTTAAACAAAATATAATCGCTTCTCGGCCTTTTGGCTAAGATCAAGTGTAAACAAAATATATATCCACAGAATGAAATACTATTTGGCAATAAAAGGAACTCAGTATAACAGACTTACATTATGATACAAAATGGATGAAACTCAAAATCATCCTGCTAAGTTAAAGAACCCAAACACAAAAGATTATATATTGTATGATTCTTTTACATGAAATGTTCAGAAAAGGCAAATCAGCAGAGACAGAATACAGATCAGTGTTTGCCTGGGGTAGGGGGTGGAAGTGGGGATTGACAGCTAATGGCCATGATGGAAGTATAGGAGGTGACAGAAATGTTCTAAAATTGGATTTTTATGATGATTGCACAACTCTATAAATTTACTGAAAGTCAATGAATTGCATGTTTACAGTAGATGAATCCTATGGTAGGTAAGTTATACCTCAAACAAATTATTTAAAATAAATTTTCATTATAAAAAAAGATAAAGATTTTAGAACTGTTACCTTTAGAGTTCAGTCAGTCAGTGAAGCAAACATAAACAAAGAATTATATGCAGTGTGCTTTGGCTGCATGTATGTGGTCCCATACAAGCCCTAAGGTGGGAGTTTCATTTGTGACTGAGAGAGTTGTTAAATATGAAAAACTTTATATAGAAAGCAGTGTTTGAGATTAGCCTTGCAAAACGAGTAAGGAGTTTTCCAGATGGAGAGGCATTTGTGTCTTGACTTATTGTTGGCACACAGGAAGTAACAGGTCCTCTTTCTTTTCATTTTTGGGCTTCTTACATTTTTAATATGCATGTAATGAGAAGAGTAAATGTATTGACAGTTCTGACTGAGGACATTAAACAATTAGCAAATTTATATACTAATCTTTTAACAATTAAAGTTAAGCAATTTTATTACATATGATATTCTGTTTTCTGGCTAGTTTACCTGCAGTTTTTAGTCAGCAGAATAATTTATAGTGGCCCTTAGATAAATCCTTGTATTATTTCATTTTATGTTTGTGTGCATATTGTATGTAGTATTTTTTCAGGTAGCTTCTAAGTCATTAGGACATAAATACTTAAGTTGTTTGAACCTGATTACTTAATAAATAGAAGCATTAGTTATTTCTTTTGGCCTAGAAGCATCATGAAAATATTACTGAAACGCTAAGGGCATCATGAACCAAGAAAGAACCAAGAAGTTCTATACTGTTTTGATCCTAAGGATGATAAGACAAACACATTTACAATAGAAATGTTTAACATGTGTAAAAGGAGCCCTGAGATTCATTTTCTGTTGACTTAAATAAGAGATTTTAAAATATATGAATTGTTCTGTTTTTTACAATATGGAAGACTGGAAAGAAATCCTAATAATCTCTTACTTCAAAACACTAAAGTGATACATAAAAAATACAAAATTATCAGGAAAATAATAAAAATATATATCTAATATGATTAAAAATGTAAAGGAGAGCATGAAAACCATAAACAAAGAAGAAATCATTAAAATTGACTAGGCATTTTTTTTAAAGGACCAATTAGATCTTTTACAAATGAAAATATAATCACGGAAGTTAGTATCTTAATAGATCAATCAAACTGTAGATTTAGGTAGACTTAAAGGGACAATTTATAAACTGGAAGATAGAGCTGAAAATTTACTCAGAATGCAACACAAATCGATAAAGAGAAGAAAATATGAGAGTTGTAAGAGACAAAGTAAAAAGGTCAAGGGGTTATAATTGGTATCTTTATTTTCCCAAGACCCGTTCCATATTTCCTTTGCCCTCAGCCAGAACCCCAACTGGTTATTAGGTGAGATGACCTAGACTTTAATTCCTAGAGGATCTGAATCTCAGTAGTTCTTTTATTAATTGCTGTAGGGTTTTTTTGTTTTTGTTTTTGAGACACAGTCTCACTCTGTCACCCAGGCTGGAGTGTGTGGTGGCACAATCTCGGCTCACTGCAACCTCCACCTCCTGAGTTCAAGTGAATCTCATGCCTCAGCCTTCTGAGCACCTGGAATCACAGGCGTGCAGCACCACACCCTGCTAATTTTTGTAATCTTGGTAGAGATCTGATTTTACCATGTTGGTCAGGCTGTTCTCCAACTACTGGCCTCAAGTGATCCACCTGCCTCAGCCTCCCAGAGTGTTGGGATTACAGGTGTGAGCCACCATGCCCGGCCTGTTGTAGTTTTCCATTAACATATATTATTGGTCATGGAAGTAATGGGAGGTGTTCCAGAATCTCCTGGGTTCCAGAGCTTGTTGCTCCTATTATGTTTCAGCAGTTCACTTTTCCCTTGGTAATCAGGATCAGTCAAGGGGTTTACTTTTAGCCAGTAAACCCCTTCTTTGCCATTGTTTCATTAGTACAAAGAACCCAAAATGGCCAGGTGACAGTTTCATCTTCCAATTCAGTAGAACCATTGTTGTATTCCTCTGATGGAAGCATTTTCCCCTTGAGAACTAACCAACAGTCAGAGTTTAAGTTGTAGATTGGGAAGCAAAAATTATGTGAGTGGATTATTACTTACAGTATTGAGAGGAACCACTCCTACTTCTACCCCTTGATTCCTAGACTGGATATTTTGGTTATGTTGGGGACTTATGGCCTCATTATTGTATCCTGTAAAACAGAACCCCATCCTTTCAGAGTCTTGTCTCCCAACTTTTCTGTTAGGCCATTGATCAGCTTTTCTATTAGGCCATCTATTTCTGGGTATATAGTAAAAGACCATTTTCTTCCATGGCTATGAGCCCATTGCTTTACTGTCTTTGCTGTGAAATGAGTTCCTTGATCAGAAGCAAGGCTGTATAGAATACCATGATAGTGGATAAAGCATTTCAGGAGATGGTGGTGCTGGAGAAGCATTATGGGTGGAGAAGGTACATCCATATCAAGAATGCTTTTATTCCAGGGAGGACAAATCTCTGCCCACTGCCTAATAGAAGGCATCCAACACAATCAACCTGCCAGTAGGTAGCTGGCCAGTCCCAGGGGTGACTCTGGGGTTCAGTGCTAGTCTCTGCTGCCTGGTGAGTAGCTGCATTATCAGATGTGTAGCTGCATGCCAGGGGCTAGAGGTTGTATTGATTTTCCTCAGTGAAAATACCATATCCGGAATAGCAGCTGCTATCACAGAGACCACCTAGTTTACACAATCCAGTTATTCACCAAGATTCATCCAACTTGCGTAAACAAATGAGTTAAGAGAGGATGTGGTAGGTATCCTATCCCTTTGTCTTTAAAGTCTGTGATTGTTGTACTAATTTCTGCAGTTCTATCTTGATAAGGAAAAGTTCCAGGAACTGTTATAGCCCTTTCTTCATCATGTTCCTTCCTTCATCATATTTCTTACCTGTGGTTCAGAATCACTAGAGAGTCTACCAGTGGCCTAGTAGGTCTATTCCAATTATACATCTTGGAACTGAAAAAGGAATCATAGGATGAATCTGTGGACCAGCTGGGTCTTTTGTGAGTCTCATCTGGGCTGATATTTCATCTGTCACCTGAATATCATAAATGTATAGTTTGATTGCTAAACCACAGTGGTGCCTGGAGTCTCCAGAAGTTTGTCACTCCTAGGGAAAAAGATTCAAAGTATGAGAGGGACTTGAAATGAGCAAGTTTCTCCATTGCTGACTTTGAAGATAGGGTTAAGAGTAGTCTCGAAGAGCTAAAAGCAGACCACAGATGAGAGCCAGCAAGGAAACAGTCTTAAAACTACAAAAAACTGAATTCTGCCACAACCAAGTGAGCTTGAATGTGAGCTTGAGAAAGCAGCCTAGCTAACACCTTGCGTTTAGCCTTAGGAGAGCCTGACAGAGAACCTAGCCACATCATGCTTGGACTTCTAACCTACAAAACGGTGAGCTAATAAATGGGGTTTCTTTAAGGCACTATGTGTGTGGTAATTTGTTATACAACAATGCAAAGCTAATATACAAAAGCCAATGACGAGTAATCTTTGCAAAGTCTGGATATTTCCTTTTCCTCAGTGCACAGTCACTCTAGTAAATAGACACGAGGCCCTTTGAGGAAGGATTAGAGGAAGATCTACAGTATATACTTGTGGCAGTGCTACAGGAACCACCCGAAAGCAAGGCCAGCTTCCACTTCAGTCAGGGGTCTTGGGTTTTTGAACTAGCGTTGATCTGGAAGCTGGTAAGAGGTAGTGACTCTCTGTTGTAGTGACTAATATCAAGTATTTGGCCACCAGACCTGGAGTTTTTTTCTGTTACATCAATTAAGCAATATTCTAGTAGGTTGCCCATTTCTGTCTTTCCTAGGGATAACCATGATCAATTAACCACAGCCAAAATCTCTGTGTGCAAAAACATCTGTCCTGTTGCCTTTTATGGTAAATGCACCCACCTTGTTTTGATAGTTAAGTGCTGCCATCTGGCCTTTCTGTTCCAAGGATCATTGAATGTGCATTGCAATCAGGGAACCCATCTCAATAGATACATCTCTCATGGCCATTCCTGGCCTTCACTGGGGAGTAAACATAGAGCTTTTTAAGGATGCAGGTGCTCTCCTCACTAACGTAATTCTGGATGCCTTAATGAAGGGAGTATTTTCTGGGCCCCCTCAGGGGGATGTGATTGGTGTTGGAGAGGCGTAAGAGTGGTCCCTAGGAGCTAAAAGCAGGTCCCAGATGGGTTGACCCACATAAATGGATGAAATTTATTTGGAAAGAGGAATGGAAACATGATTTTTGTTTTGAATACAGTCTTAGATCATAGGAAATACAAGAAGATATAAATAGATTATAAAAGTTAAGAAAATGAAGGTCATGTAAAGGATTAAGAATAGAGATGAATCTTGGAAACATCCTATAGAAGGAAATTCTCTAGGAGAAAGAGAGAGTGAATCATTAAGCAGTGCCAGACAGGACAAAAATACTAAAGATTGATTGAAGACAACAGCAAGACAGTATAGCAGTAGATAAAGCAAGGAATAGGAGAATTATGAGAAAGCATAAGTTGTAAATAATTCTTTGTTATTATTATATAATTTTTATCATTATTTATTGAGTGCTATGTCCCTTGGCATTTTTTTTTTTTTGAGACAGTGTCTCACTCTGTCACCCAGGCTGGAGTGCAGTGGCACAATCTCGGCTCACTGCAGCCTCTGCTCACTGCAACCTCTGCCTCCCGAATTCAAGCAATTCTCTTGCCTCAGCCTCCCAAGTAGCTGGGATTACAGGAATGCACCACCACGCCCGGCTAATTTTGTATTTTTAGTAGAGACAGGGTTTCACCATGTTGGCCAGGCTGGTCTCGAAATCCTGACCTCAGGTGATCCACCTGCCTCAGCCTCCCAAAGTGCTGGGATTACAAGCATGAGCCATTGCACCCAGCCGGTCCCTTGGCATTTCTATGCCTCATTTAATCTTTACAACCACTTTATGAGGGAGTTGGTATTTCCATTTCATCTATGAAAGGTGTAGAAGAGTTATTAAAAAAAAAAAACTTGACTAAAATCATACAGCTAGTTAATGAGGCAAGGATTTGAACCCAAATCTGCCTGGTTCCAGTGAACTGAATTGTGACCTTGGAAGAAAAATACAGAGTATTATTTTTAAATGTATGTGTAGCACAAACACATATATTCAGATATACCTAGTATTTTTAACACATAATTTGCAAGTCTTAATCTCTTGTAATACCTGGTTTAGAGAAGTAATGAAGGGTAGTGGGAAATACAGGAGATTACAGATCTAAAGCCCAAATTCTAATCCTGTTTCTGACCTGAACTGTATAACCAGAAACATTTCTTAATGGCGTTTTTAAATTGAGATATTTCTATACCATAAAATTTGCCTTCTTAAGGTTTGTAATTCCATGGTTTTTAGTGTATTCACAAGGTTGTACAACCATCACTACCAATTCTGGAACATTTTCATCATCCTAAAGACATATCTCGTACCCATTAGCAATCACTCCCCATTCACCTTCCACTCAGCCCATGGCAAGCAGTAATCTACTTTCTTTCTGTGTGGATTTCCTGATTCTGGACATGTCATATAAATGGAAACATACAATATTGGGTATTTTGTGTCTGGTTTCTTTCACTTAATGTCTTCAAGGTTCATCCATGTCAGAGCATGAATTAGCACTTCATTCTTTTTTAGTGGCTGATTCTATTGTGTGTTTATATAGACACACATGCATGCACACCACATTTTGTTTATTTGTTCCTCAATTGATGGACATTTGGATTGTTTCCACTTTCTGGCTATTATAAATGCAAGTTAGTATATGTATGCAAGTTTTCCTGTGAGCATATGTTTTCAGCTCTCTTAAGTATATGCCTAGGAATGGAATTGCTGAATCATATGTTTAACCTTTCGAGAACTGCCAGCTATTTTCCAAATACCAGAGAGGCTGTACCATTTTGCGTTTTCACTCTTAGTGGCTCTTTACATTTTATTTATTCATTTGTAAAAAGAAAGGGTACATGAGGTTTTATGGGGGGTAAAATGAAAGGAGAGTGTTACACAAAAATATTTTTTCCTATAGAGTTCTAAATATTACATGTAACGGTTTTCTTCTAGAAATTCTAAGGGAGCAAATGGGAATTATTAAAAATTCAGAAGTCAGTAGGAACTTTTTTATCTTACTGATTTGACAGTTCCGTTCTATTTCTTATAGAGAAGCTCGCAGAGGCTCAGCGCAGGTTTGCTACACTTCAGAATGAGCTTCAGTCATCACTGGATGCACAGAAAGAAAGCACTGGTGTTACTACGCTGCGACAACGCAGAAAGCCAGTCTTCCACTTGTCCCATGAGGAACGTGTCCAACATAGAAATATTAAAGACCTTAAACTGGCCTTCAGTGAGTTCTACCTCAGTCTAATCCTGCTGCAGAACTATCAGGTACTTAGATTCTTACCCTAGAAAATGGCACCTTTAAGTAAATGAGAAATTTCAATAAATGGAAGTACCCTAAAGTATTACCAGTGGGTCAGTTCCAAAAAGGAAAATCCTTAACATGTTGTTATTCTTGGGGTTCCTACTGGCTAAAAACCATGTGTCAGAGGCAGTAAAACTGTGTTAACAAGACTTCTGTTTTTGAAGATTCATATTCCAAAAACTTTCCTATAATATTTAATATTTAGGGATAGTCCACAACTCAAGGACTAACAGTTTGCTTCCTGTTTTTAGAGGCAGCTCTGATAGTCATGAATAGAAATAATACATCTCTCCAGCCACTGTTGGCTATGTAAGGGCTTTTCTTTTTTTTCCTTTCTTTTTTTTTTTTCTTTTTTGAAACAGAGTCTCACTGTGTCACCCAGGCTGGAGTAAAATGACACGATCTCGGCTCACTGCAACCTCCGCCTCCTGGGTTCAAGCAATTCTCCTACCTCGGCCTCCTGAGTAGCTGGGATTACAGGCGCACGCCACCATCCCCAGCTAATTTTTGTATTTTTAGTAGAGATGGGGTTTTACCATGTTGGCCAGGCTGGTCTTCAGCTCAGTGAGCTGCCTGCCTCAGCCTCCCGAGTGCTGGGATTACAGGCGTGAGCCAATGCTCCCAGCCTGTAAGGGCTTTTATAGTCCTCCTAACCAATAGCAAAATTTCTACAAAAGCTATCAGATAGTTAATTTTTCTGCAGCTGACACTAATAAAACAAAGACCCTGACTTTTCAACTTGCAGCTGAAAGAATCTTTCCAATTTTACTGTCCATGGGCTGCAATAAAATCATATTTTTTAAAAGTTATTGAGAAAAGCATCTATCTAATCTTTAGAGAGACCTTATGCACTATTTTTTTTCTATTTTATTCTTGTGATTATTACTTATAATGAGTGGTTAGGATCATCATAGGATGATATACCATATTAAAACTAAAGATTATGTAACAAAAGTATTACCTGGAATATTAGAATTTTAAAATAAAAAGTAGTTAAAGTCCCATATCTGCAGTAATCTTAAATTGTTAATGCATGTGTTTATCATTTTCTTCTATAATTCTACTTTGTTCTTTAGTGATTTAATATTCTATCATTTGAAGACAAACCTAGTAAGAAAACAATTTAGTAGAAAAATAATTACATATATTTATATAGTGATAAATTCCTTTGCTTTGAGATTTGTTCATCGCTTTATAATTTAAAAAACAAAAATAAAATGTATTTCCTCTTTCCTATAATGGTATAGCAACATTACCATTTTATAGTTCATAAATTATGTTTGTGTGTTACATGGAAAAATCTTTGTTAAATTTTATTGTATTAACTTTCCTAGCAGCTTTTGTTCGGAGTCATTATAAAATGCTCCTTGGGAAAACAAAAGTAATAATTAATTATGAAAGTTCTGCTTTATCTTCTATTCTTTGGGGGTCATCTATTCTGTAAGAATACATTTATTTTGAGAATGAAGGAGAAAGGAAGATTGATTAAAAGCTATCTCTAAGTCATGATGTATGTATGCACCCCACACAGACTTTAAGATCATACATTAAAGCATGAGGGAAAAATATGTAAACAAATAAGTAAGGAAAGCCTGTTCTGGAGTGAGTGCACAATTTCTTACTGTTGGGGACATGTAATCAGCAAATTTGGGAGACCTCTGGTTTAAAGATGTAACCTTGCAAATTGAGTTTTTAGCTTTTTTGCATGCTGGGCAAAGAACAACAATTTGAGATGTTGAAATGTATAGTATTTTGTTATTGTAGAAATTGAGGAAAAATAGGGACTTCTACCCATTATAAACTGAACCCTGTAAGTATGATCACTTCCTCCTTTCTACTTACTCTTCTTAGCACTCCCATACCCAAACTGAGAATGAGTGAAAGGAAAATGAAAGTTAAGAGCACTAGATGATCTTCCATTTTCCTTACTGGAACATGCATGATTGCATGGCAGGGGGAGATACATACTCCTGTACCAGTCCTTCCAAAAATAAAGAACTAAATAAATGTGTTCAGTGCATGGGCAAATGCAAAACATTTTCTGAAAATAATTCTTTTGACCAAAGCAGCAAAATAATAGAAATTAGCTATTTTGAAAATAATTATACATAGAAAACAGGAAACAAAAACATTTTGAGCTTAGGACTTTCATTAATTTACTTGAAAGAGAAATAATAGGGTTCATAGTTCAGGGTTTCTTTGTGTTACTAATAGCATACTACCTTGAAATGAATAAAAGGAATAAAAAAGAAGAGTCATCCTTTTAGTAGTAGATGCTTTTATGAAAGCTTTGCCATTTCCTAGAGTACTTAATCTTTGTCCAGCCAGCTCTGTCAGTGCTTAGTGCTTATTCTTTTTCATCATTTTTGATGGTAGTAGAAATTATAGTTGTGTTTCTCATTTCTTTCTGTAGAATCTGAATTTTACAGGGTTTCGAAAAATCCTGAAAAAGCATGACAAGATCCTGGAAACATCTCGTGGAGCAGATTGGCGAGTGGCTCACGTAGAGGTGGCCCCATTTTATACATGCAAGAAAATCAACCAGCTTATCTCTGAAACTGAGGTACAATAATCTCGTTTATTTACAACGTATTTTCAGTTACACGTTTTATATTTAGGGAAGCAATTCCTTATTTCTGTTATTTTGTAACTAGTTGCTAGCTTTGAATATATATGCCTTACCTGTGATTTTTTTTCATTTTCTTTATCAGTATATATTCACCAAAAAGTTGTCAGAATATAATATATATAAATGGTACAGAATTATTTGTGCATCACTCAAGTTTAGTATAACCTAACCAAAATGTAATAATTTGTCTTTCTAGGCTGTAGTGACCAATGAACTTGAAGATGGTGACAGACAAAAGGCTATGAAGCGTTTACGTGTCCCCCCTTTGGGAGCTGCTCAGGTTAGTATTTGGTTCCAGTAGTTTGTTTGGTTTCACCTATTTAATAATCAACACAGTATTTAGCTGGCCCCATTATCTTAAAAAAATTTTCAGCCAAAGTTTATAAGTAGTTGCTATTTTTCTTATTTTAGTTTTTTAAACATTATATGCTATATTTTACTTCATTCTGAATTATAATGTCTTCCACCTTTCTCTTCTCATACTGTACTTTCTTGTTTATTCTTACTGACATGTTAACTTACTGGTATCATCAAATGATTAAGATGTGATTTAAAAAAAATGATCTGGTGGGTTCAGATATACTGGATTGCTATATAGCTTACTCCAAAAAAGCATTTATTAAATGATATCTACACAGTAGTTATAAAAAAAGAAAATTTATTAAGTGATATCTTCTGTGTCATAAAACAAGTCTCAATAAATATAGAAGGATTTAAGTCATGCAAAGTATATTTTCAGACAACAGTGGAATAGAAATCAATAACAGAGCTTCCATAGCCTAATGAAAGGCATCTATTAAAAAAAAAATAAAACCTCTACAATTATTATCATACTCAATGGTAAACACTGCATGCTTTCTCCCTAAGACTTGGCCCAAAAAAGGGTATTCACTTTTAACACCTGTATTCAACATTGTGCTGGAGATTATAGCCAGTGCGGTAAGGGAAGAAAAAGAAATAAAAGACATTCAGGGTAGAAACGAAGAAGTAAAACCAGTGGGGTTTTGCCAGTGACTTGATGATCTATGTAGAAAATCTAGTGAATCTATAGAATAGCTACTATAACTAACAAATGAGTTTAGCAAGGTTGCCAAATACAAGACCAATATGTAAAATCATTTGTCTAGATACTTGCAAGAACAATTGGAAATCAAAAAATGTTAAAGCAATGCTGTTTATAATATCATCAAAATATACAATGCTTAGTAATAATTCTGACAAAAGATGTGTAAGGCCTTTACATTGAAAACTACAAAACACTGCTGAGCAAAATTAAAGACTTGGATGAGAGAGATGCTATGTTCATGGGTATATTGCACACACCCAGTATTTTAAAGATACGTTGTTTCTTCCTGAGGTGATTTATAGATATAATACGTTCCAGCTCAGAAATCTCAGAAGACTTCTTTGTAAAATTGATAAGCAGATTTAAAAATTTATATGGAGGCCAGGCACGATGGCTCATGCCTGTAATCCCAGAAATTTGGGAGGCTGAGGCAGGTGGATCACTTGAGGCCAGGAGTTCAAGACCAGCCTGGCCAACATGATGAAACCCCATCTCGACTAAAATACAAAAATTAGCTGGGCTTCGTGGCACATGCCTGTAATCCCAGCTACTTGAGAGGCTGAAGCACAAGAATCACTTGAACCCAGGAGGTGGAGGTTGCAGTGAGCCGAGATCGCGCCACTGCACTGAGTGACAGAGCAAGACTCTGTCTCCAAAAAAAGAAAAGTATATGGAAAGGCAGAGGACCTAGAATAGCCAAAGCAACTTTGGAACATAAATTGAAGGATTAACATTACCTTATGAAAGCTTATTAAAGCTGCAGTAATCAAGAGAGTGTGGTAATAGTGTCATGGTAGGCAAATGATCAATGGACCAGAATAGAGTGTCCAAAAATAGACTAACATATTACGAACAACAGATATTTGATAAAGATATAAAGCAGATTAGTGGAGAAGGGTAGCATTTTCAACTAAGGATGCTGAAACAGTTGAATTCCATATACCAAAAAAAAAAAAAAATGAGCTTTCATCCATACTTCACAACATACAGTTCTAAATGTACCATAGATCTAAATGAAAACTGGAAACTACAAATTTCTAGAAGAAAATATAGAAGAAAGTCCTAATGACTTTGGGTTATGCAAAGATTTCTTAGAAATGACACCAAAAGCACCTCATCAAAATTAAAAAACGTATGCTCTTCAAAAGACATATTAAGAGAATGAAAAGAAAAGCAAGAGACTAGCAGAAAATATTTATAAAACATATCTGTTAAAGGTCTTATATTTAGAATATATAAAGAACTCCAATACTCAATAGAAGGAAAACAATCAACCCAACTTTTAAAAATGGGCAAAAGACCTGAACAGTTCTTCACAGATGTACAGGTGGCAAATTAGCATGTGATAAAATGCTCAATATCATTAGGCATTATGGAAATGCCAATTAAAACCACGGTAAGATAATACATTGTCTGTTAGAATGATTAAAAAAGACTAATCATACTAATGATGGAGGAGTAGGAACTCTCTTTTCTAATATGCTTTGGTGGAATATAAAATGTATAATGAATAAGCACATTTGAAAACAGTTTGGAAGTTTCTTAAAAGTGTACACCTGCCATATGGTCTAGCTATTACACTCCTAGGTATTTACCCAAGACAAGTGCAAATATATGTTCATATAAAGATTTCTACACAAATGTTCATAGCATCTAAACAACCCAAATGTCTATCAGTAGGTGAATGGATAAACAATTTGTGGTATATCCATACAATGAAACACTACTTAGCAATAAAAAGGAATAACTGATTGATAAATGTAACAATGTGGATAAACCTCAAATTAATTATGTGGAGAGAAAGCAGAAAAAAAAGGTACCTACTATATGATATCATTAACCTAAGACTCCAGAAAAAATGCAAACTAATAAATAGTGACAGAAAGGAGATCAGTGGTTGCTTGTGAATAGAGTGGGGTAGGGTAGGCTGGGAGGAAAGGATTACAAAGACACATGGGAAATTCTTGGGAGTCGTGGATATGTTCTTTGTCTTGATTATGCTGATGGTTTTGTAGACGTTTATGCAGTTTCAAAACTTATCAAATCGTACACCTTAAATATATACAGTTTATTGTATATCAACTTAGTCAGTAAAGCAGTTTTTAAAAATCCTAAGCATATTATTGTCAAACTGCTTGGAAATAAAGAGAAGAATCTTAAAAGCATCCAGAGAGAAAAGACACAAATTCTATACTTTAAGTATGTGCAATTTTTTTATGTCAGTTGTTTTTGAATAAACATTTTAAAATTAGTTTCAAAAAATTAGGGTGTTTAAGAATGCCTGTAGAGATGGTAAAGCTAAAGAAAATGTGGAAGTGGTTATCTCTGGTGCGGAGGGAAGGTTTTGGGATCAGGGAGGAATAGGGAATTCAAAGTTAATGGAAATGTTCAGCTTCTAAATATGGATAGTAGTTATAGATTCACTTTATTATTCATTTCTAACAGTCCAAATAAATTATATGCATTCTTTTGTATATATGATAAATTAAACAATTTTTGAAACTAAAGGTAACTTTTTATCTTTGGAAAAGACAAATGACCATCTTTTGGATGCTTTCAGTCAGAAACTAACAATACAGTTAGAATCTGTTACTCTATTAAGTAATAATAAGACAGAGGGGAGTCTCAATGCTTTGTTTTTGAAGGTTTTTAGAAAACAAAATACCTGAAATGTACTATCATCTCTAACAACAAAAAATTTTATAACATTCACAGCAAATATTTAAGTCTATAAGATTATCTCTCTCTGTGTTTCTCATCACTTTACAATCTTAGGCACTTGCTATTACATATTTATTTTAGAAAGCAGAAGTTTCAAAAATCGCTTTCTAAATATAAAATTAAATTATAATAGATAATATTTTTGAGCCTACATACACGGGAGATTTGGATATATCAGTCTCTTAAGAACCTCTCGTATATCCTGAAAAATTTACTTTAAATTACCCCAGTATGGGCTGCACACTGTGGCTTACACCTGTAATCCCAGCACTTTGGGAGGCCAAGGCAAGTGGATTGCCTGAGCCCAGGAGTTCAAGACCAGCCTGGGCAAAACAGTGAAACCTCATCTCTACAAAAAATACAAAACTTAGCTGGGCATGGTGGCACACACAGTAGTCCCAGCTACTCTGGAGGCTGAAGTGGGGAATCACTTGAGTCTGGGAAGTTGAGGCTTCAGTAAGCTGTGATCACACCCCTGCGCTCCAGCCTAGGCGATAGGACGAGACCATGTCTCAGAAAAAAAAAAAATGCTACCTCAGTATAATAATGTAAGTACTATCAGAAAGTAAGCGTTCTTGTCTCCGTCATCGTCTCTAATTTTATCTGTTGTACCAAATGTGCAAACTCTGAGTAATACTGACTTTAAAAATTTACAATTTCATTGTAAAAATGAAATTGCATCTTAACTCTCTCCTATTTACAAAACTCATATGTATATATATATGTGTATATATGTATATATGTGTATATATATGTATATATATGTGTGTATATATATAGTCGTTCCTTAGTATCTGTTGGAGATTGGTTCCAGGATCCTGTGGATAGCAAAATCCGTGGATGCTCAAGTCCCTTATAAAATGGCATACTATTGCATATAACCTGTACACATCCTCTTAAATACTTTAAATGATCTCTGGGTTACTTATAAAACCTAATACAATGTAAATGCTGTATAAATAGTTGTTAATACTCAGTGCTTTTATTTGTATTACTTTTTCTTGTTTTGTTATTTTTTACTGGTTTTTGTTCCTGAATATTTTCAATACACGGTTGATTCCTCGAGTGTAGAATCCACATACTATAATTTAATGCCTAAGATTATAATCTTGCTTATTTCATGACACAGATTTCTATAAAAAAAAGCTTGATTAATTGGCAACTTGAATAGTATTATAGGATGATGAAGGTTGATTCTCTGGTTCAGATTTATAAAAATTTAGAACATTAAATATTATTTTCATGGTAGAACTTTGAGACTCATTCTACTATTTTATTACAGCATATAGTAAATACAATCAGTGTTTTGTCCTGTACTCAAATACTATTTTTCTGTCCACAGCCTGCACCAGCATGGACTACTTTTAGAGTTGGCCTATTTTGTGGAATATTCATTGTACTGAATATTACCCTTGTGCTTGCCGGTAAGTAGTTTAAATTTTGAATTAATTTATTCTTACCAATATGCCTGTGTCATATTCTGCCCCTCTGTAAGGAATTATGCATGCAACTACCAAAGCTACTGAAAGATAAATCTATCAGGGCTAAGTTTTTTGTCCTTATAAATGTGGTTTTTTTTAGTTGTTTGTTTTGTTGGCGTTTTTTCCCCATTTGGGTATGGTTATTCTCTAAAACATTGCTCATGTATGACTTCTTTTTCTTCATCATTTTCCAGTTTCTGTATATAACTTCTATATAATTTTTCAGAGTTTATTTATCAAAAACCTTGGCTTTCTTGATCATAGATGAGGATAAATAATGTTACAAAACTCATTCACAAAGCTCTTTCACTTTGCTTATTGGAGACCCTCTCGCATCCTTTTCAGAATCTATTTACAATTACTTTGCATATAGTGTTAAGAAGCTTGGTTGTATAATTTCCTATTCTATAGAAGTAAAAACAATTAGAAAGAGATAGGAAGGATTCCTAGGAGCAGCTGCACTCACAACATCAAAAAATGATATAACAGCAAAGGAAGCATAATCTTACTAAATCTCCCCAAAGAATTTGACACACCCCACAGTAGCATTTGACATTATCAGTCACCACTTCTTGAAACACTTTGATTGTTTTTTCTGGAGAAACCACACTCTGCTGGTTTTCCTGTTAAATTTTACTGGCAGTTTGTTCCCAGTCTCCTTTGCTAGCTATACTTTTCTTTGTGACATCAAAATGTTAGGGTATAGTGCTGGGCTCAATCCTTCAATCTCCTCTGTCTATATTTGTTTCCTATCTAGGCAATCTTATTCAAGACTATGGCTATAAATACCGTCTATATGCTAATGACTCCCAAATATATGTTCTCTCTTCTGAAAGATGTCTACTTGGCTAGTTGGATTTGTCTAGTAGATATCTCAAACTTACACAGACAAAAGATACCTTGATTTTTACCCCCAAATATGCTCTTCTATCTGGCATCACCTTTCATCCATTTCTCAGTCCAAAATCTTTTAGTTTCTCTTGTCCCTCATATTTAATCTTCAGTCCATCAGCAAATCTTATTGGTCTGTCTTCAAACCATGTTCTAAATGTATTTACTTCTCACCACCTTGGCCAGTGCCACTCTTGTCTAAGCAGCCATTTCTTTTTTTTTTTTTTTTTGACACGGGGTCTCACACTGTCGCCAGGTCTGGGGTGCAGTGGTCCGATCTCGGCTCACTGCAACCTCTGCCTCCTGGGTTCACACGATTTTCCTGCCTCAGCCTCCTGAATAGCTGGGATTACAGGCACACACCACCACACCTGGCTAATTTTTTGTATTTTTAGTAGAGATGAGGTTTCACTATGTTGGCCAGACTGGTCTTGAACTCCTGACCTCGTGATCCACCCACCTCAGCCTCCCAAAGTGCTGGGGTTTACAGGCATGAGCCACCGCGCCCGGCCAGCAGCCATTTCTTGTTTAGTGTATAGCAGCCTTCTGGACTCGGTCTCCTTGCATCTACTCTTGCCTCCTTATAGCTACTAGTGTCTTTTTTCCCCCCCCCCAATGGAAGTTAGATCATGTCACTCTCCTATTCAAAATTCATTCATGGCTACTCTTAAAATAAAATCCAAACTCCTTGCCATTGCCTGCAAGAACTTACAGGATCTCACCTCTGTGGGCCTTTCCGATATTATATTGTCATCTTCCCCCCACACTTAGCTTCACTTTGTTTCCGACCACACTTGTGTTAGTACTTCTTAGATGCATCAAGCTCATTCTAATCTAAGAGCCTCTGCAGTTGCCTAAAGAGCTCTTCCCCAAGATGTCTACCTAGCTTATTTCATCACTTGTCTGTATTCAAATGCTACATTCTTAGTAAAGCGTTCCCTGATCACCCAACCCTAAAATAATCTATTCTGTCCCTTTAGCCTACGTTAGTTTTCTTCTGAGTACATATACTTACCTGACATTATATATTATATATTTATATTTCTTGTGATCTCTTTTTCCACTGGAATATAAATTTTCTTGATGCCTGGGCATTTGTCTCTCTTGTATCTCTAGCACGTAGAACACTGCTTAGACCATAGTAGGGGCTTGAAAAGTATTGGGGAAGTTTGGCTGGAAGAGAAGGAGAAAGATGAAATTAAATGATATTTAGAAAACACATGCACAAACAGCAGAAAAACAGACACAAATCTCAAAGCTTCTTATAGTCAAGGACTTTTAAGGACAGATAACCTTGGTATACCTAAGGGTCTATGTAATTGTGCTCATAATAATAACTGAATCATTAATAAAGGGCTAAATTTTGTTCAGTGAAGTCTGCAAAGAAATATTAGGCTGGTGCAAAAGTTGCCATTACTTTTAATGGCAAAACTGCAATTACTTTTGCATCAACCTGTATGATTTAAAAATAGATGTCATTATTTGAATATCCATAATATTCCATTTCAGACTTTTAGTAATCATAATAATGCCCAAATAAGGAAGCTTTATGTCACTGTCATACTTAACTATTCTTGATTGCAGGGACTATGTATTGTTGCATTTTAAGTTCCCAACACATTGTCAAGTTTATAGTAGATGTTCGAGAGATAATTTACTGAACTAATTATTCCTCATAAACATTCTGCTTAAGACTATCAATTGTATATTATGAAATGATAACCTACATTGTAATGGCTTTTAGAGAACATATGAATTTTACCTATTAACAGTGTGTTTTCATTTGTATTGTTAGAGTTCTTCTTCCTACCAGTTACTAAAAATCAACTCTAATAGTTATGGTCAATCCTGAGTTTATGATGTAGTGTTGCTATAATTTATAATCATATTTTAATCTGGTTCTATTTCCTTAGGTGAATACAGTTTACTTACATAGAATACATGAAAATAATACAATTTAAAAACTCAGATCTATGTTATCAAGCTAGCTGTAGTGGAGAGAACAAAAGGCCTGCATGGGTTTCAGTTTCAGCTCCACTGTTAGTTGTTTTGGCTTTAAGGACATCATTTAACTTCTCTCAAACAGTTTCCTCATCTGTTAAATGAGCTTAACACCTTAAATTTGCAGGGTTGTTTAGGGTTCATTCATTCATTCAGCAAGTAAATTTTATGTGTCTAAGGGTTATGCTTGATGCCTACAAGTCTTAAGATAAATAAGAGAATCCCTTTCCTTATGAAATGTATTATGCCAGGGAGATTAAGGCATATATTAAAGCAATATACTGCAAGATAGAAGGTGTTAAATTTTCTAAGCGGTTCAAAGAGACAACTGATTACTTTTAAATGAGAGCATCAGGGAATACTTCATGGAAGAAATAACGTTTATGCTAGACATTGGTGGAATCAAAGCCATTTCGAGAGAAGGAGACAGTTGAGCAAAGAGATTTAGTTGGCCTGGGGTGGGGATGGAGTGTAGAAGGAGGGAGTGAGTTATGAAGGAGAGAAGTGATAAATTGGCCAAAGGTGAAGGAGAATATTAGATGATAAGGGTGAAAAGATAGCTTGAGGCCAGCTCATAGGGATCAGATAAGAAGTGTAAGTAAAACATGTTTGTAGTTGCAAAGTGCTATGTCAATATAAGGTATATATGGTGGGGGTTGTTCTTTCTATAGAAAATGCCTTAGTCATTAGTGGGTGCAATTTTTTTGTTTAATTTTCAAGATGAGCATGGTGGTATTATCATCATTAAAAAAAGACATAAAAAATACATTTTTCCATTCTTTTTATGTGAATTAATTGCTACAATTTGAGGGTTTTTTTGTTTAGTATATACAGACTATGTTTTTGTAAGACATTCTGATTTGTTTTTTATGTGTGCTGTGTATGCATTTAGTGTTACGCATTATGTTTTCTCACTTCAGAACCCTTCTTTGTTTGATCTTTGTGTATGTTGTAGGGGGAGGGTAAATATAGTTAAAGCCAGCTGTCTATCCTTATTTATCTTCCAGCGGGTGCTTAAAAGATAACAGTGTTGAGAGTCAAAGAGAAACACAGTCGTAGTATGCATGTACAAGCACGATTCTTTTTTTCAAACATTCACATTAAAAAATGTGCATAATTGCTGTGGTTTTTCAAGGGGACATGACCTAGTATTTAATAATTTCTCTGAAAATCACGTGTTTCAGATAATTAATTTCATTAAGATGAAAAGTTGACTGTTTAGATTTTTTTTTCAAACTTGTTTCTTTTGCAGGTTCCTACTAACATATATAACTTAATTTGGTACAATAACAGTATACCATATTTCACTTACTGGTTTGGCCATTTACAGTGGGTATAAGGTGTGAAATAGGCTCTGGTACACTAGTGGTAAGAGTACTCATTGTTGCTATCTCTTTGGAGGATAATTTGGCAGTGTGTGTAAAAATTTTAGGCAAAATTATGTTGATTAAGCCGTTTTGTTTCTAGAAATTTATCCTACAAACATACTTGTACATGGTTGCAAAGACATGTATGCTAGGAGGATAGTCATTGCCATTTTGTTTATAGTAGAAAAATCCTAGAAACCACTCAAATATTCATAAATTGATAGCTCTTTAAATTATATTACCTCTGTACAGTGGAATACCATGGAGATATTAAGATGAATGAGGTAATGGTGGGAGTGAAAATGGACACAGCACTTTGGAGAACTTTTTGGCAACAGGAATCAGTTTTGTGGAAGACAATTTTTTCACTGGGCTGGCGGGTAGGAGAGGGGATGGTTTCAAGGTGAAACCCTTCCACCTCCGATCATCAGGCATTAGTTAGATTCTCATAAGGAGCGCGCAACCTAGAGATCCCTCCCATGCGCAGCTCACAATAGGGTTCGTTCTCCTCTGAGAATCTAATGCCGTTGATCTGACAGGAGGCGGAGCTCAGGAAGTAATGCTCTCTCACCAGCCGCTCACCTCCTGCTGTGTGGCCTGGTTCCTGACAGAGCACGGACCAGTACTGGTCCATGGCCTGGAGATTGGAAACCCCTGTACTAACCTATGACCCAGTTCTAATAGAAATGCTTACATATGTCCACCAAAAGACATGTATGAGAACACTTAAGTAATATTGTTTGTAATAGTATCCAGTCATGTACCATGTAACAATGTCTTGGTCAGCAGCAGACTGCAGATATGAAGGCAGTCCCATAAGATTATAATGGAACTGAAAAATTGCTGTTGCATAATGGACGGCATAGCCATCATAGCATAACACATTATTTAGATGCTTGTGGCAGTGTTGGTATAAACAAACATATTGCACTGCCAGCCATATAAAAGTTTAGCACTTAAAATTCATGTACATAATACTTGATCATGATAATAAATGACTTACTGATTTATGTATATGCTATACTATTTATTATTTTAGAGTGAACTCCTCCTACTTATTAATAAAAGAGTTAATTGTAAAACAGCCTCAGGCAGGTCCTTCGGGAGGTGTTCCAGAAGAAGGCATTAATAGAATAGGAGATGACAGCTCCCTGTGTGTTATTGCCCCGAAGACCTTCCAGTGGGAGAAGATGTGGAGGTGGAAGACAGTGATATTGGTGATTCTGATCATGTGTAGGCCTAGGCTAATATGTGTGTTAATGCCTTAGTTTTTAAGAAGGTTTAAAAAGTAAAAATAAAAATTAAAAAATGTAAAAATAGAAAAAAGTTTATAGAATAAGGATATAAAGAAAAAATACGTCTATATTGTTATACAGTATGTCCATGTTTTAGGCTAGGTATTATTACAAAAGAGTTAAAAAGGTTTAAAAATTTTTTAAGTTTATAAAGTTAAAAAGTTACAGTGAGCTAAGGTTAATTTATTATTGAAGAAAGAAAAAAATTTTTTTATAAATTCAGTGTAGCCTAAGTGTACAATGTGTATAAAGTCCGCAATAGTGTAATGTCCTAGGTCTTCACATTTACTCACCACTCACTCACTGACTCACCCAGAGCAACTTCCAGTCCTATAGCTCCATTCATTGTAAGTACCCTATACAGGTGTACCATTTTTTATCTTTTATAATGTATTTTTACTGTGTCTTTTCTATGTTTAGAGATGTTTAGAGACAAATACTACCATTGTGTTACAATTGCCTACAGTATTCTGTACAGTAACATGGTGGACAGGTTTATAGCCTAGGAGCAATAGGCTCACATAACTGTAAGTAATGAGAATAACAAACTGTAGCTACATACAAGAACATGATGGCTCTCACAAATGTTAAACAAAACAAGCCAGACACAAAGAATACATATTACATGATTCCATTTACATGGAGTTCAAAAAACAGGCAAAAATCAGGAGTTTACCCTTGGGGAATGGATAGCAATTGGAAAGAATATGAGCCGGAACTTCTAGGATGCTTGTAATATGCTGTGTTCTGGGTGCTGATTCACTTCATTTTTCATCATGTTGTATACTTATGATTTATCCATTTTTCTATATGTATGTAACACTTAAATTCAAAAAGTTTACATTAGAAAATGAGTGAGATCTTTGTGCACTGATACTGGAAAATCTCCACTCCAGGATATAAGTGAAAAAAAAAAAAGGCCTGGAATAGCATATATAGCATGCTCCCAGTTGTAATTGGTGATTTGTTTTTTAAAAAATAGTATGTGTTTCTCTATGCATCAAGAAATTCTTGAAAGATAATAGACAAATTGTTAGCATGGTTTTCTTCAGAAGATCTGGAGTGAGACGAGGCTTCTCATATTCTTTATAATATTTGTGGTTCTTTTCCTATACACATACATTACTTGTTAAAATTTTTTTAATGTTCCTTTAAAGAAAAGTGAGTTGGCAACTTAATACAGAGAGGACTGTAATTTTGTAAGTTTTAGAACAAACTTCTGTTTGGGTTTTTTTTTTTTTTTTAAACAGGTACATATTTGCTTACTAACACAACCTAGCCCCATTGTTAAGTGTGCAGGCTTTGGAGCCAGATTGTAGGGTTATTACATCCTTGTGATCCTGGGCAAGGAACCTATTTTGAGTAAGCCTTAGTTTCTTCATGTATCTGCTGAGAAAAACCAATTTATAGTGTTGCTGTGAGAACTAATGAAATTATGCATGAAAAACATTGAGTATATTGCTTACCCCAAAATAAATGCTTAATGATTGTTAGCTGATTTTTAAGTTAAAAATTCATGAAGCCATGGGAAGTTTGTGATGGGACCTTATATATCTTTTATTTTTGGGACTCATGGATCAGAGAGATGATATACTTATTCTTAAAAATGATACTAATTTGTTTTTTGATTCCCTGGAATTTTTTATGATGATCTTGTCTAGCAAGAGTATTGTGGTTTAATCCCAGTAAATCTACAAAAGTTTGCTTCAGGGAGATCATGCCAAATGAAGGAGGTTTCATTGTATTGCTTATATATGCCCTTAGGTTTTAGATTTATGTGCAATTGAAAGTTTTGGATCTTTGATGAATAACTTGACTATTAACAGTTAAAATTGCCTTTTGCTTTTTGAAACTTTTTTTTTCCTTCAGAGACAGGGTCTCTCTCTGTTGCCCAGGCTGGAGTACAGTGGCCCCATCCTAGCTCACTACAGCCTAGACCTCCTGGGCTCAGGCGATCCTCCTGCCTCAGACTCTTGAGTAGCCAGGAATACAAGTATGGAGTAGCACCATGCCTGGCTAATTTTTTAACTTTTTTGTAGAGACAGAGTCTCACTATATCGCCTAGGCTGGTCTTGAACTCTTTGCCTCCAGTGATCCTCCCACTTTGGCCTCCCAAAACACTGGGATTACAGGAGCCACCATGCCTGGTCCCTGTTTTTTGAACCATTTTGAAAGTAAATAAGTTCATTAGCTTAAATATAGTATTTTCATTCAGAAGAATATATCTTTAGCATTTATTGTTTTACAGAGGTCCTTGGGGTTTTTGTTGTTGTTGCTGCTGTTTTGGTTTTCGCTGACTTTTCTAACAAATTGTGGAGTTCAAGGATATTTTATTCAGATCATATTTACTGAAAGCCTTAGAGATTTTCTAGTTCCTATGTTATCAAGTAGAACTTAGGTAAATATGTGTTTAGATTTTATAAATATGGATTACATTTTCTGTTCATGGCAATTTTCTTCCTATGTAGGACAGAATACTACTGTTGCTAGGGTCATGAATATTTGAACCCTAAGCAGGCTATTTCGCTTTCTTTTATGTATGGCCACAGATATTAACTAGACAGAATTAGAAAATTTTGATATATTAGAGCAAATCTATCACCACCACTACTAAAACAGTTCAAAATATATGCCTAGGCCGGGCGCGGTGGCTCATGCCTGTAATCCTAGCACTTTGGGAGGCCAAGGCGGGTGGATTGCCTGAGCTCAGGAGTTCGAGACCAGCCTAGGCAACATGGCAAAACCCCGTCTCTACTAAAATTACAAAAAAATTCCCTGGGTGTGGTGGTGTGTGCCTGTAATCCCAGGTACTTGGGAGGCTGAGGCAGGAGAATCACTTGGACCCAGGAGGGGGAGGGTGCAGTGAGCCAGGATCATGCCATTGCACTCCAGCCTGGGCAACAGAGCAAGACTCTGTCTCAAAAAAAAAAAAATTATATATATATACACACACATACACACATACCTAACATAGAAATTAGTAATGACATCTTAAGATATATTTATTACTTTTTTCCTTTTCTGTTTTTTTTAATTGAGGTGAAGTTCACATAACATAAAATAAATTTCATTTTAAAGTTAATAACTCAGTGGCATTCAAGTACATTCACAGTGTTGTACAACCACCACGTCTATCTAGTTCCCAGACATTTTCATCAGCCCAAAAGGAAACCCCACTCTCCATTCCCTCTCCTCAGCTGCTGGCAACCACTAATCTGCCTTCTGTCTCTATGAATGTTCCTATTCTGGGTATGTCCATAAATGGTGTCATACAATATGTGGTATTTTGTGTTTGGCTTCTTTTAGTTGGCGTAATGTTTTCAAGGTTCATCCATGTTGTAGCATGTATCAGTACTTCATTCTTTTTATGGCTGAGTAATATTCCATTTTGTGTATGTATCACAATTTGTTTATCCATTCATTCATTGATGGACATTTGGGTTATTTCTATCTTTTGGCTATTGTGAATGGTACTGTTAGGAACATGCATAAACATGGATTTGTTTAGTACCTGTTTAATTTTCTGAGGAGCCACCAAACTGTTTTTCACAGAGGCTTTACCATTTTCCATTCCTACTAGCAGTTTATGAGGATTCTGTTTTCTGCACATCCTTGCCAACACTTGTTTTCTATGTTTTTGTTTTCTTCATTATATCCATACAAATGGGCGTGAAGTGGTATCTCATTGTGGTTTTAATTTGCATTTCCCTAATGACTAATTATATTAAGCATCTTTTCATGTGCTCATTGGCCATTTATATATATATTTTGGACAAATGTCTATCCAGGTTCTTAGCCCTATTTTAATTGGGTTGTTCATTGTTCCATTGTTAAGTTGTAAGAGTTCTTCATGTGTTCTAGATACTAGACCCTTATATTAGATAAATGATTTGCAAATATTCCTCCCTTTTTTTTTTTACTTTCTTGATAATGTCTACTGATGTTTTAAATTTTGATGAAGTCTCATTTATCTGTTTTTCCTTTTGTTTCATGTACTTTTGTTGTGATACCTAAGAATCTATTGCCAAATTCAAGGTCATGAAGATTTATCATTATGTTTTCTTTGGAGTTTTATGGTTTGAATTCCTATATTGAAGTCATCAATGAGTTTTGAATTAATCTTTGTGTATGCTGTGAGACAAGGGACCAACTTCACTTTTTTGCATGTGAATATCCAGTTGTCACAGGACTAAGCTGTTGAAGAGAATATTCTTTTCCACTGAATGGTGTTGGCACTCATGTTGAAAATCAATCAGCCATCGATGTATAGGTTTATCTCTGGATTCTCAGTGCTATTCCATTCATCTATATGTCTGTTTTCATACCAGTGCCACAATGTTTTGATTACTATAGCTTTGTAGTAAGTTTTAAAATGACAAAGTATGAGTCCCTAACTTTGTTCTTTTTTCATTATTGTTTTAGCTATTTGGGACCTCTTGGAATTCCATATGAATTTAAGGATTGACTTTTTCAGTTCTGAAAAAAAGCCATTGGAATTTTGATAGGGATTGCATTAAATCTGTAGATTGCTTTGGGTAGTATTGCCGTCTTAACAATATTAAATCTTTAAATCCATGAACACAGGATTCTTTTCTACTTTAATTTCTTTCAGCAGTGTTTTGAGTTTGTAGTATACAGGTCTTTCACTTACTTGGTAAAAGTTATTTCTAGATGTTTTATTCTTTTGAATGCTATTGTAGTTAGAATTATTTTCTTAATTTCATTTTCAGATTGCTCATTGCCGATGTATGCAAACACAAGTGAATTTTGTGTGTTGATCTTGTACTCTACAACTGTGATGAATTTACTAATTCTAGTAGTTTTATTGTGGATTCTTTGGGATTTGTGTTATTTTTGTTTCCTGACTGTTGTAATGCATCTGTGGTCTTTGCTTAGGAATCAGGATGTAAAACTATATATCATTTTCCATTTATAACTTCCTAACTAATCTTGCCTTTGTACTTGTTCCCTTGTAGTCTGTTCACTTAACAGCTAGAGTAGCCCTTTAAAATAATTCATGAGGTCATGCCGTGTATGTACAAAACCTTCTACAGGCTTGTACATCAGAGTAAAAGCTTAAGTCTTGACAAAGTACTGAAGAGCTCTGTCTGATCTACTGCTGACCAGTTCTTTACCACTATACCTTTGTTTGTTCCAATCATAGTAACTTGGCTTTCTTCCTAGAGCAATCTATCTTAAGGCCCTTTGTACTTTCCCTCTCTACAAGGAGCCGTCTTCCCCCAAACATCCCAATGCTTTGTTCTCTATTTCCTTAAGGTCATCTCCTTAAGTGTCATCTCCTGAGAGTCTTCCCTGACCGCCCTACCTAAAATAACACCTAACATCATTCTTTATCTCCTTACTGTAGTTTTCCTTCAAACCCCTTATCTGACTTTATGCAGAACAGAAATTTCCTGAAGATAGGTATTTTGTCCGTTGTTCATCACTGAATTGCTAGCTCTTAGAATGGTGTCAGGTGTAATAGGCACCTAATCAATACTTGTCAAATGAAGGAATAAAGTTTCCTCAAGTAAAAGGAAAAAGAAACTAATATATACTGAATACTCATAATGAGCCAAACGTTATTCTAGGCATTTGATATATGTTGTTCACATTTAATCTTCTTAATAAACTTATGAGAATAGATATTATCCCCATTGATCAACAAAGAAACAGAGACTTTAAAAAAAAATAAATAATTTGGCATCGCTAGGATTTGAAATCTGGTCTGTAGTACTTGATTCCAAAGCAAAGGCTTTCTCTACCGTGTTATTTTAAAATTATTAAATCTTCTATATACTACAGAGAATACAAAGGTAAACAATAAATGGTTATTTAAGTATATAAATTAGTATATAGGCTGGGCATGGTGGCTCACTCCTGTAATCCCAGCACTTTGGGAGGCCGAGGAGGGCAGATCACCTGAGGTCAGGAGTTCCAGACCAGCCTGGCCAACATGATGAAACCCCGTCTCTACTAAAAATACAAAAAATTAGCTGGGTGTGGCGTCACGCATCTGTAATCCCAGCCACTCAGGAGGCTGAGGCAGGAGAATCGCTTGAACGCGGGAGGCAGAGGTTGCAGTGAGCCAAGATGACACCACTGCACTCCAGTCTGAGCGACAGAGCAAGACTCCATCTCAAAAAAAAAAAACAAAAGTTTGTATGTAATTAAATTCCAAATGAGCAGTACTGTCAATAAATTTTATAGTTATTTGGAAAATCATTAGACCAAATGGAAGTGTTTCTCATACAGTGGGCTTAAAACGAAATATGTTGATTCAGTGAATTTATGAACAGGTAAGGATCCAGGATCTGTCTCTTAAATAGTAAGTAGAATTTGAATTAGTGGAGAGAAAGAACAAGGCCATTTTAAGTAGAGGGAACAACATAAGTAAATGTGAAAAACAAACTTATTAAAAGGATAATAAAATTCATCACGAGTCAAGAGTTAATATTTTAGGGGTGCTGCGAGATAAGTTTGGGAAAAGTGAGTTGGTGATTAGATTATGAAGAATTTGAATTGTGAGGCTAAGGTATCTAAAGTATTTGAACATTATAATTACTGGCGAGCCATAGAATAATGATATTGAACATTTGTGTGGACATAATGGGCAATAGAATGTAGTGCTTAAGAGTATGAACTTTGGAGCAAAACTGGGTTCAAATTCTAGCTTAGGTCAGTAACTAAGCAAATGACAACCTCTCTGTGCTCTAGTTTCCTAATCAAATGGAGATAATGGTTTTTAACTCAAAGAGCCATTGTGATGGTTAAATGAATTACCAATTATTCTATGTAAAAATACTGAGAACAGTGCTTAGCACATAGTAAGCATTCCGTAAATATTAACTGTTGTCATTTATATGACATTTAAATTTTCACACTACTTTCATGTGTACTGTTCCTTCTCATTTTCATGGCAACTCTGTGAGGTAGATATTACTATATCCAGTTTAATAATGGAGTAAATGAAGCCAAAGAGAGGTTTTGTCATGCCGGATCCCCAAATGACAGAACTGATCACATGATTCTAAGCCACTTCACCATGATTCTTTGTAATCTAAAAAACTAATAGAACAATGGGATGACATGCTGAAAGTCAAGTTTTGGGAAATTATTCTAGTGACATTCTGCAGAGTAAAATGAAGACGAGAAAGAACCCACAGGCGACTTTTTAAGGCTCTTAAAATAATCTAGGTTTGGCCAGGCGGGGTGGTTCATGCCTGTAATCCCAACACTTTGGGAGGCCAAGGTGGGTGGATCACGAGGTCAGGAGATGAAGACAATCCTGGCCAACATGGTGAAACCCTGTCTGTACTAAAAATACAACAATTAGCTGGGCGTGGTGGTGCGTGCCTGTAATCCCAGTTACTCGGGAGACTGAGGCAGGAGAATCGCTTGAACCAGGGAGTCGGAGGTTGCAGTGAGCCGAGATCACGCCATTGCACTCCAGCCTGGCAACAGGGTGAGACTGTCTCAAAAAAATAAATAGGTAGATAGATAGATAGATAGATGATAGATAATCTAGGTTTAGGTTTTATTTATGAAAAATTTCTATGCCAGGGCTATATCATTGAGAATGAAGACAAAAGATTATTAATTCAAGGGAAGTTATGAATTTTATAACTGACCAATATCTTAATATTCTTTCAGCTGTATTTAAACTTGAAACAGATAGAAGTATATGGCCCTTGATAAGAATCTATCGGGGTGGCTTTCTTCTGATTGAATTCCTTTTTCTACTGGGCATCAACACGTATGGTTGGAGACAGGCTGGAGTAAACCATGTACTCATCTTTGAACTTAATCCGAGAAGCAATTTGTCTCATCAACATCTCTTTGAGGTAATCAAAGCAAGACATAACACCTCATGAATATAGTTTGCATTAGCTATATAGCTATCTGGTTTAGTGGGTACTTAAATCCATCCTCTACTTGAAGAGGATTATTAGCTTAATAACTAATCATGTTTCTTACTTTTGTTTTATTAAAGATATTTTAAGTAATGGTAAAAGTAAAAATAACAATTTTTCTCTATCTTTCTGTCTTCCCCATCCTTTACTAGATTGCTGGATTCCTCGGGATATTGTGGTGCCTGAGCCTTCTGGCATGCTTCTTTGCTCCAATTAGTGTCATCCCCACATATGTGTATCCACTTGCCCTTTATGGATTTATGGTTTTCTTCCTTATCAACCCCACCAAAACTTTCTACTATAAATCCCGGTTTTGGCTGCTTAAACTGCTGGTAAGTCCAGAAACTTGTGTACCACTTTTAGAGTGGCATATTGGTTATTGACTTCCTCTAAGATAAAACCAAGGCTGCTAGGTTGTACAACTGCAGAGGCCGTGGTTCACATTATAGTTTATGTGAGTGGAGGCCCTGGGAAAAAGTACTCACGTATATTTTCCTCCTGAGATCGAGTATCAGGTGGCCAAATATTGAGATGATTTTGTAAATTATAAACATTTTTTACTTCGTTTAACTAGCTGTGATAAGATGTAGAACTTTGTAAGTTTCCTTCCCCCAAAAAAATGTGGTAAAAGAATTATTTTCCTGTTAAGTTGATGTGAGTATCAACCGAACATTTTATTTTAGGAAAGATTTGTTCTCTAAAAGCAGTAGGAATATCTTACCAGATTATCAAGTTTAATTTGAAAAATTGACTTTGGGCTGGGCGCGGTGGCTCACGCCTGTAATCCTAGCACTTTAGGAAGCCAAGGCGGGTGGATCATCTGAGGTCAGGAGTTTGAGACCAGCCTGACCAACATGGTGAAACCCCGTCTCTACTAAAAATACAAAATTAGCTGGGGGTGGTGGCCCATGCCTGTAATCCTAGCTACTAGGGAGGCTGAGGCAGGAGAATCGCTAGAACCCCAGAGGTGGAAGTTGCAGTGAGCCGCGATTGTGCCATTGCATTCCAGCCTGGGCAACAAGAGCAAAACTCCATCTCAAAAAAAAGAAAAAGAAAAATTGACTTTGATTCTTGTTTATAATAAGTTCTTTTTTTCTTCCACTTTACCTGTCTCTTAATGATCTCAAAATCATTTAGCCTCAGCAGTGAAATAAAATTTCCTGCAAAACTGTAAAGCTTTCTTCTGTAAAGATAACTCCGGAAGGGGACTTCTGTTTACTTGTAAATTGAGCCAGCTCTTTTTGAAAATCATTTGAGGCCAGGTACAGTCGCTCATGCCTATAATCCCAGTATTCGGGAGGCTGAGGTGAGTGGATCCCTTGAGCCCAGGAGTTTCAGACCAGCCTGGGCAACATGGTGTAAACCCTGTTTACAAAAATTAAAAAATTAGCTGGGTGTGATGGTGCACACCTGTAGTCCCAGATACTTGTGACGCTCAGGTGAGAGGATTGCTTGAGCCAGGAACGTCAAAGCTGCAGTGAACCATGTTAGTGCCGCTACACTCCCAGCCTGGGCAACAGACTGAGACCCTATCTCTAAAGGAAAAAACAAAGAAAGAAACAAAGAAAGTAAATCAATTGAGAAAACTTTCATATGATTATTTCTTAGGTTATGAATTACAGCTAACAATAAAGATTAGTGATTAAATTGACCAATCTCTATAAAAACTTTCAGAATTGCTCTATTTTCTCACCTCTTTTTCACTTTATAAGTATACGTCCTTGAAAACTGCAGTTCCTATTGTTTTTCTTTTGTATGCCCCTTATGTTAGCAAAGGTTTTTTTGTTCTTAGCCAAACATAACAATTTTTTTTTAATCTGAAGACATAAAATATGGCTTTCTATTAAGAAAAACTGTAGAACCAGGTGCAGTGGCTCACGCCTGTCGTCCCAGCACTTTGGGAGGCCGAGGTGGGTGGATCACCTGAAGTCCGGAGTTCAAGACCAGCCTGGCTAACATGGCAAAACCCCATCTCTACCAAAAATATAAAAATTAGCCGAGTGAGGTGGCACGTGCCTGTAATCCCAGCTACTCAGGAGGCTGAGGCAGGAGAATCGCTTGAACCCAGGAAGTGGAAGTTGCAGTGAGCCAAGATGGTGCTGCTGCACTCCAGCCTGGACGACAGAGTGAGACTCCTTCTCAAAAAAAAAAAAAAAAAAAAAAAAGGGGGTCTCCTTTGTTGCCCAGGCTTGTCTCAAACCTCCTGGCTTCAAGTGTTCCTCCCGCCTTGGCCTCCCAAAGTGCTGGGATTACAGGCATGAGCCACTGTGCCTGGCCATAAAATTATTTTTAAATGAGACTTTGGAAGATTCAGAAAACTCAGGTTTTACTATGATTACGTAATTACAGTAACAGGATAATATAGTTGTGTACATTGTGTGCTAAGTGGGCATTTCCCCAGTGTATCCTTTGTTTAAATAGCAAGCTGTGATTCATGCATGACTAGTTACTCCTATTAGCAGAATGATTGCCCATTGAGTAGATATTTATTTGTGCATCTGCTGTGTTTTTGCTAATAAATGAGGACTTGTTGATGGAATAGGTTGACAATGGTATAAGCAGTAATAGAATAATAAAATGTACTATCAGATACACTGAAATATAGAAGGAATAATTTCCTTCTATATTTGTGGTTTGTTGTTTTTGTAGTAACTGTTATAAACAGAACAGTGTTATCATTTGTAGATAATTTTAGTATTAATTGACCTGCTGACTTATTTTAATTTAAATCTCACTGGGAAAACTTACCCTTAGACTGATTCCTAGTGAATTAACAAGAATGTGTTCACTCTAGTTATGTTTTTCTGATACCGCTTTTTAAAAGCTTCATCCTAAAGTAAAAGTACATTTCTTTCTTTTTTTCTTTAATTTTTTTTTTTTTTGAGACAGGGTCTGGCTCTATTGCCCAGGCTGAAGTGCAGTGGCGTGATCTCAGCTCACTGCAACCTCCACCTCCCAGGTTCAAGTGATCCTCCCACCTCAACCTCTCCAGTAGTTAGGACCACAGGTGTGTGCCAACGTGCCTGGCCAATTTTTTGTATTTTTGGTAGAGATGGGGTTTTGCCATGTTGCCCAGCTGGTCTCGAATTCCTGGGCTCAAGTCATCTGCCTGCCTTGCCTCCCAAAGTGCTGGGATTACAAGTGTGAGCCACCACACCCATCCTTTTCTTTAATTTTTAGTGAGAAAAGCACATAGGTCATAATGGTAGGCACTGGGTGCCATTTATATCCATATTTATATTGGAATCTATGGAATTGATATATGCTATGCTCCTAAAAACAAAGCTAAAAAAATTTATAAGAAATTGATTTATTTTGATATGAATATTGTATGTCAAATTAGTATAGATTATTTACATCCATTAGGTTATACTTTCTCTCCTTAAATCTATATTTACCTCAATCAGAAATCTAATTAGGTAGCATAAACAGTGCCTCAGATTTTCTAAACAAAAATATAAATTTTAACTCACTATATTAAAAGTAAGCTAATTAAAAATTTTAAATTATAGTCCTTTGTTACATAATTTAGACATCAGTTTTTACCAACAGTCTCTTTAGTTCTATAGTAAAAATTTTACACATTTCTATTATAAGAATAGAGAGGTGTTGTCATTTAGTAACTACTTTATGTATTTTAATTTTAAAAATAACCCACAAGTTGGAGCTGCTATTAATCCCTATTTTATAAATGAAGAAACCTACATTCAGAGAAGTTAATTAACTTGCCTAAGGTCACATAGCCAGTGAAGTGATGAAGATGAGTTATGAACCCAGGCAGTCGTTTATAATCTGTACTCTTAAACACTAACATTTAACACTTAGCCCTATTAGTCACTTATGTTAGATGTTTAACTTTGATCTAGTGGATCAAACTAGTAGAATATAAAAATCAAATTTGAGGCCAGGCACAGTAGCTCATGCCTGTAATCCTAGCACTTTGAGAGGCGGAGGTGGGAGGATCGCTTAAGCCCAGGAGTTCGAGACCAGCCTGGGCAACGTGGCAAAACCCTTTCTCTACAAAAAATGAAAAATTAGTGGGGCATGGTGGCACGCATCTGTAGCCCCAGTTACTTGGGAGGCTGAGGGAGGAGGATCGCTTGAGTCCAGCAGGTTGAGGTTGCAATGAGCTGAAATTGTACCACTGCACTCCATGAAAAGTAGAAATTAAAACTTCATCTTCTTAGCTATTTATCAGTATTAACTTAAAAGAGGATGTTAACATGTTCTTTGTAATAATTTAGTGGCTTTTTTGTGTAGGTGGTAAAATATCAGCTATCCAGAATTGTCTCTGGCTTTCATAATACTGTTACTCTAGGAATTGTCACTTTAATCAAAATCACAGGGTAGAAGTGGAGAAGTTGAAAGGCCTTATCCAGATTAAGAAGAGAAGGAGGAGTGAGTTACAGAATTCTCTCCCAGAAGGCGATATCAGATAAATCTAGAATGAATTTGACTGTGTGTAAATGTCAGTGAGTTGAGTATGATGTTTATGCTCTCCCTCTCACCCGGCCTCTGACAGAGTGACTTCTTCTTTTCTCTGTATTTCCAGGGTATTTTGTGTGTATCTCTATAATATGGTGCTATAATTATACCTTTATGTATTTATTTGCCCAACTAGACTGTGGATCATTAAGGCCTGTAAGCCGCAGTGCCTGACATTTAATAAATACTTGATAAGTCTTTGTTAAATACATGAATGACTGTAATTATATTCTTCCCTTCATTGGTTGTATTATATAACATTTACTACTCCCTTCTTTCTTCCTTTTTTCATTTTCTCTTTTTGTAAATTTTCCCTTCTTCCCAGTTTTTTTTTTAAATTTTCATGTCAGTCCTATCCTTTTTCAGTCCCATCCCACCATCCCTTTTTTCCTTATTTAATGCATTATCTCCCTCTTCTGCTCTTATGGAGATTTTCTGAATTAGCCAGGTTTTGAGGATGGGGTTGGCAGAGTATGAGAGTAATGATAGTCTGTCTCATGTCAGTTATAAAGAAATTTGTCCTAGGCTACCAGTTTCATAATAGTTCATGATTAGAGATGGATTTAGACTTCCTGATCTTTTGGTGTTATATCCTAAATTATTCTATATTTCTGTCACTTTGAATCCTTTAAGTCCATTCTGCACACTAGAGTTTCTTAAAATATTACAGAAACTGGTGCCAGAGCTTCTTCGTGCATAGATGACTACCATCCTACAGTCCCCCTCTTCCTCACAAAAAGTTTGCTTTATCGGGCGCTTATGGTTGCAAATGGTATAGATTGTCTCTCTGGTTTGTTGGACTCATGGAAAGATTATGAGAGTGGTTAAGAGACTGAGCCATGGAATGAAAGTATATCAGCACCAGAAAATAATGTCTCAAAGCCTGTATGATGTCCCACAGACACCTGGTCTAGCTTCCAAAGCTCCAAGAAAGTACCCGTCATAGGTAGTTGACATCCAGGATTGAGTCATAATGTGACCATTTATCTCCCTGACATAATAAAAATAAATATTTAGAGAAACAGAAGACAGATCCAGCCAAGTCTGAGAAGAGAGTTACAGATTCCCAAGTAGAATATGTCTATGAAATGAATATAACTAGATAATCAGAGCTAGAGATTAGATTCATTTTCTCAAAACTTCTACTTACTCAGAATTTCTTCTTTCAGGAGTCACATTTCCTACTGTATAAGATAGAAAGGGGTCCTTTAGGATGAGGATTAAGGCTTCCTTCATCCCATCTTCACTTCACACAGCGCTTATCAAGACAATCTGCACAATTTGAGCCTATTTCTGGTAATTGCATTGGTACCTACTTCCCTTCTCTGCAATGCCAAGATTTCCCTTTGTAGTGATAAACAGGCTTCCACAGAATATGTTAGGAAGAGTCTGTGTCGGTCTTCTGTAAAATGGGGATATGAATAGTTCCTAGCTCATGGAATTGTTATGAAGATGAGTTAATGCTTGCATAAAGCCTTGAGGAAAATACACTGCATGAGTTACTGCCCAATACATTTAATACATTTATCATGTGTTCAGAACAGTGGGAAGAGGGCTGATTTTTGTGGTATAATTTCAAGATGTACACAGTCATTACCATGTCATTAGTGAAAAGAAAGTGGCTTTGGTTAGATAATGAGGCATGCCTCAGATGGAGTACCATCCTTTCCTACTTATCCTCTGTAAGCAAAGAAGAGTTTTGTATTCAGTTAGCTAAGATGGAGAACAGTCTAGAAATTATAGCACTTGCCTCTCCAGCAAAACTTCCTAACTTTAGAGCCTCTCAGTGCTTCTATCTTTTGCTGCTCTGTGCTTTCAAATTCAACTCTTCCCACCTCTTTGCTTTCTATTTTCTTTTCTTTTTCTTTTTTTTTTTTTTTTTTTGATAACATGGGTGAATTTCTTTTTTTTATATATACTTTAAGTTCTGGGGTACATGTGCAGAACATGCAGGTTTGTTACATAGGTATACATGTGCCATGGTGGTTTGCAGCACCCATCAACCCATCATCTACATTAGGTATTTCTCCTAATGTTATCCCTCCCCCTGCCCCCCACCCCCCAACATGCCCCAGTGTGTGATGTTCCCCTCCCCATGTCCATATGTTCTCTTTGCTAAACTCCCACTTATGAGTGAGAACATGCGGTGTTTGGTTTTGTGTTTGTGTGTTAGTTTGCTGAGAATGATGCTTTCCAGCTTCATCCATGTCCCTGCAAAGGACATGAACTCATCCTTTTTTATGGCTGCATAGTATTCCATGGTGTATATGTGCCATATTTTCTTTATCCAGTCTATCATTGTTGGGCGTTTGGGTTGGTTCCAAATCTTTGCTATTGTGAACAGTGCCACAGTAAACATACATGTGCATGTGTCTTTATAGTAGCATGATTTATAATCCTTTGGGTGTATACCCAGTAATGGGATTGCTGGTTCAAATGGTATTTCTGGTTCTAGATCCTTGAGGAATCGCCACACTGTATTCCACAATGGTTGAACTAATTTATACTCCCACCAACAGTGTAAAAGCATTAGTGTTTCTCCACATCCTCTCCAGCATCTGTTGTTTCCTGAGTTTTTAATGATTGCCATTCTAACTGGTGTGAGATGGTATCTCATTGTGGTTTGATTTGCATTTCACTAATGACCAGTAATGATGAGCATTCTTTCATAAGTGTGTTGGCTGCATAAATGTCTTCTTTTGAGAAATGTCTGTTCATATCCTTCACCCACTTTTTGATGGTTTTTTTTTCTTGTAAATTTGTTTAAGTTCTTTGTAGATTCTGGATATTAGCCCTTCATCAGATGGATAGATTGCAAAAGTTTTCTCCCATTCTATAGGTTGCCTGTTCACTCTGCTGATAGCTTCTTTTGCTGTGCAGAAGCTCTTTAATTTAATTAGATCCCATTTGTCAATTTTGGCTTTTGTTGCCATTGCTTTTGGTGTTTCAGTCATGAAGTCTTTGCTCATGCCTATGTCTTGAATGGTATTGCCTAGATTTTCTTCTAGAGTTTTTATGGTTTTAGGTCTTATGTTTAAATCTTTAATCCATCTTGAGTTAATTTTTGTGTAAGGTGTAAGGAAGGGATCCAGTTTCAGCTTTCTGCATAGGCTACCCAGTTTTTCCAACACCATTTATTAAATAGGGAATCCTTTCCCCATTGCCTGTTTTTGTCAGGTTCATCAAAGATCAAATGGTTGTGGACGGTGTGGTGTTATTTCTGAGGCCTCTGTTCTGTTCCAATACATGCTGTTTTGGTTACTGTAGCCTTGTAGTATAGTTTGAAGTCAGGTAGCATGATGCCTCCAGCTTTGTTCTTTTTGCTTAGGATTGTCTTGGCTATGTGGGCTCTTTTTTGGTTCCATACGAAGTTTGAAGTAGTTTTTTACAATTCTGTGAAGAAAATCAATGGCAGTTTGATAGGGATAGCATTGAATCTATAAATTACTTTGGGCAGTATGGCATTTTCACAATATTGATTCTTCCTATCCATGAGCATGAGTGTTTTCCCATTTGTTTGTATCCTCTCTTATTTCCTTGAGCAGTGGTTCGTAGTTCTCTTTGAAGAGGTCCTTCACATCCCTTGTAAGTTGTATTCCTAGGTATTTTATTCTCTTTGTAGCAATTGTGAATGGGAGTTCACTCATGATTTGGCTCTCTGTTTGTCTGTTATTGGAAGCACTAAACATGGAAAGAAACAACTGGTACCAGCCACTGCAAAAACATACCAAAATGTAAAGACCATCGACAATTATGAAGAAACTGCATCAATTAATGGGCAAAATAACTAGGTAGTGTCATAATGACAGCATCAAATTCACACATAACAATATTAACCTTAAATGTGAACAGGCTAAATGCCCTAATTAAAAGACATAGACTGGCAAATTGGATAAAGAGTCAAGACCCATTGGTGTGCTGTTTTCAAGAGACCCATCTCACATGCAAAGACACACATAGGCTCAAAATAAAGGGCTGGAAGAAGATTTACCAAGCAAATGTAAAGCAAAAAAAAACACAAAAAAAACAGGGGTTGCAATCCTAGTCTCTGATAAAACAGACTTCAGACCAACAAAGATCAAAAGAGACAAGGGCATTACATAATGGTAAAGGGGTGAATTTATTTCTTAAGATTTGAGTGCAAACTTAAAAACAAGAACAAAGCTTTTCATCAAGAATAAACACAAAAGCTAAACAATTCTTCAGGCGTGCATTTCAACAGAAAGTACAAATATGAATACATTATAATTTTTAACTGCATTTAAAAATTAAAATATTTCTCTCCAAATCCAAAACAGTACAGTCTTTAATCTGTTCTCATCTTTTTTAGATGAATTATAAACATTTGTCATATGCTATCTGGAAAATATAGACAAGAATTACTAATCAGTTCTTTATGATCAAAGAAACATTATTCTCCTTAACTGTGAGTTTTTGAATCATTTATCTGTATTTCAGTTCAGAAATACCATATAATTACACCTCCACTCTAGACAAAAAAAGAATACAAATATCAAGGAGTAGGAACGTTCATAGAATTAAAGCAGAAGTCACAAGTGTTTGACTTAGAAATGTACATATTGTAATAATTTTTTTTTTTTTTGAGATGGAGCCTTGCTCTGTCCCCAGGCTGGAGTGCAGTGGCATGATCTCGGCTCAGTGCAACCTCTGCCTCCCAGGTTCAAGCAATTCTCTTGTCTCAGCCTCCCAAGTAGCTGGGACTACAGGTGGCCACTACCATGCCCGGCTAATTTTTTGTATTTTAATAGAGATGGTTTCACCATGTTGGCCAGGCTGGTCTCGAACTCCTGACCTCATGATCCACCCACCTTGGCCTCCCAAAGTGCTGGGATTACAGGTGTGAGTCACCACACCCAGCCCTGTAATAAATTTTTAAAGTACAACTTTAGTTAATGGCTGACATGTATGTAATAATTGTGAACAATTTAGGTATAAAAATGTGAGATCAAAATCTTTAGGCTCAAATACTTGAAAAGTCAGTATGAATATGGAAAGATTTGTTTACATAAACGTGTATATTTTTAGATGAAAAATCAGGGGGTAGTGGCATCTCCCTGATCCCTTAACAATATTTGGATTTTTGCAAAGAATTAGCAGCATCCATGCTGTTTTCTAACTATAGTTATTCCTGCTTTTTTTCCTCCTTTACTTCCTTTCTTAGTTATCCATTCAGCTCATTCCTTTCACTGCTAATTCTCAACCTAGCCACTGTTGCCAGGTCTCTGTATTTATGATTGGTTCTTTGGTTTCCATTTTATCAACTAAAGTAATCATGCTGAATGGTCAGACATGAAATGGAGACATTTAATACGACTTTTCTTGTTTCTGTGTTTTCTGATTTTTTTTTTCTTTCAGTTTCGAGTATTTACAGCCCCCTTCCATAAGGTAGGCTTTGCTGATTTCTGGCTGGCGGATCAGCTGAACAGCCTGTCAGTGATACTGATGGACCTGGAATATATGATCTGCTTCTACAGTTTGGAGCTCAAATGGGATGAAAGTAAGGGCCTGTTGCCAAATAATTCAGAAGGTAGGGTATGAATTTGCATCTATACTACTAAATCGCTGGTGTAAACCAAGATATATTGGGAAGGATAAATGAGAAAGTTAAGGTCATGATGAAAACTTACCCAATAATATTATAAACTTAATTTAATGTACTTGGCATTCTGTTAGCAGTCTCCTTATCTGATATAATTTGGCTTTTAAATTATGCATTAGGATTTCGTCTGTCCATTTGCCAAGATATTTACAACTTACACTTAAAGAATTCTAAAACTTTCTTCTAGCACATTGGTAGTTATATTGCAAGTGCTTTCATGCCAGCAATTTGTTGTCTCACTATTGCTGTATAATGTAACATATATACCAGTGATCAGAAATACTAATTATTTAGAAATAGATCAAGTGCTTTGAGAGTAACTACAGATTGCTTTTTAATTCTTACTTGGGATGTTATTTTTCTTCTGGCCGTTTTCGCACCCCCCCCTTAGTTTATGCCAGCAGTTCAAGTTATTAAGGAATTTTGCCTTCATGACAAAGATCTCATTGAGATAGAATATGTAACATGTGACTAACGAAAGTTGATGAAGCCGATGCTGACACATTCTTATTGATTGCCAGTGGATCACAGTTCTGTTGTAGGTTGATCACACTCAATTCTGAATTTCAGAATTCAAGGAAAAGTTGATTTACCAACTCCATTCTTATTTAAACACACAGTTTGTTCTTGGTTTAAAAAAAGAGGGGAGGTGGGTGTACAAGAGAATGTGCTCTTGGGTGTCTTGTGTTGTGGTGGTTTGGAATTCACAAAATTGTCTAGAATCACTGGTGATACTTGTAGGTTTTCCAGATGTTTCAAATTACAGAGCCAACCCGTTTTTTCCTCCTTCTATTAGTATACTCATCTTCTAATTTTCTTACAGTTTTATCACACTCCAAAGAAAGTGATTCCTGGACAGATATCCATAAATCTGAGAGAGCAAATTTCCCCACTAGTTCCCCCACAACATATTTTACCTTCTCTCCTTGACTTATCTATCACTAAAAAGCTTGAGAATAGACTGGGCGCAGTGGCTCACACCTGTAATCCTAGCAGTGTAGGAGGCTGAGGTGGGCAGATAACTTGAGGTCAGAAGTTTGAGAACAGCCTGGGCAACATGGTGAAACCCCATGTCTACTAAAAATACAAAATTAGCTGGGTGTGGTGGTATGCACCTGTAATCCCAGCTACTCAAAAGGCTGAGATGAGAGAATCCCTGGAACCGGGAGGCAGAGGTTGCAGTGAGCTGAGATTGTGCCACTGCACTCCAGCCTGGACCACAGAGCGAGACTCAGTCTCAAAAAAAAAAAAGAAAATCTTGAGAATATAATAGTTGCAAAGAAGAAAGTGATTCTGAAGGTTTTTTGCTTTTTTAGACTTGGTATTAGCTACACTATATGGCTAAATGATGTGAACAAGTTACTTTTTTTCAATGGTAATTTTTCTTCTTTGAAATCTTCACAGAATCAGGAATTTGCCACAAATATACATATGGTGTGCGGGCCATTGTTCAGTGCATTCCTGCTTGGCTTCGCTTCATCCAGTGCCTGCGCCGATATCGAGACACAAAAAGGGCCTTTCCTCATTTAGTTAATGCTGGCAAATACTCCACAACTTTCTTCATGGTGACGTTTGCAGCCCTTTACAGCACTCACAAAGGTATTCTGTGATTGACTCTGAAGAGATTTTTTTAAACCTGGATTTTTACTACCTGACTCTATTTCTTACTCTGGCTACTTTTCCATTTGTCATGCTCTTTTTTTTCCACTGAAATTTCAGTTCCTTCAGTTATATCAGTTTGTTCTTGAATGCAGTTTTAGTCTCATTCCAGTATCTACTGATAAAGTACCATTGAAAAGAAGCACAGTCACCCAGAATAATAATTTGTGATAATGTTTAAAATTCTGAATTATGTTTAATGGGTTCAATCTATGGATATCTTGGGTTTCCATTTGTTTTTAGACTTCCTTGTTCATTAATGAGGTTGGGAAATGTCTTGGTGAAAAAAAATTCCCTGTGGCAATCAAGTATATTTTTAATCGCTTTCCTTCACCAAGTAGTAAGAATTGTTTCCAGCCCATTTAACTGCAAATTGAGTTCTCTGATTCCTCTAGTTTCTCATCTCCATGGCAACGTATTATTACTTGAGACTGCTCTTCTGTTGAGAAGAGAAAAGGCTTTTAAGTTCTGAGCCACATGCAGCCACTCCTTTTGAATTTTTAACCTTTTTCCAAGAACTGTCAGTCAACAATCTCACTTCCTTTTAGTAAAATGCGTTCCATCTTTGTCTTTTTAAGTCAACATCAACCAACACCTTAGATGCTGCACTTTTTCATCTGTAGGTTGTAAAGAGATGTTACTAATTGAAATTAATAGTTATTTTTAAATACTTTGCAAAATTTTTTTTCAGTGATTTTTTTTTCTTAATTGAGAGACTATATTTTAGGAGCTTTGGCCAGTGCTACAAAATTGCTGTCAATCTAAAGTGTGTCTAACGGTCATAAAAGATCAGAACATTGCTTCAATAAACCTTGAGATTTGATGCAGCAGATGATATTTATAATATAATTCCACTTTTTGCAGTAGATTCTGTGGTTGGAGTAGGATTGATAAATGTAGCCAATAATTTTACCACCATGTAGGCATTCTTGTTAAATGATATAATTTAAGTATGTCAGTGAAGGAAACACATCCCCAAAGTTCCCATAATTTTAACTCATACTGTGGAATGCTGTTGTTAAGTCCAGGCATATATCATAATTCAGGAGGTTGTTACTAGAGAATTTATAAATTGGGCAACTGATTTAATACATGGTATTTATGACTCCATTTACTAAGTTATAAAGAACCCTTTACTTTTCTTCCATCCCAGGTAAAAATGAGTACTGTTTTTTGGTCGAATATTTTAGAACATAATATACCTTTAACTGCAGTTGACGCCTGAACAGCTTGGAGATTAGGGGCACCAACCTCTCACACAGTTGAAAATCCACAGATAACTTTTAACTCCCAAAAGCACTACTAATAGTTACCATTGCCTGGAAGCCGTACTGATAAAGTAAATGGTCTATTAACACATATTTGGTATGTCATGTGTATTATATATACTGTACTCTTATAATCAAGTAAGCTAGAGAAAATAAAATCTTATTAAGAACATCATAAGGAAGAGAAAATATCTTTCCTGTTCATTAAGTGGAAGTGGATTATCATGAAGGTCATCTATGTCATCTTCACATTGTGTAGGCTGAGGAGGAGGAGGAAGAGGAGGGGTTGGTCTTGCTATTTCATGGGTAGCAGAGGCAGAAGAAAATTCATATGTTAAGCGGACCTATGAAGTTCAAACCCATATTGTTCAAGGGTCAACTGTATACTGATAGCATTCAGTAAAAAGCTGAAAATCCAAATTCCTCAAATCTGTGAACAGTCCAAATCTAAAACAAATCTAAAACAAATCTAAACTAAAAAAGTAACAGTTTAGATAGTATTGTGGGCTTAAGACATTTCTTACTGACATACTTCTTGAAAGAATTTTATAAACCGTATTACCTTTCGGACATTTTTAAGTTTACAACTGAAATTTTTCATCTTAAGTTTAAATAATTACAAAAGATACCGTTTCAGTGTATTTTAAATGTTCACATTTTAAAATAAAACTGCTAAATATTTCTATTGTGCAATAGTCAGAAAATTTCCATCTCTTTGCTGTTGAACTATAATGTATCTTTATTTTAATGTAATATATTTTTGTTTTAATGACTTGTCTGCTACATAAACATGTAAATTGAAATTAAATTATTTCTGTCACTAAGAGATTAATTTGTTTTCTGTTCTGGGTTGTAATTACTATTACCCTGATTATTACCTACAGTTGATCAAAGCAACATTACAAATGTATTACACATTTAATTTTTATAAGTAATTGTTGCAGATAAACATTTCTTAATGAGATAAATTTATGTTATTACTATTTCCTTTTTCAGTTTTTATATAAGTAAACTCAGAAATCTTGTGGCTATGCAGATGAGAATAGGAGTTTCGTTGTTGCAGTATCCCACAGTTTTATGAGTTCAGTGAGTTATTTATGGGTTATTTACCCAATTCTGAGTTATTTGTTCAAAAAATTGTATAGTGATCTGTCATCAATAAATATTTTTAGTAATGAAATTTTCTTGGTTGAAAGCAAAGAGTTGAAAATAAATAAAGCAAATAATTGAACATGAACTGAATGAAAAAGGATTTGATAACCAGCCATTGGAGTCATTAACTTTCTAACCTAGACAGTAGACCATCGTATGATTATTAATTTTAGAAGCTCTTTGTCTAATGCAACATATGCAAATAATTGTTAGGAAAATAAAAATATTGTTAATTTCAGTACACATTTACCAGTGCAATATTTTATGATGAAATAATTTTATCATATTCTTTAAATGTGCTTTTGCAAAAAATCTGGAACTTCAGATTACACTCATCTGAGCTATGGAAAATATCTGCAATATACCTGTAGGTGAGGAAAAACTTACTCCTCTACCCTCTTAAGTAATTGGGGCCTGCAAATGAAATTGACAACAGATAGATTAATAAAAGAAACGGTTTGTTATGTACACAGAGGTCTTCATAGAAAGGAAGACCCAAAAGAAGTGTTTAGACTAGGGGTTGGAGGGGGGCTTATATACCATTTTTACAAAGAATGATAAATTGTGAAAAAGTAAGTTTAGACAAAAGTAGGGGATTGGGCTTCTGGATGGTAAATTGTGAAAAGGTAAATATATGGAGATTCTAATGAAAGAAAAGGATTATTTAGTAAGGTTTGTTATGCATACCAAAGTTGGTGTCTTCTCCATTGATAAGCGTCATCTCTGGTAAAGAAGTGTTGCCCTCGGCCGGGCGCGGTGGCTCACGCCTGTAATCCCAGCACTTTGGGAGGCCGAGGCGGGTGGATCATGAGGTCAGGAGATCGAGACCATCCTGGCTAACAAGGTGAAACCCCGTCTCTACTAAAAATACAAAAAATTAGCCGGGAGCGGTGGCGGGCGCCTGTAGTCCCAGCTACTCGGGAGGCTGAGGCAGGAGAATGGCGTGAACCCGGGAAGCGGAGCTTGCAGTGAGCCGAGATTGCGCCACTGCAGTCCGCAGTCCGGCCTGGGCGACAGAGCGAGACTCTGTCTCAAAAAAAAAAAAAAAAAAAAAGAAGTGTTGCCCTCCTCTTCCTAGTATGGGAGTGACAGCGTCACCTTTAGAAATGGAAATTTATATTACATTTACAAAAGGAATTTATGCCCTGCTTTTAGACAAAAAGAGGGAGGGCAGATATATTTCCCTTCATCTGAGGGTTTCTTAGTTACCTTCAGCTCAAAATAATCCTTATGCCAAAGTTACATATTTGGGGTGGCATACTCTGATCCTCTTCATACCCTAATTGGGAAATCAGTCAGACAAGTGGAAAAAATTTTGACTTCAGGTTAACATATTTGTGTGTGTGTGTGTGTGTGTGTGTGTGTGTGTGTATATATATATATATATATATATAAACTGGACAAAATTTTTTGCCCACAGTAAAAGTTTTTTAAAAACCAGAAACAAAAATATTTTTTAGATGGACCGTTGGTTATATATCTTAATCATATTGCTAAAATAAAAAAAACCTTATAGTTACATGTTAAATATTCATATCACTAAAATTTTTAACTAAAAAGCTTAAAACAGAGAGGAAAAAATTGAAATATATATATATGTATATATGTCCATGTGTAAGCACCTCGTTCCTTCATTCTAGTTCTGAGTTAGATGCATGACCAGGTAGATAGGTAGACAGGGAGGCAGAGCAGGCATACATTCAGCAAGTACTTACTAAGAATATTTTATGTAACATGCCGTGCTAAGCACTAAAAAAAATAGCAACAAAGCACAACACAATTCTTGCCCTTAATAATTTATAATCTAGTGGGGGAATAGACAAAGTAAAAAGGCATTAATTGGTTCTTAATAGTATTGTTAAGTGTACTGTTTTAGACATGGCTTAAAATGGTAAATTTTGTTTGTTTTTACCACAGTTTTTTTTTAAAGGCATAAAAATAGAGTATAAAGAGATAAGCAGGGTACCGAAAGAACCCCCAGCACAGGTCTCTAACTCAGTCTCCTAGGCCTCAGAATGGGAGGAAGACTTCTGGAGGTAACATCTAAGCTGTATCCTATTGTTTATATTAAGTTAAGGAGGATTCTAGTTACCCTGTTATGTGCCTTGCTCAAGGACATGTAATTTGTGAGTGGTGGAGGTGTAGTAGTTCTCAGTTCTATTCTTCAGCCTAGGGATTTTTTTTTTTTCCAGACAAAGCGACATCTTTAAAGTGGAGATAATGGTACCTATTCTGTTTGTTTCACAGGTTTGTTTTAAGGAGTAAATAATAGAGTGCACATGAAATCCCCTTAGACTCTTAACATGCTACGTAAAGGGAATTTATGATAAAATGAAATATTTTCTTTGCTGACTAGAGCTGCTATATGTGTGTCTTCCTTTACAGCCTTTTAAAGAGAAACCCTTAATGATTGTCTTGGCCAGGGGACTTGCACAGGGCAAGTATCGATTAGAAATGTGTTTGGCTTTTTGCCCAAGTAACATAGCTACTTACTCACCGAACACTATTCAGTACTCACTGTCAAAGTTTTTTAAAAACCAGAAACAAAAACACTTTTTAGATGGACCATTGGTTATATATCTTAATCATATTGGTAAATAAAAAAAAACTCATAGTTGCTACATGTTAAATATTCATATCACTAAAATTTTTAACCAAAAAGCTTAAAATCGAGGGAAAAAGATTGAAAAGACAACTCAGAGGAACCATTGACAGAAAATTTGACATTGAATATTGATCAGAAGTAGAATTTGTTAAAGAACATGGGAAATGGGAAAAATAAAAACATCAAATAAGTGGAATTTGATTTCTGTTATTTTCTTGGATAATATTCCAAGAGAAAAGGCACTAGAAAACATGGACTTTAGAAATAATCATTAAGCCAAAAGAAAAGATTCAATATGATTAATTGGGTAGATACTTTTCTATGAAATGTATGTGTACTGTTACAAAGGATAAATTTTAGAGGGGCAAGGAGTAAAAGACAGTGAGGTAACCTTGTTTGGATTCAGAGATCTGAGTCTTTTCAAAGAACTAGCCTGCAAGAGTTACCATAGCAACAGCATTATATTAGGGGCATTTTCAAGATTGTTTCAGAGTGTCTCATGTTTTGCTGCATGATTTGTAAAAATTGAGATGTAAGAGTAAACCGTGTGTCTAGAATCATTTTTTGGAAAGTAAGGGAGGAGGTTGGAGGTTTAGGCAGCCCATTTGAGGGAAATTAAGGATGATAATATAAGTGAGCTAGCACTCACTTATATTAAAAAGGAAAACACGTTTGAAATATTTCAGTATATTTTTTCTATCATTGATTTTAGAAACAAAGGAATTTAGCTAGTAGCCAGTCTCCATATTTTAAGAATTCACATTTCATTACATGGCTAAATTTGAAGGCAATTCCTACAAGTGTTTTGTTGGAATTGGGATTGGAGGAGGCACAAACGTGTTTTAAATGGTTTTTGTGTGTCCTTGAGGTTTCTTGGCTTTGGCAAAGAAAAGCCTGTGGGAGGTACAATAATAGAAAAGGCCATTATGTTGTTCTTTCTAAGTGGTTGTTGAGGGAAAGCATTTCATTAGATTTTCTATTTTTCATTTACAGTTTCTAACATTCTAAAATATTTGTAAATTTTTAGTGATTTAGTTAGCTCTTTGTTACTCTTTGATTTTGTATTTTACTTTAGACTTTTTGTTAGTGTTTGCTAAAAAGCATTTGCTACTAGACTTTATAAAATACTTGGAACAAAGAGGTATTCTCGGCACAATTAAGAGTTCATTTATGTCTGTGTGGTTGTTTTCCAATGCCCAGATCTTTCTAGATCCCTTCTTGTTTAACGTTCTCTAAGGGCTGCTGTGCGCCCTAATGAGGATTCCTCAGTAGGAGCTCAGGGCCTTCAGCGCCTATCATTGTTTGAGTGAGCACACATAGTCCTGAAGTGCTTCCTCCCTGGGGTATGACCAGTTTATTACCCTCTGTCTACCCTGAGTAATAGACTGTTATGCCAAAATGTCCACATTTTAGTCTTCTTATGCTATAATAGAAACACTAATTGTTTTTCATTCTCTAGGGAAATTTTTGTTTCATTAACTTTAAAAAAAAAAAGATATACACACATTTTTAAAAACTGATTTGGATAAATGCTCTCATTCTTGGCTTACTATTAAAGTAGCTCAAATTTTTAACTCTTTCAAAATTGATATATTTCTGCTGTAATTTCCTAGCCTAACTAATAATGCAGAAAATAAGCAAATTATTTGGGAATTTATCTTGGCAATATTTGCTTAAGAACTGACGATGCCGTAAAGCCAAATATGAGACTTTTTTCCTGATTATTAATTTTACTTTAATTCAACAAATATTTCTTGAGTGGTTTTTATCTACTTGGCATTGTTATTTTTAAATGGTTTTATAATTATATCCCATCTTAAATTGCTTTTAAAATATTAATTATAGCTTTGAATAAATTTCCTTTGCATCTTCTTTGTTACTTAAAGAAAAGTCTTTAAAAAAAAAAAAAAGAACACATATGCTTACACCCAATACCATTTTGGTAGTCTTATCTCTAGTCACCTTTGTTTTCTTAATTGCTCTTAAAACTGATAGATGTAATTGGCATTTCTACATAAATTATGTTGCATTTGTAACACTCGTGTACAAAAGTTTAAAGTTTAAAAAGTCTCTACTATTTTATTGCTTAGAAATTGAGAGAGGATCTGTGGTGTTTAAAAGAAATAGTTGACCGGGCACAGTAGCTCACACCTGTAATCCCAGCACTTTGGGAGGCTGAGGCAGGTGGATCACCAGGTCAGGAGTTCGAGACCAGCCTGGCCATCATGGTGAAACCCCATCTCTACTAAAAATACAAAAATGAGTTGAGTGTGGTGGCAGGCGCCTGTAATCCCAGCTACTCGGGAGGCTGAGGCAGGAGAATCATTTGAACCTGGGAGGCGGAGGTTGCAGTGAGCCGAGATTACACCATTGCACTCCAGCCTGGGCGACAGGGCAAGACTCCGTCTAAGAAAAAAAGAAATGGTTGAAAATTTTTTATACAGGAGTTTGTCTAATTGAAGAGAAATTTGAAGACCAATTGCTTGAAAGTTGAATTTTTAATTTTCATTTTAATTTACATACTTTATATTATACATAATTTTACATGAGAAAGCTATGGTGAAAAGTATAAACATCAGAAAATGTCATATCTAGGTATTTACAGCAAAAAGAAAAGAAAGAGAAAAAAATGAGCAGGCAAATGTACTTACAGACCTTGAGTTCCTGCTAAGTATATGGTACTCTAAGGAACATAATAAATTGTATGTGACTCTCTTTCCCTTAGAGTTTTATAATATAATACAGTAAGTGTACTCATCGACTATTAACAGCATAATAAACCAACCCAAAACTCAGTAGCTTAAAAACAGCTTTAATCCATTCTTGCTTATGCATCTGTAGGTCAGCTGGGAATTGACTGGACTAGGCTGGGCTCGGCTGGATAGCCTTCAGGCTGCTATTCTGGCAGGGTTTGGCTCCTCACTGCAGGTTGGGTTTGGGTCTATTTCATGTGTGTTCATTCTGGCGCTTCAATTGAAAGAGCAGCCACTTAGCCAGGGGAAACTTCACATGGCACTGACAGAAACAAGACCTATTACACAAATTTTAAGCCTCTGCTTGCTTCATATCTGCTATCCTCCAAAGGCCATTGCAACTGCTAGGCCAAAGCAAGTCACCAAACCCTACATTAATGGGGCAAGAAAGTATACTTCTGCCATGGAAACAGGGATGGGCTGAAAGGGAGAGAAGAGTTTTAAAATGTAATCTAATCTACTGTGATACAGAAAACAATTTAAACTGATTTGTCTAAAGTGGCAAAGGACTTAAAACAGTTAATTTTGTAGAATAAACATAACTAATAAACATGAAAAATTTTCCACTTTGGTAATAAAAACAGAAATATAAATTAAAATAATATTTAATCAAAGAAGTGATGATGCCTATCACTGGCAAGGGTACGGAGAGATGAAAACTCATTCTGTTGGTAGAGTATAAATTTGTAAGCAATTTGGGAATTCTCTCGAATCTTAAAATCATTCATACCTTTTGACCTAGTAAGTACCTTTCCACAACTTTTTCCTAAATAGAGAATTGGGCAAAAATGAATGTATCTTTGTAACATTATATAGTAAAAAACTGAAATAATCTAACAAATGTTCAGCAATAGGAGAATAGCTTACTTACAGTAACTGCATAGTATATGAAATATTATACAGTGGCTTGTTAAAAGTCACACAGTGGACCTGCAAATAGTAGATGAAGAATAATGACTGTGTGTGTGTGTGTCTGTTTTCACAGATGGTCTTGCTCTGTCACCCAGGCTGGAGTGCAGTGAGTAGCTTGGTCATATCTCACTGTAGCCTCAAACTCCTAGGCTCATGGGATCCTCCCACCTCAGCCTCCTGAGTAGCTGGGACTACAGGGTCGTGCTACCATGCCCAGCTAATTTTTATTATTGTTTTTAGATACAGGGTCTCACTACTGTTGCCCAGGCTAGTCTCAAACTCAGTCTTCCAAAGCTGACCTGAGCCTGCTGACACACTTAAATTAAGAGCAATGTGGACTCGGCCAAAATACGAAAATAATTTCTCTCTGCCAGAAAATCGAAAGTCATTCTTGAATTGGAGGGAAACAAAACTAACATATTAATGTTGTTTCAAGTGATGGCAGAATCATTTGACATGATTAATTTGCTTAGTGTTGTATCCTTTTTTAGGTCTTAAGAAATATCAAGGGGGCTGGGCACGGTGGCTCACGCCTGTAATCCTAGCACTTTGGGAGGCCAAGGCAGGCAGATTACCTGAGGTTGGGAGTTCAAGACCAGCCTAGCCAACATGGCAAAACCCTGTCTCTACTAAAAATTATAAAAAATTAGCCAGGTGGAGTGGCATGCACCTGTAATTCCAGCTACTCGGGAGGCCAAGGCAGGAGAATCGCTTGAACCCAGGAGGCGGAGGTTGCAGTGAGCTGAGATCACGCCACTGCGCTCTAGCCTGGGCTACAGAGTGAGACTTCATCTCAAAAAAAAAAAAAAAATGTCAAGGGTAGTTAGGGTAATTTGTTAAAGCTGGCTAGCAATTTTCTCAATTTATATTGTTAATAAATAAGGAATGTTGTGAGCATGCTTTTTAGAATGTAATGAACGAAAGACCAGTGGGCTAATGTTGAATTTCTTGTTTGTTTGTTTTTGTTTTTGTTTATTTATTTATTTTTTTTTTGAGATGGAATCTGGCTGTGTCACCCATCCTGGAGTGCAGTGGCACGATCTCAGCTCACTGCAACCTCTGCCTCCCAGGTTCAAGCAATTCTCCTGCCTCAGCCTCCTGAGTAGCTGGGATTACACACGCCCACCACCACACCCAGCTAATTTTTGTATTATTAGTAGAGATGGGGTTTGACCATGTTGGCCATGCTGGTCTCAAACTCCTGACCTTACCTCAGGTGACCTGCCTGCCTCGGGCTCCCAAAGTGTTGGGATTACAGGTGTGAGCCACGGTGCCTGGCTAATACTTAATTTCATTGATACTTTGGATAGGTATAAGATACGGTTTTCATGAAAATATTCAGAGTGAAGAAACTTTTCGTACACTACACACAATATTTTCTTCACATAGTAAAAAAAAAAAAAAATGATGCCACTTAATAGGAAGGAAAATAAAACATCTACCTAAATATCTCATTGATAAGTAGCATTTGTATTTCTACTTGTTCCTCTCCTGTGGGCTCCTCAGGCCTCTCTCTAAATACTTTTTAGTTGCTTCTGAATAATACCCCAGAACATCTTTCTTTTAAAGGTAGAATTGTACTACTTGTAACTATTTTATCCTTACCAGGAATCTTCTCAAACGAAGTAAATATCTCCCAAAGTAGAATGTTGAAGTCTACACAACACATTTCATAGCTGGTATAGAAAAGACTGAATCACTGAAGAAAATTAGGCAGAAACTCTAAGATCTGTTATATAGTCTTCTCACTTATGAATATTAGACTAATTCTGTTTCCTTTCTCAACTGAAAAAGTTGATATTTGAAATTAATTTTTAAATCTGTCATTAAACTTTCTATTGCAGAAAGTAGTATTTCTTACCTAAAGAGCAAAATACTTAGCTCTTCTCAATTTAATCAACCCTTCTTCCAGTAAGAATTTTAAAAGCACCATCTTAGTGAAAGGCACGTTTTCACATTGAGAACTAGAATGTGGGCTTTGGAGTTAGGACTAGGTTAATTTAGCCACTTACTAATTATGTTACCCTGAGAAAGTGACTAGATTTCTTTGATTTAAAATTAGTAAAATTGAGAGAATAATTCCCACCTCATAAGTTTATTATAAAGATTAAGTTGTGTAAATACACTATAACTGGTGTTAATTGGTATTGATATCCTCTCCACCATCTGTGATGAAAGCGTGAAAAAACTCACATGCAAAATATTAGGGAAGGGATTTTCATTATAGATGTGGAAGAATTTAAAATAATTATGAGTAAATGTCTAGATAAAATGGACCATTTATTTTTAGGAAATTAGAAATTAACAAGATAAATGCAAGAAGGCAGACACTCTAAATTATGGACTAAGAACTATTGCAGGAATAGGGAAAGTTGTCTTTGAAGTGTCAGACCACAGTTTTTTCACAAGTGAAACTTTGTAAAACCTTTCAAACCTTCAAGGAATGGTTTGTGCCATTTAAACCGTTTGGAAACGTAGAAGGAAAGCATCTTATTTCTCTTTACAAAACTAGCATAATTCTGAAAAATATCACACTCAATAAAGCTGTAGTCTAATGTTACTTATTAATATACATACAAAAATTCTTTAAAAAAATTGATACAAGATAATTATACATATTTATAGGGTACATAGTGATGTTCTGTATATGTGATCAGATCAAAGTAATTAGGATATCCATCTCAAACATTTATCATTTGTGTTGGTAACACTCACTATCCTTCTAGCTATTTGAAACTGTATATTATTGTTAACTGTAGTCATCCTACTGTGGTATAGAACACTAGAACTTATTGCTCCTATCTAGATGTAATTTTGAATCCTTTAACAAATCTCTCCCTATCCTTCTCTCCCCTATGCTTCCCAGCTTCTTGTAACCTCTGTTGGACTTTGTACTTCTATGAGATTAACATTTTTAGCTTCTACATATGAGTGAGACCATGTGGTGTTTAACTTTCTGTGCCTGGCTTATTTCACATAATGTAATGTACTCCAGTTCCATCTGTTTTGCTGGGAATTACAGGATTTCATTCTTTTTTATGGCTGAATAGTATGCCATTGTGTATATACACCACATTTTCTTTATCCATTTATCTGTGGTTGGACACTTATGTTGATTTTTTTATCTTGGCTATTGTGAATAGTGCTGCAGTAAACATGGGACTGCAGATGTCTCTTTGTTATACTGATTTCTTTTTCTTTGGACTGAAATGCCAAGTAGTGGAATTGCTAGATCACGTGGTAGTTCCTATATGCAGCTTTCTGAGGAACCTCCATACTGCTCTCCATAGTGACTATACTAGTTTACATTCCCACCAACATTATAAAAAGTCTTAATAAAATGTTTGCAGCTAGAACTGAGCAGTATATTAAAAGAATAATATACCATGACTAAGATATTTTAGTAATGCAAAAAATAATTCAGTGTTAGGAATCCTTAAAAATTAAATGTTACCATATCACTAAACCAAAGGAGAAAAGCCATGTGGTCAGCTCTGTAGGTGCCAAGGAGATGTTTGTTAATTTTTTAAGAAAGAATATAAGAATACTTCCTAAGTATAGCAAAATACTATACACACATGTGCGTATAATATGTCACTCTGTATCTTAGACCAATGACTAGAATCACGATTAAAGGTAAAAAAAATTTTTAAGTTGTTGGCCTAGACTTTCTAAGGCCCCTTTAGCTCTTTACATTCTATTAGTCTGATAGAGCTATTTGCAAATATGTCATGTGTTGGCAGACATTATGTCATTTTGAACCTGATACCAACTCCGAAAGAAAGGAAACAGGTGTTATTCTCATTTTGCTTGCGCAAGGTCACATGACAGTAAGTAGCAAAACCAGAATTTTGACTCTAGATTCATTCCTTTTTTTAACTCTAAAAAGTTATTTCCTACAAGGCAGCGTGCTATAATGTTGTGATCCTCAAATTTTGGTGTGTATCTGAATTACTTTGGATGCTTGCTTTAAAATGCATTATCTTGGGTTTTACCTTCAGTCTAATTGAGTAGGATTAGGGCGATCCAAAATTTGCATTTTTACCATGTCTTCTGCTAAAGGTGATTCACTGAGGACACATTAAGTGCATGCAAACAACAGATGTTGTAAACAGATGTGGTGTTGAGCAAATATAGAGACAAATAAAAGTAGATTTGAATACTACTTCCTCCTACTGAACTATTTGTAAAATCTTAGCAGTCAAGTGATGAATGGTACATAGGCAATAAAGCATACTGGGTGAGAGTGTGGGCTTTGGATCAATGAATCTTGGGCATGTTGCCTGATGATAATGGTACTCACTTCATAAGGAGGTTTTAAGGACATATGTGTAAGTTTTCATAGAGAGGAATGAGAAAGCAGAGCAGAGACAGTCAAGTGTTAGTTATACTTCAGTGGAAGTCTCAATACAGGTACATGCGTGCGCACACCCACAAAGCACATCAAGAAAGGGGACCCAGGAGTTCCCCACCAACAAAAAGATTTTGTTTCTCCCATCAGCTTTTATTCTGCTGAAAGTCATTAGAGACTATTGAAATTTTTTATTTTTAATTATATCTCAAAGTGGATTGATACTGCAGTTGGTGAAGTAGATTCCACAGTAAATATGTGAGTAGGTGTTTCAGAAGTACTGACTTTGATTTTTTGGTAGCATTTGAGATAATACAGGTTTTACTCTACTTCTAAAAATATTTTATTTAAAAGAAAAATGAAATGAAGGTTTATATAAAAAGGCATCACAGTTTTGGACTGTTTTACTCTGATATTTAGAATTGTTTCAGATGGATTTTTTAGATCTGATATGTTTTACTGGTGTAGAATATTGGCAGGCTGTATGAAGAAAACGTGGAAGAGATTTTGGCTTTCCTTCTCTCTGTGCCTATCTCCTATTATATTTCTTCTCACTCCCTTTTTAGGTTTGTTAACTAACCATAATATGGAATACATATTGTTATTTCTCACATTTCTAGAATACATCTTTGTGATCTGCATTTATTTTATATTCAATTCTGATTACTATATTCTGTATTATAGCTGCTTAAAGATGTACTCCAATCTTATTTCCATTTTTAAATGACTATAATTTTAGCTTATGTTTATCACTTTTTTCAGTTCAATTAAGAAAAAAGTTTCTGCCCATATGTATGTACTACCTGAAGCTTTCATAAAATGAGCACTTGAGACACTGTGTAAAATGTATAGAATCCTGGCCAGGCATGGTAACTGACACCTGTAATCTCAGCATTTTGGGATGCCAAGTTGGGAGGATCACTTAAGGCCTGGAGTTCGAGACTAGCTTGGGCAACATAGTGAGACCTCATCTCTAAAAAATTATTTTTTAATTAGGCAAGTGTCGTGGTACACACCTGTATTTCTAGCTACTTGGGAGGCTGAGGCAGGAGGATCACTTGAGCCCAGGAGTTCAAAGTTACAGTGAGTTATTATTGTACCAATGTACTCCTGCGTGGGCAACAGATTGAGACCCTGTGTCTTTAAAAAAAAAAAAAAAAAGGATTATAGTATCCTTATATTTCTTTTAAAGTGGTTATAGTTGTTAGCATTTCATTTAGTTAAATAAATGAAATTGTGTCTTTTCCAGGAGAGAAGGCAGAAACACATAGTTTATCTGCTCCAGAATTGTTATTTGGTTATAGAACAAAAGGAGTGGGGAAAAGCAGAAATAGATATTTTTTAATGTAAAAACACCAAACTTCTATTTAACTCATGAATTAAAGAGGAAACCAGCCAGTTGTCACTACTGGTTCAAAGGAGAGACAATATATTTTCCACATGATGGTTAGTTAACAAACCTTTACTGTGGAGTAAAGGAATGCTGATATCCATTTACAAATGGACACAAAATTTGCTTTTTCTACTGGAGGTGGGGTGTGGTGGAGGAGTAGAGGGTAAGATGGAATCTGTTGGACCTCCGTCAGACAGAATTTATTTGTGTGCCTATAGACAGAATTATTGGCATTTATCCACAATTTATACAGAATTATAAAATAACTCCAAGACCAGAAAAGGCACAAACTCCATAGAAACATAACCTAGAAAGGTATGGTGTAAACAATGCATAATTTTCCATTTTAGTGCATAGTAATTATTTTTGCTTATTCCAAAGTCTTAACTTTTCCTTACAGCAATAACCTACTACAAGAATGTTTCCAAGGCTGTTGATCAAATGTGTAACAGAAAGGGATTTTTAAAAATAAGCCTAGACACACATACATAAGAAAGATATTGGAAGAGGTTCTGATGATCTGATCTGGGAAGGGGTATCTGATACAGCAGAAGAAAAGTTGCTAAACTCTGTCAAGAAAGGAAGTCCTAAATGGTGTCATTGATGCTTTTATAATCACTGAAGAGGTAACTTTGTTATTGAGGAGCCAGTAAATAAGGATCTATATGGATAATAAATTGAATATAAATAGTTTAATAATGAAATTACTTTCTTGATTACATCAGTCACATCCAGTTTTATTCAACAAACATTTACAAAACATCTTCAATGTATCAGGCACTACTAGATGCTAGGCATACATAGATGAACAAAACATATCTTGCCTTTAAAACCTCCTCTTGGAGCTCACGGTTTGGTAAGGGAAATAGACTAATTACAATAGAACATGGAAGTGCAATAATACTATATTATCAGTATTGTATAGGGTATAAGGTGGTTTCAAAGAGGAAGTGGTTAACTCAGTGAAGGTTTTGAGGAACAGTCAAGTTCTGTGGTTTTTTTTTAATTAAACATTTTGTTTTGAGATAATTGTAGAATCACATGCATGGCAAGAAGTAATGCAGAGAGATCCCATATACCCTTTGCATAGTTTCCCCAGTGGTAACACTTTACAAACATAGTATAATATCACAGCCAGAATATTGACATTCATACAGTCAAGATACAGAACATTTCCATCACCACAAGGATCCCCCCTGTTGCCTTTTTTGCACAGTATTCCCCCGACCCTATCCATACCTTCACTTTCTGCAGTTTTACTTATCGGTGGTCAACCACAGTCTGAAAACTTTATGCTATTTTGAGAGAGAAAGAGACCACAGTCACATAACTCTTATGGTTTTCGTTTTGTTTTTTGAGACAGGGTCTCACTCTGTCACCCAGGCAGGAGTGCAATGGTGTAATCTCAGCTCACTGCAGCCTTGACCTCTTGGGCTCATGCAGCCCTCTCACCTCAGCCTCCTGAGTAGCTAGGACTACAGGTGTGCGCCACCACACTGGTTTAATTTTGTTTATTTTTTGTAAAGGTGAGGTCTCCAACTCCTGGACTGAAGCAATCCTCTCACTTCGGCCTCCCAAAATGTTGGGATTACAGGCGTGAGCCACCACGTCCAGCCTTCCACATAACTTATTACAGTATATTATGATTGTTCTGCTTTATTATTATTGCTAGTCTCTTGCTGTGCTTAATTTATAGATTAAACTTTATCATAGCAGTACTATCCATGGTTTCAGGCACCAACTGGGGGTTTTGGAATGTATCCCCCACAGATTGCAATGGTGCAATCTCAGCTTACTGCAGCCTCCACCCGTTGGGTTCAAGCACTTCTCATGCCTCAGCCTCCCAAGTAGCTGGAATTACAGGCGCACACCAAGCCCAGTTAATTTTTGTATTTTTAGGAGAGACGGGTATTCGCCACGTTAGCCAAGCTGGTCTTGAACTCCTGACCTCAAGTTTTCCACCCGCCTCGGCCTCCCAAATTACTGGGATTATAGGCATGAGCCACTGCCACTGCGCCTGGCTTCTTTTCATTTTTTAAATTCAACCTATTTTCTTTCTTGTTCAGGTTAGGAAATTTCTATTCTATCTTTCAGTTGCCAGTTCTTTCCTCTGTCCCTTCTATTATTCTGTTAACAGTGAGTTTTATTTCAGTTATTGTATTTTTGGCTTCTAATATTTCTATTTGGTTCTTCTTTGTGTTTCCTGTATCTTTGGTGAGACTGTTTCTTTGCTAAGGCATTTTTATCATAGCTGCTGTGAGATCTTTGTCCAGTAATTCCAACATCTCTATCATCTCAGTTTTGACATCTTTGATTGTCTTTTCATTAAGTTTGAGATCTTCCTTGTTCTTTGTATGACTAGTGATTTTTTTAATTGAAAACTGGACAGTTTGGGTATTTTGTTATTAGACTATAGACACACACACACACACACACACACACACACACACACACACACCCTACCTCTTAATTATCCTTTGGATTGAGAACATTTCCTGCTTTTGCATGGTATTGCTAGCTGCTAACTGAGAGCTTTGGCAGCCTTACCTTCTGTGGCACAAATAATAGTGCATTCATGTGGTTTTTTTTTTTTTTTTTTTGTATTTTGTTGTATTTTGTTCGTTTTTCTTGAAATCAGTGGGAATTATCTGTGGTGATATTACACACAATTTTTTTAATGTCTCATAAGTGTAATACAGTTAAAACAGCTATAGGAATCATTAGGCATGCAGAAAGCAGCAACTTTTAAACATCATTGTGACACTCATTGAATTAAAAGCAGCTGTGTTTTGTTGTAAAGGAAAAAAATGATGTCTACAAAATGTTAGAACAATGCCGTTAAAGGTTGTATCTAAAAGGCAAGGAAAGTTTAATAGGGGTTTTGCTTTATCTATTTTTAGCTCTCAGGAACTTATCCTCATATAAGTCTGTTGCTTAACTTTTTCACATTCAACTTATTAACAAAAGACCATGAGATTGGCAGAGGAAGCAAAAGGAAAGCTTTATTTCCTGTAAAGGATTACAATCTGCAGGTCAGGAAACTAAGCTTCCAGCCAAAACCAAATACATAGGCTTCAGTTACAAAGGGGAGAGGTTGGAATTTATCCCCAGTGGGGTTAGCTCCGCATACATATTTAGCAGGTTATAGGAGAATTTATGAATATTTATGAGGGAAACCAAATGTGTGGTGAGTAAACATATATGTTACATATGTCCCATGTTCACTTCGGAGTAGGCAGTTAACATTAAAGTGAAGTGAAATTCGGCTCTTTGTGTCAAAAGGTGAAACACAGAGCAGAGCACAGAGGCATCTTGTGCTCAGTCTCTGTGGACCAGCCAGAACGAGTCTGTGATCAGCAGTCATTTATCAAAAAGGAATGCTTTGTAAGGCTAGTCACCTATCGTGGCAAAAGCACGATAAGGGAGGGGAGTTTGGCCACAGTGTCAGATGGTCTGTTGAGGTTGGGGAAGAAATCTTGCACACATTGTTTTTAGGGACTGGTTTCTGTTTAATTATAGGAAAGAAAGTCTTGGCGGCTGATAATGAGATAAGGGAATGTGGAGGTGTGACTGACCTCCTGCCTTTGTCAAAGCCTTAGAATCTGGTTTTAAAGTTTTCTGTTTGCCACAGCTGTCCATTTCATTTTGCCTGGAGGGCCTAGGAGCTACAAACTTAATAGGTGTTTTCAGGGACACATTATATGTGTAGGCTGCCCAGAGACTATGTTGCCTTTCCCAAGTATTTGTTGGAAGGTAAAGCATTGTGCAGAAAATACAAAAATGAGTGAAACATAGCCTCAATTCAGTTTGGCAAATATTAATTAAGCCCCTACTATGTCCAGCATGGTACATGGGCCCTAGAAAAATGCTGATGTGAGATCTTTCTGTGAAAGACATTACAATTTAATGGAAAAGACAAATATATATTCAATTTGCTCTACTCTAAAGTTAAATTCTTTTCACAATGCTAGATAGAATACAATATTACAGGAAAGAAAAAAATTGTGTATATACAGAATGAAAGACAGTATAAGCACAAGCAAAATGTTTTGTGAAAAGAATGTCATAGGAAGGAGAGATTAACTTTTTTCTAAACTTTAATGTATTTTGTCCTTTGTTAACATATTATTAAATTTTTTATCTCAAAAATGTTAACTTGAAAAGGGGTTTTTACAGCTGGGCACAGTGGCTCACACCTGTAATCCCAGCACTTTGGGAGGCCCAGGAGGGCAGATTATGAGGTCAGGAGATCGAGACCAGCCTGGCCAACATGGTGAAACCTCGTCTCTACTAAAAATACAAAAATTAGCCGGGTGTGGTGGTGTGTGCCTGTAGTCCCAGCTATTTGGGAGGCTGAGGCAGAAGAATCACTTAACCCAGGAGGTAGAGGTTGCAATGAGCCGAGATCATGCCACTGCTCTCCAGCCTGGCGACAGAGTGAGACTGTGTCTCAAAAAAAAAAAAAAAGTGGGGGGAGGGGGGACGGTTTTACTATAACTTTCATTGCTTTTCTCAGCTCCTAACTCAGCCTTTTCCTCTTTATTCTTACAGACCACCTTGTCTCCTACTAGCTTAAGAAAATTGAGGCTATCAGGAATCATTTTCCTTCAGCTACCTTCTCCCTACATGCTTATTTAATCTAAACCCCTTTTTACTGTATTTTCCCCAGTCTAAAGTAACAAGGTGTCCTTCCTCCTGTGCACTGCTCTCATTTCCCCTTGTCCCAGGATCTAGCTCTGGCAGTTGTCCCTTGTTTTTCCCAAATCTTCAAACTGTTTGTCATTACTGGCTCCTTCCTTCTAGCCTATGTACATGCTTAAGAGTCCCCTACTCTAAAAAGATTTCCCTTACCTCATTAAGCCATCTGGTCTAGTCTTTTTTCCTTTTCTCTATCCTGCATCTCAAAACAGTAATCTATCTATTCTTATTCTTACTGTCTCCATTCCTATAACCACAATAACTCTATAGTAATTAACACATATTTAGAAACCTTGAAATGTAAACAAACATAGAATTAGAATTTAAATTTTTTAAGAGATAAAGAGAAGCTCTGTAACATTTCAGAGAGTTCTCATCTCTTTGAGTCTTTGGTATTAAAAAAAAAAACTGGAAATAAACTCAACCAAGTGTAGTCAAACACAGTGTGATTCCCCTTATAGATGGAAGACTTATCTCTCATTGTAGCCTGTCCTTTTCATAGAAAGAGCTTCTAAATTATTTTGATGGTTGCAACCACTGTCTGTGTGACTCCCCAGTCTGTATCTGAAGCTTTTTAGTTTTTTCCAGTTGTTTTCTGGGCTTCCTCCACCTCGATGTTTCGTAAGTACCTTAAAGTCAACACGTCAAAAAATAAACTCATTTTTTTTCCTAAGCATGCTTCAAGCCCCATGTTCTCTAACCTAGTTTATGGCACCATGCCACTCACCCAGGTTAAAAACTAGGAGTTATTTTTGACTGTATCCTTCATCTCACCTTCAAAATTTACCAAGTCCTGCCAATTTTAGTTCCCAAGTATTTCTTAATTTTTGCCTTACCTCTCTGTTCCTTAAACTTATACTCAATTCTAGTCCTCATTGTTTCTCACTGGGCTGTTGCCACAGCCATATTAATACACTGCTTTCAATCTTTACACCTCAAACTCATCTCCCCAAAGATACCTAGAGCTGCACTGTTGCATAATTTAACTACCAGCTACATCAGTCTGTTGAGCATTTGAAGTGTGCCTAATCTAAATCGAAATGTGCCGTAAGTATAACATACAAACTGGATCTTGAAGACTTAGTTTGAAACAAAAAACTGTGAAGGATATCAATTTTATTTTGACTATATATTAAATGTAAAAGTGATAACATTTTAGGTATAGATTACATAAAATATATTATTAATTTTACCTGTTTCCACCTTTTTGAATATGGTTACTAGAAATTTTATTATTACATATACTCTTTCTCCACCTTCACATGAAAATGTGGCTGGTTCCTTGTCAGTACCCAAGTCCCAACTTAAGAAACCTTCTCTGCCTGAACGCTGTTTCTGCCTGAATACTGTCTGAAGGAATTTTGTCTTATCATCCTGTTCTGTTTTCTTCATGGTATTTTTCACTGTGTGAAATCATCATCTTTACTTATATATCTGATCATTGTCTACCCCTACGAAATAGGAGGCTTTACTGAGGCAGGAAATTTGTCTGACCATTAGTAAATAAGATTCACTGTTGTGTACCTGGTACCTAGAATAATATCTGGCATGTGCAGGTACTCTTTATTGAATGAATGGTTTCTATTCTGCTTGAAATGGTTCTCTCTGCCCCATAAACTTGTTTAACTCAAGTCCTTTCATGATTCAGCTCAAGTAGTACCTCCTTCAGGAAGATTTTCCTGGCTATTTCCCCTCCTGGCTTATTGATTCCTTTTCTATGCACAGTTCCAGAACTGTACCTATACATTGTGTTTTTGACTAAATTCTCTCTCCTCTTTTAGACTTGGCCCTTAGTAGTTCTTCAGTATATTCTCATTCCCTAGAATGTACCTAGTTAGGTTACCCAGTAGACATTCAGTATTTGTTTGCTGAATATACAAGCAAGCAGATGTTTTTTTGGAGTTAGTCTTTAGTATTCTAGTTATACAATAAATAATGCAGGTTATAGTATATACTCAGTAGTAAACAGTTCTTGAATTAGTAAAGGAATTCCTATGTACTATTTTTATTATAAAAACAATATAGTGGCCGGGTGTGGTGGCTCACACCTGTAATCCCAGCACTTTGATAGGCCGAGGCAGGCAGATCACCTGAGGTTGGGAGTTTGAGACCAGCCTGGCCAACATGGAGAAACCCTGTCTCTACTAAAAATACAAAATTAGCCGGGCGTGGTGGCGCATGCCTGCAGTCCCAGCTACTCAGGAAGCTGAGGCAGGAGAATCGCTTGAACCAGGAGGTGGAGGTTGCGGTGAGCCTAGATTGCACCATTGCACTCCAGTGTGGGCAACAAGAGTGAAACTCCATCTCAAAACAAAAACAAACAAAAAATATAGCAAAATTAAAGTCTTACTTAAATCATTTGTATAACCACCCTAATAACAATTATTTTCCTCAGCCCACTTTCTTCCTTAATCTTACTTCCCTCATCTGAGATAACCACTTCTGTTTTTTTCCCATAAACATAATTTTATATACAGTATGAAATAAGCAATAATATGTGTAATAACTTTTAAATTCTATTTTCCCACACTATGTTAGAAATTTTGTAATGTTACTTCATGGTTTTATGAAACTACTTTTTTCGTTTTAAAGTTGAGATGGACTTAGAGAAGCAATGCTGTCTAGTACAAAATGTTCCTTAGATGAGGATTCCTCATTCTGGTTCCCCCATTTAGCCTTAGGCCCTATGAGTTCCTTTTTTGTCTCAATCATTTTAAGAATGTGAATTTTCTGTAACCACAAAGCTTGGAAGAGGCAGTCTATATTCAAACCCAGGTCTCCTAACTTTAAATCTAGTTATCTTTCCATTTATTAACTATCTCCCTCAACTTCAGTTTCCTTAACTATAAAATGGGAATAATAATGTCTGTCTTGTCTGCCCTAAGGATAAAGATGATAATCACCTGAGGGATTAATATATGTGATCTCACATGTAACTAAAACACACTAAAGATCGGGGAATATCTATATTTGTTCATTTTTTGGAGGACAGTATTAATCTGACAATTCAAAGGTTTGATTTTTCTTTTTTTTGGTAATAGAAATAGATCCAGGATTTGCTAGATCCTAAACTCAGTCATAATTCAGTTTACCTTTATAGGTTTGGGCTTTGAAAACTAGGTCCAGTCTGTTGTGTTTTCTTATTTTATTTCAAACCAGTTCTCTTTTCACGTGGTGCCACATTTTTCATTTTTGAAATATCCACCCTGAAACATGATTCAAGTTGATTTCCATATGTAATTTTTCTGATTTCTCTCTTTAGTACTTTTCCTTCTCTCTTTTTAAAAAATCATTCCCACATTGTCCCTTTAGTATTTTAGTCCTTTTCCTTTTTTCTTTTTTAATCATTCACACAATGGCTATGGGTACAAAACTGTAAGAAATTTATTTTTATTTTTATTTGTTTTAAATTCATGGATACCATTGCCATAAATATGTCCAATATGAATTATGCTGCGAATGTGGCAGGCATATACTGGATAGAAGCTTAGAGTAGAATAGCAATGACTTGATTTTCTGTGATTCTGAATATCACTAAAGTGTGCTACCAGGGTTAGCCAAGAGAGAATAAGATGTAATTGCTTGCCTAAAGTGATAATATCTTTCCAGGACATCTCCTGAATACCAATGAAGGCAGATGATTTCAGGGAGAGAGGCATTCTTCACTTGAGAGATGGGAAAGATCAAATAATGGTAGTAATTAAAATGAGACCAAAATGTAGCATTTGTAGACCAAGTGTGTGCTAATCATTGTTTGAAGAAGTTCATCAGATAAAATATTACTTACTCTGAAATATTCTGTAAGAATATTTATTTAAAAGGCAGTAAGTCCTCATGTATGTTTCATAGAAATTGCATAGAAATGATATGGACTTCTAATATAAAAAATTAGAGTGTGATTCAGAAAAGAAAGATACTTTTAAATGGTTTTTAATCAAAATTGTCTTAATCAAAATTTTAAAGTTGTGAATAAATACATTCAAAAATGTTGTTTGGAAAATGAAAAGACAAGCCACACATTAACAGAAAATATTTGCAGGAAACCTATCAGAAAGAGAACTGGAATACAGAATAAATTTTAAAATTTCAGACAATGCAATAATAATAAGACAAGAAATTCCCCCTCAAAATTTTTGGCCAAATATTTTACCAAATCCATCACCAGAAAAGATACACATATGACAATTAAACACATAAAAAGATGCCTGACATCACTAGTCATCAGAGGAGTAAAGATTAATATCACAACTAGATACTACAAAATGTCTATTAGAGTAGCTAAATTTTTTTTAATGACAGTATCAAATACTGTTGAAGAAGAGGAGGAACTAAATTTCTCTTACATTGCTGGTGAAAATGCAAAATGGTACAATAACTCTTTAAAACAGTTTGAAAGATTTTCATAAAGTTAAACATCCACTTACCATACAACCCAACAGTCTCACTCCTATCCAAGGGAAATGAAAACATATTACATAAAGTCTTGTGTATGAATATTTGTAAAGTGACTTTTTTGGAATTGTCAAAAACTGAAAACAGTCTGTATGTTCATCAGCAAGTAAATGGATAAACAATTTGTATACATCCTTACAAAGTAATACTATTTAGCAAGAAAAAGAAATAAGCCACTGATACATGCAACAACATGGATAAATCTTTAATATATTATGTTAAGTGAAAACAACCAAACTCAAAATGCTATATACTAAGTGGTTCCATTTTATGTGACTGTCTCAAAAAGGCAAAACTACCAGAAGAGAACACAGACTGGTGGTTGTCCGTGGGGCTACAATGGAGTGTGTGGGAATTCTTTGGAGTTATGGAGATGGTCTGTAACTTGATTGTAGTGATGGGTACATGACTCTGCGTTTGTCAAAATGAGCAGGATGTGACTAAAAAAAAAAAAAAGAAATAACATGGGCTTGCAAGAGAGAAACACCAGATCCATTGTACCACTGTAAGAATTACACTCTAAGGATAAGATTTACATTTAAAATCTAGGAGAAATACCAGAAAATTAGCACATTGCTTTTAGTTTCATTATTAATTCCTTTTTCATGTAACATTTTTACTCCTCTTCACAATCTCCTTTTATGTAATAATTTACACTTGATTATTTCTTCAGTAATTAGTAAAGAAAGAAAGAAAATCAGCTTTCTGTAATAAGACTCCATATCACCTATACTCACTTGAGAAATACTCATTTTGTTATCTCCTACTAAATGTATCTATTACTCTATTCTCATGTCCTTTTACTAGCAGACAAAACAATAGCTTATTATTAGGAAAATTAAATGAGACAATATTTGTAAAATACCTGGCACATACCTTACATTCAGTTTTTTTAAGTGTTGTAAATATAAATAAGTTCCTTGCCTTTTTATCTCTGTGTGGATCTTGTTTTGAAAATATGAGGAGTGAATTTTACTAAGTTGCCAAATTTGCTTTATTCTTTGTGAACCTTAGTAGATGAATTGTAGTATCTTTTTTAATGTAGCCATGATGTGAATTATTGAATGACACTTCTCAGCTAGACCCTATATCTGCACATAGAATGAAATAAATACATGTCAGAACACACGAACTATACCTAGATAGTAAGTAAATAATTTTTTAGGCATTTTAAGTTGATAATTTATGACATAATGTTGTAGTATAAATATTCAGCTCAATTTGTTTTTAATGAAGAAAAATTTTTGTGGAAATAGTTTAAATGTGAAAATGTGATTATATCAGAGCTGGGCTATTCATGAGAATCACATGTGGACCATTTAAAGAAATACCAATTTCTTTCCCTACCACTGCCTTTCTAAGAGAAGCAGCTAAACAGTGATGTGCTAGTATATGTTCAAGAAACCAGCTCTTGGGTGGGAGTGGGGATAAGGAGCATTGATTCCTAGTGTTTGCTGATTTCCACGGTGTAAATACTTCCACTATAGCCAATTTCAAGCTACTAAGATGATAACACTGAATGTGGAGTGAGGAAAAGATGTACAGTAGCACAGCATTATACAGTATTTCCATCATGCAAGTACAATAAATACATCCAACCTCGAGAATAAAAGCAAAAATTAATAAAATTAAAAAGTAATGAATTTTGAGTATGTGTTACCTTTGTTTTAATATAGCTATTTATAAAGTTATGTAAGTTAATTTTTAATAATGACTGAGTTTGACAACCAGCTTCCAGAGTTTCTGAAAATTTAACAATTGGCCTCTCATAAGCTGATGAGAACTGATGTTCACACAACACTGAAGCTCCAAGGCAACTATTTTTTTTTTAACTAATTGATTGCAAGTAATTTGCCAACCAGTTGTTTTTCTAAAATACAGATCTGATCCTAAAGCCCACGAAGGCGTTCCACAGTCAGACCCAGATGAGTCTTTTTCAGCCTCATTTTAAATCATACCATTTCTCTCACATCTTCTATATGTCACCTACACTAGATGTAGGTAACTTGTAGCTTCTCAAACACACCTGTACTTCCCCCCACCTTCTCATTATCTGCCTTCTCAGTATCTTCCTTCAGCCTCGAATGACCTCACCTTATCTGCCTGACTTTTGCAATACTATTTATTTATCCTTCTAGAACTAACTCAAATGCTGCTTTCTCTTACTTCCTACTGTTGGAAACATTCCCATTTGCCTTGGTGCTCTCATAGCCCTTTGTTTATACTTCATTTTGAGCTCAAATTTATCAATTTATAATGAATGAATGTTTCACTCTCTAGATTATAAACTTCTAAGGGGTGCCTTTAAATCATACTGTACTTATTAACACATTAATATAACCTAAAAGTGGTTAATGAACACTTGCTTATTTTAACAGAAAAAAATTATGAACGATGCATGATATATCCTTCACTTTCTATATCTTTGAGAAACTGACCAAAATTTAAACTTTTTTGAATTAGATTTGTACGCCTTTTTTTCCTGGTGATGCAGAACCATATTAGTAGTTATATACCTATAGCACACCTAGAGACATTTCACAATGGACTCTAGAGCTTACCAAAGAAGAATTTCATTAGATAGTATATGAAGCAGAAATGATTAAATTGTATAACTATATTTGTGAATCATTATTCTCATTTAGTGTGCCTTATAATAAGTATTTTCAGCATAAAGCCAAAGGTTACTTTATAGTGTTCCCAGCAAATTAGGCCTTTGTATCAATAAACACCCTCTAAGAAAAGCTAAAATATCATACTTTGCTTTGTGACTTGAGAGAAATTTGCTTTCATACATATCCTTAAGGGTAAAATCCTTATCACTCTGTTGTTTTCGGGCATTTTATCTAGACTTAGGATTATCTGGTTGCCATCATGATAAGTATGGACAACATCTAAGTGTATGAAGGAAATGTTCTAAAGTAAAAACAATCCAAGAATTTCTTGAAGCAAATGCACATTCCTTGTTAGTAGTGTTTCAGGAATCTTTTTCATATTTTGCACTAGGCTGCCACCTGATGGCAAAAGTTAAAATTGCATCTTTTGTAACATTCGACGCCTTCATTGCAATTATACAGATTTTTATGTATTCAGCATAGAGCCTCCAAAACTTTTATACATTTGTGTAAGTGTTATGTATTCAATAAATGTTTGATGATTGCTTTGGACCTCAGGGAAATCATATTTATTATTTAACCTTTGTTAGACAGTGATCTTCCTACGATCTGTTTAAAGCTTTGCTTTCTTATGGAGCTATTTTAAGAATCTGTTTTAATTAGTGTTATTAATGAAAAATTTTACTTAAATGTAGTAATTTTCTCTTTTCTCTTTCCCTCTTCTTTCTTCAGAACGAGGTCACTCGGACACTATGGTGTTCTTTTACCTGTGGATTGTCTTTTATATCATCAGTTCCTGCTATACCCTCATCTGGGATCTCAAGATGGACTGGGGTCTCTTCGATAAGAATGCTGGAGAGAACACTTTCCTCCGGGAAGAGATTGTATACCCCCAAAAAGTATGTATAAAGAGTGTGTTTGTTTAAAAGAACAAACTTAGGTATACCACTAGCTAATCCTGTTGCAGTACAGACCCAACCTCTAATTATATTACTCTAATATAATTAGAAAAATAATTAACAAAAATACTAATTCATTCGGTCAGCAAAAATATATTAGATGTTTACTATATGCTAGGTACTATAGGAAATCAAAACAAAGTAAAATTCTCATTCTCAAGGAAAGCCATAAACTATGTTCAGATAAGTAAACAAATTGCAATACAATGCGATAAAGACTGGAATGGAAGAATAAATAACTTACTGTAGTTTATGATTTGTTTTTGAACATGGAATGCCCTCAGTCTGAAACACTCTCTCTCGTCTGCTTTGTAAACACCTGTTCCTCCTCTTTAAAAGTCAGTTTAAGTGTTACTTTCTCCAAGAAGCCTTTCTTTATTTTTCCTAGCATAGTCAGCTATTCATCTTAATCTTTTTTTACCCTATATAAACTACCATTATAGCAGTTATCACACTGTATTATAATAATGTGCTTAGGTGTCCATATTCTTCACTTCCAAGCATAATTACTGGTCTATAGTAGACTTAATGTTTCTGGGATGAATGAATAAATACTTGACTAAATGAAAAGTGTCATGAAAAGACAAAGGAGAAGGAGTGGCTGACTCTGCTTGATTGCATCAAGAAGACTTCTCCTTTCATTTATTTCATCTAATATTTGTTAAAATCAAGTGCCATTTCAATCAGAAAACATAGATAATTCTTTAGGAATAATTCTTTAGGAATTATTTTAGGATTTTTTCTATGTATTAATAAAAAGACAAGAGGGGCTGAATTAAAAAGTCAAAAAATCAAAAATATCTGTACTCAGATATTTTAGTAAAGGATAAATACCATGATTAGACCTTGAAAGAAATTAAACAATGAACTGGTAATCCTGAATGTGAATGTAAATTCTAATCCCAGCTCTTTCACTAACTAGCTATATAATTGTCTGCAACCAGACTATAGTGGATTCTTGTTTATGAGGTAAGTATGTTAAACTAGATTATCTCTTGATCTTTTCCCAGTCTAAAATTCTGTGATGGAGAGGGAAGTGTAGATTAGGTCACTAACATTTTCTACTCTATCAGCATGTCACTAGAACCTTAAAATTGTATTTGGAAAAGTGTATGGATGTGTAATATTCAATTGGTAAGTAGGGAAGGCCATTTTCAGGTGTGAGGAATGGTGAATTCAAAGAATGATATGTAGAGTAACTTCAGATGAACAAATAAAGGGGAAAAGGGGAGAGTTGTTGACAGTGATCTTTTTTACCTAAACTATAGCAATACCCCCAATGTGAGAAATTAGAATATATGACCAAGATATTAGACATATTTTTATAAATCTAATTTGAAAAGAAAATTAATAATCAGAGAGTAGATAGGAGCTCAGTTAAAAATGGCCCTTTTGTGCTCACCAAATATGTGTGTTTTATTTCTGTTTACATTGTTCTTGCCCTCTGAGAGCTATAAAACATTTGTTTCTTTTTTTTTTTTTTTGAGACAGAGTCTTGCTCTGTCACCCAGGCTAGAGTGCAGTGGCACGATCTCGGCTCACTGCCAGCTCCACCTCCCAGGTTCACACCATTCTCCTACCTCAGCCTCCCAAGTAGCTAGGACTACAGGCGCCCGCCACCACGTCCGGTTAATTTTTTGTAGTTTTAGTAGAGACGGGGTTTCACCGTGTTAGCCAGGATGGTCTCAGTCTCCTGACCTCATGATCCGCCTGCCTCGGCCTCCCAAAACATTTGTTTCTTATTATGATAATTGCTTAGATAAATTGTTTGTATCTTTATATAAATGTTGATCCATTCCCGCTTTTACATAGTTCTAACATAGTGATTTCTAGGTAATAAAATTAGTGAATATAATTTTTCACTTAGTTTCTTTGCTGTTACATATTTTCATGACTCTAAAAAACAAAATAAATACTTTCCTACATTATAATTTGCAAACTTATAAGAAAGATGTTCTGCTGGATCACCACATTCCTTTAATTTTAAAAAATACTGGCCAGACGTGGTGGCTCACACCTGTAATCCCAGCACTTTGGGAGGCCAGGACAGAAGAATTGCTTGAGTTCCAGACCAGCCTAGGCATCATAGTGTGAGACACTGACTCTACTAAAATAAAATGAAATAAAAATAACTGGATATGGTGGCACACGCCTGTAGCCCCAGCTACTCGGGATGCTGAGGCAGGAGGATCACTTGAGCCCTGGAGTTCAAGACTGCAGTGGGCTATGTTCATGCCACTGTACTCCAGCCTGGGCGATGGAGCAAGACCCTGTCTTAAAAAAAAAAACAAAAACAAAAAACTAAAACAAAAGGCAGATAGTTGGAATAAAATTCATCCAGCTTGAAAAGTGTGGAATCCAGTGGAGCTTCATTAAAAATTTAGAACACAGGTATATGAACCTTAAAATCAGTTCTTAGGGATTAACAGTTCTTAAAATCAGTTCTTAGGAATGCATAATATTAAGCACCACATCCCAGGTCCAGGAACAATTTTTGTCATCTTTATATTCACACTTAATTTTTCTGTGTCTCTTGACCTCAAAGATAAGTGTATTCCTCCTGAAAGACTTCCACATTTTTGGTGACACCAGTTTCCACATTGGTCATGGTGAATAGCTTAAGACTGACTCTGAAAGGCACATGAAATTGCAGTTCTTCAGTTAAGCCTAATAATAAAGTGAATGTGGATTTACCCAAAAATTGCATTATCACTATATTGCGAGGAAGGAGAGGGAACAGTGAGCCATGTGAATGTGTTAAAATCCTCATAATAATCCTCATTAAATTTATCATAATCATCAGTCAGTGAATAATATCTAAAATTGAGTAATCAAGATATAACACTATACACATATTAGTTTATTTTTTTTTTTTAATTTTTTTTTTTTTATTATACTCTAAGTTTTAGGGTACATGTGCACATTGTGCAGGTTAGTTACATATGTATACATGTGCCATGCTGGTGCGCTGCACCCACTAACGTGTCATCTAGCATTAGGTATATCTCCCAATGCTATCCCTCCCCCCTCCCCCGACCCCACCACAGTCCCCAGAGTGTGATATTCCCCTTCCTGTGTCCATGTGATCTCATTGTTCCATTCCCACCTATGAGTGAGAATATGCGGTGTTTGGTTTTTTGTTCTTGCGATAGTTTACTGAGAATGATGGTTTCCAATTTCATCCATGTCCCTACAAAGGACATGAACTCATCATTTTTTATGGCTGCATAGTATTCCATGGTGTATATGTGCCACATTTTCTTAATCCAGTCTATCATTGTTGGACATTTGGGTTGGTTCCAAGTCTTTGCTATTGTGAATAGTGCCGCAATAAACATACGTGTGCATGTGTCTTTAGAGCAGCATGATTTATAATCCTTTGGGTATATACCCAGTAATGGGATGGCTGGGTCAAATGGTATTTCTAGTTCTAGATCCCTGAGGAATCGCCACACTGACTTCCACAATGGTTGAACTAGTTTACAGTCCCACCAACAGTGTAAAAGTGTTCCTATTTCTCCACATCCTCTCCAGCACCTGTTGTTTCCTGAGTTTTTAATGATTGCCATTCTAACTGGTGTGAGATGATATCTCATAGTGGTTTTGATTTGCATTTCTCTGATGGCCAGTGATGATGAGCATTTCTTCATGTGTTTTTTGGCTGCATAAATGTCTTCTTTTGAGAAGTGTCTGTTCATGTCCTTCGCCCACTTTTTGATGGGGTTGTTTGTTTTTTTCTTGTAAATTTGTTTGAGTTCATTGTAGATTCTGGATATTAGCCCTTTGTCAGATGAGTAGGTTGCGAAAATTTTCTCCCATGTTGTAGGTTGCCTGTTCACTCTGATGGTAGTTTCTTTTGCTGTGCAGAAGCTCTTGAGTTTAATTAGATCCCATTTGTCAATTTTGGCTTTTGTTGCCATTACTTTTGGTGTTTTGGACATGAAGTCCTTGCCCACGCCTATGTCCTGAATGGTAATGCCTAGGTTTTCTTCTAGGGTTTTTATGGTTTTAGGTCTAACGTTTAAATCTTTAATCCATCTTGAATTGATTTTTGTATAAGGTGTAAGGAAGGGATCCAGTTTCAGCTTTCTACATATGGCTAGCCAGTTTTCCCAGCACCATTTATTAAATAGGGAATCCTTTCCCCATTGCTTGTTTTTCTCAGGTTTGTCAAAGATCAGATAGTTGTAGATATGTGGCATTATTTCTGAGGGCTCTGTTCTGTTCCATTGATCTATATCTCTGTTTTGGTACCAGTACCATGCTGTTTTGGTTACTGTAGCCTTGTAGTATAGTTTGAAGTCAGGTAGTGTGATGCCTCCAGCTTTGTTCTTTTGGCTTAGGATTGACTTGGCGATGCGGGCTCTTTTTTGGTTCCATATGAACTTTAAAGTAGTTTTTTCCAATTCTGTGAAGAAAGTCATTGGTAGCTTGATGGGGATGGCATTGAATCTGTAAATTACCTTGGGCAGTATGGCCATTTTCACGATATTGATTCTTCCTACCCATGAGCATGGAATGTTCTTCCATTTGTTTGTGTCCTCTTTTATTTCCTTGAGCAGTGGTTTGTAGTTCTCCTTGAAGATGTCCTTCACATCCCTTGTAAGTTGGATTCCTAGGTATTTTATTCTCTTTGAAGCAATTGTGAATGGGAGTTCACTCATGATTTGGCTCTCTGTTTGTCTGTTGTTGGTGTGTAAGAATGCTTGTGATTTTTGCACATTGATTTTGTATCCTGAGACTTTGCTGAAGTTGCTTATCAGCTTAAGGAGATTTTGGGCTGAGACGATGGGGTTTTCTAGATAAACAATCATGTCGTCTGCAAACAGGGACAATTTGACTTCCTCTTTTCCTAATTGAATACCCTTTATTTCCTTCTCCTGCCTGATTGCCCTGGCCAGAACTTCCAACACTATGTTGAATAGGAGCGGTGAGAGAGGGCATCCCTGTCTTGTGCCAGTTTTCAAAGGGAATGCTTCCAGTTTTTGCCCATTCAGTATGATATTGGCTGTGGGTTTGTCATAGATAGCTCTTATTATTTTGAAATACGTCCCATCAATACCTAATTTATTGAGAGTTTTTAGCATGAAGGGTTGTTGAATTTTGTCAAAGGCTTTTTCTGCATCTATTGAGATAATCATGTGGTTTTTGTCTTTGGCTCTGTTTATATGCTGGATTACATTTATTGATTTGCGTATATTGAACCAGCCTTGCATCCCAGGGATGAAGCCCACTTGATCATGGTGGATAAGCTTTTTGATGTGCTGCTGGATTCGGTTGGCCAGTATTTTATTGAGGATTTTTGCATCAATGTTCATCAAGGATATTGGTCTAAAATTCTCTTTTTTGGTTGTGTCTCTGCCCGGCTTTGGTATCAGAATGATGCTGGCCTCATAAAATGAGTTAGGGAGGATTCCCTCTTTTTCTATTGATTGGAATAGTTTCAGAAGGAATGGTACCAGCTCCTCCTTGTACCTCTGGTAGAATTCGGCTGTGAATCCATCTGGTCCTGGACTCTTTTTGGTTGGTAAACTATTGATTATTGCCACAATTTCAGAGCCTGTTATTGGTCTATTCAGAGATTCAACTTCTTCCTGGTTTAGTCTTGGGAGAGAGTATGTGTCGAGGAATGTATCCATTTCTTCTAGATTTTCTAGTTTATTTGCGTAGAGGTGTTTGTAGTATTCTCTGATGGTAGTTTGTATTTCTGTGGGATCGGTGGTGATATCCCCTTTATCATTTTTTATTGTGTCTATTTGATTCTTCTCTCTTTTTTTCTTTATTAGTCTTGCTAGCGGTCTATCAATTTTGTTGATCCTTTCAAAAAACCAGCTCCTGGATTCATTGATTTTTTGAAGGGTTTTTTGTGTCTCTATTTCCTTCAGTTCTGCTCTGATTTTAGTTATTTCTTGCCTTCTGCTAGCTTTTGAATGTGTTTGCTCTTGCTTTTCTAGTTCTTTTAATTGTGATGTTAGGGTGTCAATTTTGGATCTTTCCTGCTTTCTCTTGTAGGCATTTAGTGCTATAAATTTCCCTCTACACGCTGCTTTGAATGCGTCCCAGAGATTCTGGTATGTGGTGTCTTTGTTCTCGTTGGTTTCAAAGAACATCTTTATTTCTGCCTTCATTTCGTTATGTACCCAGTAGTCATTCAGGAGCAGGTTGTTCAGTTTCCATGGAGTTGAGCGGCTTTGAGTGAGATTCTTAATCCTGAGTTCTAGTTTGATTGCACTGTGGTCTGAGAGATAGTTTGTTATAATTTCTGTTCTTTTACATTTGCTGAGGAGAGCTTTACTTCCAACTATGTGGTCAATTTTGGAATAGGTGTGGTGTGGTGCTGAAAAAAATGTATACTCTGTTGATTTGGGGTGGAGAGTTCTGTAGATGTCTATTAGGTCTGCTTGGTGCAGAGCTGAGTTCAATTCCTGGGTATCCTTGTTGACTTTCTGTCTCGTTGATCTGTCTAATGTTGACAGTGGGGTGTTAAAGTCTCCCATTATTAATGTGTGGGAGTCTAAGTCTCTTTGTAGGTCACTGAGGACTTGCTTTATGAATCTGGGTGCTCCTGTATTGGGTGCATAAATATTTAGGATAGTTAGCTCTTCTTGTTGAATTGATCCCTTTACCATTATGTAATGGCCTTCTTTGTCTCTTTTGATCTTTGTTGGTTTAAAGTCTGTTTTATCAGAGACTAGGATTGCAACCCCTGCCTTTTTTTGTTTTCCATTGGCTTGGTAGATCTTCCTCCATCCTTTTATTTTGAGCCTATGTGTGTCTCTGCACGTGAGATGGGTTTCCTGAATACAGCACACTGATGGGTCTTGACTCTTTATCCAACTTGCCAGTCTGTGTCTTTTAATTGCAGAATTTAGTCCATTTACATTTAAAGTTAATATTGTTATGTGTGAATTTGATCCTGTCATTATGATGTTAGCTGGTGATTTTGCTCATTAGTTGATGCAGTTTCTTCCTAGTCTCGATGGTCTTTACATTTTGGCATGATTTTGCAGCGGCTGGTACCGGTTGTTCCTTTCCATGTTTAGCGCTTCCTTCAGGAGCTCTTTTAGGGCAGGCCTGGTGGTGACAAAATCTCTCAGCATTTGCTTGTCTATAAAGTATTTTATTTCTCCTTCACTTATGAAGCTTAGTTTGGCTGGATATGAAATTCTGGGTTGAAAATTCTTTTCTTTAAGAATGTTGAATATTGGCCCCCACTCTCTTCTGGCTTGTAGGGTTTCTGCCGAGAGATCCGCTGTTAGTCTGATGGGCTTTCCTTTGAGGGTAACCCGACCTTTCTCTCTGGCTGCCCTTAACATTTTTTCCTTCATTTCAACTTTGGTGAATCTGACAATTATGTGTCTTGGAGTTGCTCTTCTCGAGGAGTATCTTTGTGGCGTTCTCTGTATTTCCTGAATCTGAACGTTGGCCTGCCTTGCTAGATTGGGGAAGTTCTCCTGGATAATATCCTGCAGAGTGTTTTCCAACTTGGTTCCATTCTCCACATCACTTTCAGGTACACCAATCAGACGTAGATTTGGTCTTTTCACATAGTCCCATATTTCTTGGAGGCTTTGCTCATTTCTTTTTATTCTTTTTTCTCTAAACTTCCCTTCTCGCTTCATTTCATTCATTTCATCTTCCATCGCTGATACCCTTTCTTCCAGTTGATCACATCGGCTCCTGAGGCTTCTGCATTCTTCACGTAGTTCTCGAGCCTTGGTTTTCAGCTCCATCAGCTCCTTTAAGCACTTCTCTGTATTGGTTATTCTAGTTATACATTCTTCTAAATTTTTTTCAAAGTTTTCAACTTCTTTGCCTTTGGTTTGAATGTCCTCCCGTAGCTCAGAGTAATTTGATCGTCTGAAGCCTTCTTCTCTCAGCTCGTCAAAATCATTCTCCATCCAGCTTTGTTCTGTTGCTGGTGAGGAACTGCGTTCCTTTGGAGGAGGAGAGGCGCTCTGCGTTTTAGAGTTTCCAGTTTTTCTGTTCTGTTTTTTCCCCATCTTTGTGGTTTTATCTACTTTTGGTCTTTGATGATGGTGATGTACAGATGGGTTTTCGGTGTAGATGTCCTTTCTGGTTGTTAGTTTTCCTTCTAACAGACAGGACCCTCAGCTGCAGGTCTGTTGGAATACCCTGCTGTGTGAGGTGTCAGTGTGCCCCTGCTGGGGGGTGCCTCCCAGTTAGGCTGCTCGGGGGTCAGGGGTCAGGGACCCACTTGAGGAGGCAGTCTGCCCGTTCTCAGATCTCCAGCTGCGTGCTGGGAGAACCACTGCTCTCTTCAAAGCTGTCAGACAGGGACACTTAAGTCTGCAGAGGTTACTGCTGTCTTTTTGTTTGTCTGTGCCCTGCCCCCAGAGGTGGAGCCTACAGAGGCAGGCAGGCCTCCTTGAGCTGTGGTGGGCTCCACCCAGTTCGAGCTTCCCAGCTGCTTTGTTTGCCTAAGCAAGCCTGGGCAATGGCGGGCGCCCCTCCCCCAGCCTCGTTGCCGCCTTGCCGTTTGATCTCAGACTGCTGTGCTAGCAATCAGCGAGATTCCGTGGGCGTAGGACCCTCTGAGCCAGGTGTGGGATATAGTCTCGTGGTGCGCCGTTTCTTAAGCCGGTCTGAAAAGCGCAATATTCGGGTGGGAGTGACCCGATTTTCCAGGTGCGTCCGTCACCCCTTTCTTTGACTCGGAAAGGGAACTCCCTGACCCCTTGCGCTTCCCAGGTGAGGCAATGCCTCGCCCTGCTTCGGCTCGCGCACGGTGCGCACACACACTGGCCTGCGCCCACTGTCTGGCACTCCCTAGTGAGATGAACCCGGTACCTCAGATGGAAATGCAGAAATCACCCGTCTTCTGCGTCGCTCACGCTGGGAGCTGTAGACCGGAGCTGTTCCTATTCGGCCATCTTGGCTCCTCCCCCGGATTATTCTTATTACACATATTAGTTTAATACATGGAGGCTAAGTAGAAGAAGTAGCTACAAATTTTGAAAATGTTCGGTCTCTAGGGATGGAAAGAGAAGGTGGCCAGGGGACTTTTTTTTTTTTTAGAATAGCATTCTCACAATGACTAGTATTACTTTGTTTAAAAATTTTTTAAGTAAAATAAATATTATGGCTTAATACATAGTAGTTCCCCTTCCCAAAAATTTCACATTCATTAAATACATATATTTAAAGAGCTGATTTCCTTGAGATTAATAATGAGCAAATCTATGAATTATATAGTTCTGCTCTATTGGCAATTTGTGTACTTAAGACTTTTGTGTAGCTAAAACTGGACTGGACTCCTAAATCCTGGGTGCTAGTACCTGCAAGTATTACTTGAGCACCGTCTTCCCCATGTAAAAATAGAACATTTCTTAAATTCAACCACGGTTGTGAAATCCAAGCTTAATTTCATTCACATCAAAAAGCAAGGCAAAACTTTCTTCAAATACAGGGTAAGGCAAATGGAGAATAAAAGTACAAATAACACAGTGAATAAATCTGCTAATCTTTTCTGATATTAGCTATTAAGTCTACTGTACCTGTTAGAATGTAATCTCAATCAATCAAGGATCTTAACCAGCTTATATTTCTGGGCCCTAGAAGAAAGCCTGGTATACAGTATGGCAGTGAAATATATTTGTTAATGATTACTCAAATTCAGTAATACTTCATACTGGATATTATACCATTTAAGAAAAAACTAAATTGGTAGAAATCATTCTAAAATATAATGTGTACTTCCCTGCAAAATAAAGTACAACTTTCCTCTTGAGCCTGTGCTTATTCGTAGGACATGTGTGAGTCTTGTTTGTAGGACATATGCTCATTGGTATGCCTATTTATGAGAAATGTGATAGAAAACATACTCAATTTCTTTATTATTTCTCAGGCCTACTACTACTGTGCCATAATAGAGGATGTGATTCTGCGCTTTGCTTGGACTATCCAAATCTCGATTACCTCTACAACTTTGTTGCCTCATTCTGGGGACATCATTGCTACTGTCTTTGCCCCACTTGAGGTTTTCCGGTAAGCAAACTACTGAAAAGTTTATTAAAGATTCTTTTTAACCTAAAAGACACCCAATACTTACAAATTAGAATTTATTATAACTTGTACTTGAAAACCTTTAATTTTCCAACTTTTCTCAAATTTCTCCTCAGCCTTAGAATTGGAAAACCATGTTGGCCAGGCTGATCTCGAACTCTTGACCTCAGTTGATCCACCCACCTCGGCCTCCCAAAGTGCTGGGATTACAGGCGTGAGCTACTGTGCCCGGCCCAGAGGTTAATTCTTACAAAGTTAAAATAACCATTGATGATGACTTAAAAGCTTCTTTAGAACGGGGTTCCATTGAAAGGATAAGTGGAAATTGGGAGGTAAAATGGCTTAAAACAGAAATCAATCATTTTTTGCAATTTGGCAGTCTGAGTTATTCAGCCCAGCCTTCTCACTGAAAACAATAAAAATGCTAGATAAAATGTGTTTAAATCTGGCCAGGTGCACTGGCTCACTCCTGTAATCCCAACACTTTGGGAGGCCGAGGCCGGTGGATCACCTGAGGTCAGGAGTTCAAGACCAACCTGGCCAACATGGTGAAACGCTGTCTCTGCTAAAAATACAAAAATTAGCTGGGCATGGTGGTGGGCACCTGTAATCCCAGCTACTCGGGAGGCTGAGGCAGGAGAATCGCTTGAATCCAGGAGGCAGAGGTTGCAGTGAGCCAAGACTGCACTGTTGCACTCCAACCTGGGCAACAAGAGCAAAACTCCGTCTCAAAAAAAAAAGTGTTTAAATATTCTAAAAAAAAATCAGACAAGATAATCCAAAATCTAAATGAAAACAGGAGCCCCAAGATAAACAGAGCACTAACACTACCTTTGCACTATAGAAATTTGCCAAATCTGTAGACTTTGAAATTCACTTGTGACTGCCAATTAAAATTTGTATGCACCTAATAAAATGCCTTAAAATTTTGTAAAGCAAAAGCTGGCGTTGCTACAAGTAAATTTACAATTTCAGATTTTAACATATTTCCTTCAGTGATAGATAAATAACGGGTCAGTTAATTAATTAAACCTGAATGACATACGTAGAGAACTGCATCCAACTACTAAATACATATTCTTTTAAATACATGTAGAACATTTACCAAAATTAACCTTACACTGTGCCATAAAGGAAGTCTCAACAAATTGCAGGGATTATAATCACAAAAAGATAACTCAAAAGTCCCAAATGTTTAGAAATTAAGCAGTACATGTCTGATAACCCCAGGTCAAAATTGTAATGCAAATTTTAAAATATTTTGAGTAGCCAGGCATGATGGTTTATGCCTGTAATCCCAGCATTTTGGAAGGCCAAAGTGGGCAGATCACTTGAACTCAGGGGTTTGACACTGGCCTGGGCAACATGGCAAAACACATCTCTACAAAAAATACAAAAATTAGCTGGGCATGGTGGTGCGCGCCTGTAGTCCCAGGTACTCAGGAGGCTGAGGTGTAAGGGTCACTTGAGCCTGGGAGGCAGAGGTTGCAGTGAGTCAAGATCATGCCACTGCACTCCAGCCTGGGTGACAGAGCAAGACTCCGTCTCAAAAAAAAAAAAAAAAAAAATTTTTTTTTGAACAGAATGTAATTGAAAATGTGATAAAAGAGAAAAATGTAAAATGCAGCTAGGGCCATGCTTACAAGGAAATGTGTAACTTTACATGTATATATCAGAAAAGTATATAGCTCAGGAAATAAGAAAGATTTAAAAAACAGCAAATCCCAAAAGAAAGTAGAAGTAAATATAAAGAACGTAAATTAATGGAACAGAAAACAAACACACAATACAGAAAATTATTAATGATAAAGCCAAACTTAATTTCCTTAAAATGCCAAATACTGTTGATAAAGTACTTAAGACTGATAAAGCAAAAAAGAAAAGGAAGTACAAATTATGAATATCAAAAAACCTAAAGACATTTATTTAAAGAGTAAGACTATCTTATGAGCAACTTTATATCAATAAATTTAAAAATTTAGATGAATGGACAAATTACTGAAAAAGCAGTGTGCCAAAACCAATAAAGAAGAAATAGAAAATCTGTATTAAAGAAATTAAATTCATGTTAAAATACTTTGCACAAAGAAAACGCCAGGCCCAGGAATTCTTTCAAATATTTGAGGAAGAAATATTAACCAATTTTATACAAAACTCTTCCAGAAAAAAAAAGAGCATAAAAGGAAACACTTTCTAGTTTGTTCTCTGCAGCCAGCATAACTTTGATATATAAGCCTACAATGACATTTTAATAAAAACTAATCTGTCTCATGTACACAGTTGTAAAAATCCTGAATGAAATATTAGCATATGAATTCAACAATATATAAAAAGGGTAATACAAGTTAGGTTCGTTCTAGGAATGTAAGATTTAACATTCAAAAATCAATCAGGGCCAGGCACGGTGGTTCACACCTGTAATCCCAGCACTTTGGGAGGCTGAGGTGAGTGGATCATTTGAGGTCAGGAGTTCAAGACCAGCCTGGCCAACATGGTGAAACCCCATCTCTACTAAAAATAGAAAAATTAGCCGGGAGTAGTGGCGCATGCCTGTAGTCCCAGCTACTCAGGAGGCTGAGTTGGGAGAATTGCTTGAACCCAGGAGGAAGAGGTTGCAGTGAGCCAAGATTGCACCACTGTACTGCAGCCTGGGCAACAGAGGGAGACCCTGTCTCAAAAAAAAAAAAAGAAAGAAACCTGTCTCACTTATATTAACAGAATAAAGGGGGAAAAAGAACCTCTATATTTGTAGAAAAGGCCATTGATAAAAGTCAATACCTGTTCATGAAAAAAATGTTTTCTACAAAAACACAATCAAGAACATATTTAACAGTGAAACACTATAAACTTTCCCTTGAAATCAGGAATGAGACAAGTGTGTCTGCTGTTCCCACTTTTATTTAATATCATCAAAGTATAGCTAGCGCAATGAGGAAAAAGAACTATCATAATTGGAAAGGAAAAAATAAAACTATAATTATTCACTGATGACAGTTACACAGAAAATTCAAAATAGTTTACAAATAATTAGATCTAATGTCACAGTTCTGAATACATGGTCAACATAATATAAATCAGTCATTTTTAAAAACAGTCATAACAACTAGAAAAAGAACATTTTAAAAACCATATCATTTTGAATAGCATCAGAATATATCAGATATATACCTAGGAATAGGTTTAATTAAAGCTGTGTAGACGTGAGAAAATCGACAAGCCAGTTCTGTAATTTATATGGGAATATGAAAGGTCAAGAATGGCCAAGACTATCCTGAAAAGAACAAAGTTAAAAGACTTATACTGTCAGATATCAAAATTGATTATATAGTTACAGTGAGTAAGACAGTATATGGTGTTGGTGAAAGGATAGACAATCCACTGGAACAGAATAGGGAGTACAGAAAGAAATCCACTCGTGCATACCTTGATACTTCTTGATTTATGACAAAGGTGGCTACATAACAGTGGAAAAAGAGGGCCTTTAATAAATGATATTGAGTCAACTGGATATCCATATGGAAAAAAATGGTTCCCAGCTCCTACTGTATACTGTGTGTGAAATCAATTCCAGGTGGATTGTAGAACTAAGTATGAAGAGTAAATCAATGAACTCTCTGGAAGTTAACATAGGAAAGAACCCTAAAGGTGGTTTTCAGTGTATGGTAATGTATTTCATATTTCTGGATGGTAATTACACAGTGAGTCCCTTTATGATAATTAAGCTGTACATTTTTTATTTGCATACTTTATGTGTGATATACTTCTGTTGAAATGCTTATCTTAAAAAAAAAAGGCAAATTAGCCAAGAGAAAGAAGGACTAACTTTCAACAGCAACAGTGAAAGTCAGAAATTATTAAAATGAAATCTTTAATGTGCTGAAAGAAAATAACTGCTTACCTAGACTCTGCCCAGTGTAGATATCTTTCACAAATAAGACGATATAAAGATATTTTCAGATAGGTGTATAACATTCGTCTAAGTCAAGATCGACAAACACTGCCTGTTAAAATAAGACAGAAGCTGGAAACGGAAGATAAACCTGAGAGAGAAAGCATGACTCTGGAATCCACCTGCCATCAGAGCTCTCTCCAGACCAGTGCTCCTTCCCTTCCTCACCTTCCTGAATGCCTCGGCCTGGCACCTGAACTCCCCATCGCTGCTGCCACCTTCCCCCACCCACTTCTTTCTCTTTCATGTGTGCTACTTCATCAATTTTTTAAAAGAAATTCTAGTAAAAAAAGAAAAATACCTCATGACGATTTTCTTTTTAAAATCATTTGCTTACTAACTAAATCAAATGTTCTATCCCATTTAAAACAAACAAAAAAACCATCTTTAGATCAGCTTTCTCTCTCCAACTACTGCCCATCTTTCTGCTGTCCTTTATAGCAAAACTCTTCAAGAGGCGTCTGCACTTGCTGTCTCCACTCTCACTTCTCTCCCATTCTCTTTTTCATTCAAGTATGTATTCCCAATACTCAAACTAAACCACTTTTGTTAATAATCTATAATAATAATATTGTAGTGCCTACTATGTAGCTGACAGCGTTCTAAGCCTTTTACCTTTATTAAATCCTCACAACAATCTTAGGAAGTAGGTGCTGTTATCATGTCTTTTACTGATGACACTGAAGCATAGGTTAAGTAACTCATCCAAGGTCATTACAGCTAGCAAGTGGTAGAGCCATGATTTGAATCTAGACAGTCTCCCAGAGCCTGTGCTTTTAGATCGTACTGCCCATTTTGCTAAATCCCCTTGTCAGTTCTCTGTACTTATTTACCTTACTTTACTTCCCAGCAAAGCACTTTCTTCACTTGACTTCTCAGAAACTACAGTCTCCTGTCTCACTAGCTATTCCTTGTCCACTCCTTTACTGGTTCTTCCTCCTCCCCCCAAACTTTTAAGTGTTAGAGTGTTCCAGGATTTAATCTTCTGCCCTCTTGTCTCCTCTAGTTGTATTATTCCTAAACCTATTATGTGAAATACTGTCTTTATGCTATCTCCAGCCATAAACTTTCCCTTGAACTGCAGACTCTCGTCCACCTCTCTACTGAATTCTCCCATATCTAATGATTAGCTCTAACCTAACAGGAACAGCCCTGCATCTCTGATCTTAGTAAATGGTGTCACCTTTCCCTTAGACCAAAAACCCTAAGACGACTCACATCGCATGTCAGTAAGTCCTGTCAGCTCCATCTTTATAAATAAATCCTTTGTCTGTCTGCTTCTCATCACTTCTGTTATTACCACCTTTAAGTCACCATCATCTCTTTTCTGGACTGCTGCAACAGCCCTTCTAATTGGTCTGTCTTCAGCTGTTCTTGTCTCCCTTTGATCTCTTCACCATTCAGCAGGACCTTTTTCAAACAAATCACTTCATTCTCCTGTTGTTCTCTCATTGTTCTCCATTAGACCTAAAATTTAAACTATGGGTTATAAGGCCCTCTGTGGGTGGGCCCTCTTCCACCCCTCCATCATTATCTCCTGCTATTTTAACCTCACTTATTCTTAGCCCCCACTGACCTTGCTGTTGTTTCCAACTTGCCTTTTTATACTTGCCATTTTCCTCTGCCTGGGATGCTTTCCTCCAGGATTTTTACATGACTTGCTTCTTTGTATCAGTCAGGTTTTCAATAGCTGCCATGTCTTCAAAGAAGCTTTCCCTAACCAGTCTTAATGATGGCATACTCTATTCCCTTGTCCTGCTTTATTTTCTTCACAGTAGTTATCATTAGCCGATTGATTGTTTACTTGCTCATTGTCTGTCTCCACCACTAGAAATTACACCCCATAAGGGCAAAAAGGCTTTGAGTCATTCTGTGCCTTTACTGCCTTATGGCAGACATTCAGTAAATATTTGTCAAATAAGTTGAAAGAATGAGCACTCTAAAACTGCATTGCATAAGTCCCTCCCTTTTTCATAGTCTAGTCTTGTTTCCCTTACCCCCCCACCACCACCTCCCCGCAACACCATCTTTCCCTATTTTAATATTCAAGCCCTTAATTCTTTGTTTTTGTTTCCATGAGTGGAAACTTGATACACTGGGAGGTTTACAGGTAGCAGAAGTATGTTACAATTTCATAAGTACTTTGATCTACCCCATTTTGCTAAGGCGATTTGTGTGGAACTTCTTCCGCCTGGAGAATGAACATCTGAATAACTGTGGTGAATTCCGTGCTGTGCGGGACATCTCTGTGGCCCCCCTGAACGCAGATGATCAGACTCTCCTAGAACAGATGATGGACCAGGATGATGGGGTACGAAACCGCCAGAAGAATCGGTCATGGAAGTACAACCAGAGCATATCCCTGCGCCGGCCTCGCCTCGCTTCTCAGTATGTATGGCTTCTACTTCTGTGAGGCATATTTCCTTTGAGTTTTAGCATTGGGTAGCATGTAAGCTAAAAAGCTATCAGGTTGAACCAAATGAAATTGCCAATACTCAGCCATTTTTCACCTACAAAAAAACAGTAATAAGCAGCAATTCCATATGATACAACCTATGACTGTCTAAATGAGCACATAGAGTAAATGTCATCAGTGCATAACCTAGTAATTTGGCACTAAAGATCCACTGTCTGGAGGAAAAGGTTGTTGGAGAGTGATTTATTAATACTTGACTCTTCTGTGTGTTGTGTATGCAAATAATTTTTATGTTATAAACTTTAGGAATCCTGCCATCTATGCCTTGACCAAATGACTTAATTTCTGTTTTCTGCCCCCATCTGTAAATTGAAATTAATATGGTTCTTGCTTATAGGGAGGTTAAGTGGATTATATTCATTATTACATAGAACTTGGACCAGTTCCCTCACAGAAAGAGCCTACTAAGAATAAACTATTACTATTTTTATCTTCTTATTAAATACCTACAACAATATTTTTATCAGTCATTGACTACGTATGTTGCTAAAAGTTACCATAAATGTACAGTATATGGTGACTGCATATGAAATTTAGAGACAATAGATAGCACAGTAGATTGGAATGAAGGAGGCTTAGGTTGAGGATGAACGGTTTTCTAAAGGATAAGGGAGTGAATAGACTAGAGACACAGTAAAGAACATAAAGGTAGAAATGAAGTGCAGAAAGAAAAACCATGTGACTAGAATTATAGTAAGAATAATTTTGCTGAATAGATGAAGTATGATTGTAAAAGGCTGAAAATGCAAACTTGATCTTGTAGGCAGGAATGAGTCACAGATAATTTTTTTTTTTTGAGATGGAGTCTCGCTCTGTTGCCCAGGCTGGAGTGCAGTGGTGCAATCTCCACTCACTGCAAGCTGCACCTCCTGGGTTCACGCCATTCTCCTGCCTCAGCCTCCCGAGTAGCTGGGACTACAGGCGTCCGCTACCACACGCAGCTAATTTTTTGTGTTTTTGGTAGAGATGGGGTTTCACCATGTTAGCCAGGATGGTCTCGATCTCCTGACCTCGTGATCCGCCCGCATTGGCCTCCCAAAGTGCTGGCATTACAGGCATGAGCCACCGCACCCAGCCACGAGTCACAGAGAATTTTTCTGTAGAAGAATGACATTGTGAAAGTAGTATCCTAGGAAGTTTTAATAGCACTGTGTAAGATATATTAGGCAAGGGAAAAACTGAAGGCCAGAAAGCCAGATGAAAAGCTATGCAGTACTTCAATGTATGGGGCAGTGAAAATTCAGATCAGGATGCTTACTGTTGGACCAGAAGGAACATAAGGAGATGTTTTGAAGGAAGTAAGAAACAGGAGGTAGTATCAGTAACTCATTGGATATAGAGGAGTAGAGTAGAACCTGCTGAACTTTAAATAGAGATTTGGAAGTTCTCTGAAGAAGGCAGAGAAAAGCAGAGAGCAGGGAACTGAGTCTTAATCCCTGGCTCAACCATAGTAGCCAGGGAACAAACACAGACAAGAGAAAAAAAGAAAATAAACAAAAGAGGTAGGAATAGTCAGGGAGGTAATAGGAAGAGCATCAAAACAAAGCATGGTTGGTGCTGTGATCCCAAGGAAGCAGAGTTTGAAGAAGCTGGGGCAGGGGAGCACTGAGTGGGTCAGTGAGATAAGTGCCACAAAGGGCTGGAAGAAAATGCTAAGTGTGATTGGTGACCTCATTGAGCTCCTGATTTTGAAGTCTAATTATCCTTGTTAGTTACCAGCAGAGGGCAATCTAAACATATACTATTTCTGCTTAAAGAAGGGGCTCTTTGGCAATAGATTATTCTGTTCCATTTCAGGTGTTTAACGGAGAAACTCTGGGAAACCAGATTGCACCAAGAGTAAGACATTAGGAATGGAACAGTTGGTGTACAGCGGAGAGAGCAGGGAATCCAAAATAAGATCTGAGTTTCAGTACTGACTTTATCACTCATGCAACCTTTAGCATATCCTTAATGTGTGTGGTTTTTTTGTTTGTTTGTTTTTTTGAAACAGTATCTCGCTCCGTTGCCCAGGTTGGCTCAATGCAGCAGCACGATCATGACTCACTGCAGCTTCAACCTCCTGGGTTCAAGCACTCCTCCCACCTCAGCCTCCCAAGTAGTTGGCACTACACGCCTGCACCCCTCTGCCCAGCTAATTTTTTATTTTTTATAGAGACAGGGTCTTACTATGTTGCCCAGGCTAGTCTCAAACTCCTAGCCTGAAGAAGTCTTCCCTCCTTGGCCTCCCAAAGTGCTGGGATTACAGGCAAGAGCCACCACACTCAGCCACCTGATTTTATTGTTGGTATTTATAGTGGTAAATGGTTTATGTTGGGCTGAAATGTGCTTCACTGTAATTTCACTATAACTTTAACAATTTGATCCTATTTGGGCTCTCTCACATAACTTATAATGAGTCTCCTCCCTCTTCTGCATTGTATGTTGTCAACTCTTTGAAGAGAAATAACTGTTATGCCTCTCCTTAGGTCTTCTCTTCTGCTGGCTAACTCTTTTGGTTTCTCATGTATGCCTCAAGTGGTGTTTTATCTTATCCTCATCATCCTTATCACAATTTCTTATATTTGTTTTTTGGGGGTTGGTTGTTTTTTTTTGGAGACATGGTCTCAGTCTGTCACCTAGGCTGGAGTGCAGTGGTGTGATCATACCTTACTGCAGCCTTGAACTCCTGGGCTGAAATGATCCTCCTTCCTCAGCTTCCTGAGTAGCTGGGGCTACAGGTTTGCACTATCATACCTGGCTTTTTTTTTTTTTTTTTTTTTTTAAGACAGGGTCTCACTGTGATGCTCAGACTGGTCTCAAACTGCCGGGCTAAGGCGATCCTCTTATGTCAGCCTCCCAAGGAGCTGGGATTACAGGAACCAGCCAGTTTCTTAAGTTTGTTTAATGCTTTTTTCATCCATGTTCTCACTTGATATGCATACTGTCTCCATGAGGTGAAAGTGGTATTCAGTGAAATCGGTGTTACCATTCCTGCCTTACAGAGATGGAAACGGGCACTCAAAGGGTTAAATAGATGCATCATAAAATCAAAGTCAGGTGGCCAGGTGCAGTGACTCACACCTGTAAACCTAACACTTTGGGAGGCCAAGGCGGGCAGATTACCTGAGGTCAGGAGTTTGAGACCAGCCTGGCCAACATGGTGAAAGCCCATCTCTACTAAAAATACAAAACTTCGCCAAGCGTGGTGGCACATGCCTGTAATCCCAGCTACTCAGGAGGCTGAGGCAGGAGAATTGCTTGAGCCTGGGAAACGGAGGTTGCAGTGAGCTGAGATTATGCCACTGCACTCCAGCCTGGCGACAGAGCGAGACTCTGTCTCAAAAAAAAAAAAAAAAATCAAAGTCAGTACTCAAACCCAGATCACTACCTTCTGCGTTGCACATACCCTGCCATTGTTCTTGTTACCTTCCTCTGGTTGTGATCTAGTTTCTTAGTGTTTTTCCAATAGTATCTGAAATTGAATAGGAAACTCTAGAATAATCCGTCTGGTACAGCAGATAGTCCCTGTTTAGGATGTATGTTTAATGATGGTAAGACTGGAAATGTGTCTAATACTGTGAAAGTGTTTATATTTGGGTAATGGACTAAGTGCTTTTTGTCCCCCTTGTTACCACTAGATCCAAGGCTCGTGACACTAAGGTATTGATAGAAGACACAGATGATGAAGCTAACACTTGAATTTTCTGAAGTCTAGCTTAACATCTTTGGTTTTCCTACTCTACAATCCTTTCCTCGACCAACGCAACCTCTAGTACCTTTCCAGCCGAAAACAGGAGAAAACACATAACACATTTTCCGAGCTCTTCCGGATCGGATCCTATGGACTCCAAACAAGCTCACTGTGTTTCTTTTCTTTTCTTCTGGTTTAATTTTAATTTTCTATTTTCAAAACAAATATTTACTTCATTTGCCAATCAGAGGATGTTTTAAGAAACAAAACATAGTATCTTATGGATTGTTTACAATCACAAGGACATAGATACCTATCAGGATGAAGAACAGGCATTGCAAGGACCCTCTGATGGGACGGTACTGAGATATCTCGGCTTCCGCTCAGCCCGGTTTTGACTGGTTGAAACCGGACATTGGTTTTTAAATTTTTTGTCAGTTTATGTGGAGAATTTTTTTCTTTCCTTCATACCCAGCGCAAAGGCACTGGCCGCACTTGCAGGAAAAGTGCAACTTAAAGCAGTACCTTCATTCATGAAGCTACTTTTTAATTTGATGTAACTTTTCTTATTTTGGGAAGGGTTGCTGGGTGGGTGGGAAATATGATGTATTTGTTACACATAGTTTTCTCATTATTTATGAAACTTAACCATACAGAATGATATAACTCCTGTGCAATGAAGGTGATAACAGTAAAAGAAGGCAGGGGAAACTTACGTTGGATGACATTTATGAGGGTCAGTCCCACATACCTCTTTCAGGAGACAACTTGCACCAGTTTGACCTTTTCTTTTCTTTGTTTTTATTTTAAGCCAAAGTTTCATTGCTAACTTCTTAAGTTGCTGCTGCTTTAGAGTCCTGAGCATATCTCTCATAACAAGGAATCCCACACTTCACACCACCGGCTGAATTTCATGGAAGAGGTTCTGATAATTTTTTTAACTTTTTAAGGAACAGATGTGGAATACACTGGCCCATATTTCAACCTTAACAGCTGAAGCTATGCCTTATTATGCATCCACATGTATGGTCCCTGTAGCGTGACCTTTACTAGCTCTGAATCAGAAGACAGAGCTATTTCAGAGGCTCTGTGTGCCCTCACTAGATAGTTTTTCTTCTGGGTTCAACCACTTTAGCCAGAATTTGATCAAATTAAAAGTCTGTCATGGGGAAACTATATTTTTGAGCACATGGAACAAATTATACTTCCTCATTCATATTATGTTGATACAAAAGACCTTGGCAGCCATTTCTCCCAGCAGTTTTAAAGGATGAACATTGGATTTCATGCCATCCCATAGAAAACCTGTTTTAAAATTTTAGGGATCTTTACTTGGTCATACATGAAAAGTACACTGCTTAGAAATTATAGACTATTATGATCTGTCCACAGTGCCCATTGTCACTTCTTTGTCTCATTTCTTCCCTTTGTTCCTTAGTCATCCAAATAAGCCTGAAAACCATAAGAGATATTACTTTATTGAATATGGTTGGCATTAAATTTAGCATTTCATTATCTAACAAAATTAATATAAATTCCAGGACATGGTAAAATGTGTTTTAATAACCCCCAGACCCAAATGAAAATTTCAAAGTCAATACCAGCAGATTCATGAAAGTAAATTTAGTCCTATAATTTTCAGCTTAATTATAAACAAAGGAACAAATAAGTGGAAGGGCAGCTATTACCATTCGCTTAGTCAAAACATTCGGTTACTGCCCTTTAATACACTCCTATCATCAGCACTTCCACCATGTATTACAAGTCTTGACCCATCCCTGTCGTAACTCCAGTAAAAGTTACTGTTACTAGAAAATTTTTATCAATTAACTGACAAATAGTTTCTTTTTAAAGTAGTTTCTTCCATCTTTATTCTGACTAGCTTCCAAAATGTGTTCCCTTTTTGAATCGAGGTTTTTTTGTTTTGTTTTGTTTTCTGAAAAAATCATACAACTTTGTGCTTCTATTGCTTTTTTGTGTTTTGTTAAGCATGTCCCTTGGCCCAAATGGAAGAGGAAATGTTTAATTAATGCTTTTTAGTTTAAATAAATTGAATCATTTATAATAATCAGTGTTAACAATTTAGTGACCCTTGGTAGGTTAAAGGTTGCATTATTTATACTTGAGATTTTTTTCCCCTAACTATTCTGTTTTTTGTACTTTAAAACTATGGGGGAAATATCACTGGTCTGTCAAGAAACAGCAGTAATTATTACTGAGTTAAATTGAAAAGTCCAGTGGACCAGGCATTTCTTATATAAATAAAATTGGTGGTACTAATGTGTATCCAGAGACATTTGAATTATTAACTTTATTCTTTATTAGTGAATCTCTATGATGGCACACATAAAATCTTACAGTTGACTTCTGCTGTTTGAATTCCCCAGTGTTTTTACATTAATGTATCCTATGGCCAGTTTAGTCTTTCTTCAACTGTTACAGTTCTAGGCCCTAATCGGTCTTATTCTTTCACATATGATGCAATGATAGATGTAATCCTTTTCTGAAGTGTTTGTCGGATTGGCATAGTCTATTCAAAAATAAGGCTTATGTAACTTTCAGCTTGCTATGTGACAGAAGTTTAAATGTGTATTTAAGTACACAGCTTTATGTTCCTCTTAAAGCTGTAAAGAGAAAAGAGGACTTTTCCTCATCAAGAGAGCTTGGGAGACAAAGCATACATTTAATTTTTTTCTTTCAAAAAAGGCAATGTGCACTTTCCTCTCCTAAATTTTATATGCCCTAGCAGTTGCGAATGTTGTGTCCACCTTACAATTTGATTGGAGGCTCCCATACACTGAAACTCTCAATAGAATTCTTAAAAATGAACATCAGCTGGGCGCAGTGGCTCACGTCTGTAATCCCAGCACTTTGGGAGGCCAAGGTGGGCAGATCACGAGCTCAGGAGTTCGAGACCAGCCTGACCAACATGGTGAAACCCCGTCTCTACTAAAAATACAAAAATTAGCTGGGCGTGGTGGCGCATGCCTGTAATCCCAGCTACTCAGGAGACTGAGGCAGGAGAATTGCTTAAACCTGGGAAGCAGAGGTTGCAGTGAGACTAGATCATGCCACTGCACTCCACTGCCACTGCCTGGGCAACAGAGCAAGACTCCATCTCAAAAACAAACAAAAAAAATCACAGACTCATTTTAAAGGAGCAGCAACCTAACCAAATACAAACTTCATTTGATTTTAGGTTTAGAAATTCTAGTTTTATTTTGGAGAATCACTCAGTTTTTAATATCAATTAAAATAGTCCTCAAAGGAATGAAGAGGAAGTCTAAATAAATGAATAAAACTCATTTTTCATTTTATGGTAGTATAGAAAGCATTGATGTGTGTAGAGAAATTAAAAGACAAGAGTGGTTTACTGTCTATGCACAAATGAGTGCCTATATTTAAGGCTGCCTATACCATTACAGTGGCGTAATTGGTGATTTCATAGCATACAGAGAAACAATGAAATCAAAGATTAAATCATTAGGTTATGATGGTCATTTGTAAGATTGGAAAGTAGTCAAAAACCCATGTGCAACTTTTTTTCAGCACTCTACCATTAGGCTCCTTAGGCAAGCTGCTTAACTTCCGTCAGAAGCAAAGGTGTGGGAGAACACCATTCACCTCAGTAGTAACTTATAAAAACCGTTTAAAGAAGGAAAATGGGCCCCAGCCCCTAGGATCCCTGACTTCCTGATATTCTAAACATGAGAGTTCTGTGACTTTAACTGAGCTCTTTACCAGAAGTAACGTGTTGATGTATATTATCTTTCCACCATGCTTTGACCAAAGTACATTCACAGTAACTAGAGAAAGCAGATCATCCATTTCTGGATAGGTGAACTACGGCAAGGTAAGAACAGAAAAAAGTAAAGTAGTATTGAGTCATGCAGGTATCAGATTAACAGACATTCATTGAAGATAAGTGAAATAACTTTGGAGATAGCAGAGAAGAGCAAGAAGATGTTGGACGTTGGCAGTAAGCCGCAGCAAGGCAGTTAGGAAAGTACGTGAGCCTGATGACGCGAAGGTGATGCCTCCATCTGTCCGCTTAGTGGTTATTAAATTGCTGGGAAAGACCTGCCTTTATTTTCCTATCATCTTTTCCCCATTACTTTGCATTATTCAGGAAATAATTATTTATTCCCAAATGCAGTTTTCTAAGCAGTGACCACAAAAATTTCTTATTCTAAGGAAAATAATTAAGAAAATAACCCTATCTGTGGCATTGTTTTAAAATGTGGGATACAAATCTGGTAAGCAGATTTCAGGTCATTATTGTTTTCTTTTAATGGTTTACATGAAATTTTCCTCTCAAAAAACAAGTACCTCTTACTGTATAACATTTGAGTTTTTAAAATTGAGATAGCTTCTGAGAGAAAAAAAGAAAGTTGAATTTGTAGCTCTCTCAACTACAAAATCACCACACTTTTCTCAAATCTAATAGGAATTCAGTGTCATTACAGATACGGTCTCTAGTGACCAGGTGAAGACAATTGAAGCTTTGGTAGAACTTCTGCAAAAGTTAGGTAAAGAAGAATAAATCCAATTTATCAGCTTTGTTCATATTCTTTTTCTGAGTGATCTAAATTTTTCTTGCTTGTGATCATTAGCTAAGACAAGGAGTGTTAAAGGTTTTCTAAATGCAAACACATACGTTTCTGCATTTCAGAAGTCAGTCTTGATAGTAAATCCTACAAACTCTCAACTTTCTGCATTGTATTTTAAGTCTATACAATGTTAGAGCACATGGTAATGTGGGACAGAGTTGATTATATGATAGCATGAGAAATTTGCACTGGTTGGTGTTACAAACCAATGATCTAACCAGCATACTCTCCAAATATGAAAAAGTAAAAACATCTCATTAGGTTTGGAAGAGCCTAAGGTAGTCCATACAGGAAGTTTGCCTGAGAACAGAGAGGAGCCTGTTGATTGGCATGGCTCATGATGCCTTTCTTGTATGAATTATCAAAACTGATACTGAGTTGCCCCTAGAAAACAGCCTTCCAGAATATGTTTGCTTATTTATGGTGGAAGAGGAAGTGAGAACAAGATGAGAGTTTCCCTTAAAGTGAGGAGAATCATTATACAACTTTGCAACTGAAGTATGTTTCCTTGTAGCAAACCTTTGGTTTATTTTATCGTCAAATCAAAGCCACCCTCAGTTTTTTGTATGGTGCCATCAACCTAAGGAGGACAATCAAATAACCTATTGTTTGCCTTGGATTCAGTATATCTACTAAGTACACAGTCTCGTATACCTTCAAACCAGTTACTTGACTAAACTTCCACCATATTACCTTAGTTCTTCCTATGCCCTTTCCTCTGTGCCACCACAAATCAGAGGGAAAGACTGCAGTACTTCTAGAAAGTTGTGGACTTCTAAGAAAGAGCCAGGCTTCCATCTCACTATCCCTTGATCATTATCTCTGAAGTCCCTACCTGCACTTCCCTGATTGCCCTGTAGCAACACCAGCATGGTGGGAATTGGAGGGAAAGATTGTGGAAAATCCCTAAAGGGTCATTGTTCATGACGTTATTTTGAATTGTAAAATTGTGAGCCACTCACATTTCAATTACAAAAAGAACAGAACTCTTAATCACGTTGTGAAGATTAATTTCTTGCCATTTTCTGGATTAGCACAGAAGCTTGTATCAATGAAGAGTATTTAGGAGGGGAATAGGGGGAAAATTGTATTTTTCTGTTCAAACTCTCTCCTTCTATTTGTGTTTCCTTCACCCCTCTCCCTCCACCACACTGTGTTGGTCAAATGATACTATTCTATGAAACCCTGAGCTATAGTTGTCAAAAGTAACTATGGATTGTGATTAGTCCTCTGTGGGTGCTTCCTTCCCTCTTTTTTCTCCCTCACTCTCTTTCTCAGTCTCCACTCTGGTAAATGGAAAAGGTGATGTCGAAGAATTGATGCTTGCTTGGACTCATGTTGTATCTGTGACTATGCTATTAGCTGTCTCCTTTTTCCTTCCTATATGGGTAGAATTCTTATGACTTATGAAGTTCCCTTCTTGATAAGTAGGTTAAATGCACAATGTGGTACTGTTTTATAGTTTCTAGATGGTTGTATAAAGCAAAAAGTTAATGTGGTTATGTGTTTTTAAAGAAAATAAGTGATTGGTCACTAAACTCTGTCCTTTTTTCATTATTACAATTTCTCTCTGTTTTCCAACAGTTTGCTGACTCCTTTGTCACTGGTGAATGGTTTGTGTGACTGTTTTTCTCTCTTGGTTTCTTGAATTCCTGAACATAGTTCCCCTTAGGACTAATTTTCATATGGGGTTAGGGCAAACAGACTACAGTGGTGAAATTTTTAAACTATCCTACTAAGTTAAAAGAAGTTTAAATGGCTTTTATCTTCAGGTAATATGTGAGGTGTGACTCTAAAGCAATGGGATTGTTGTAACAAATCTTTCTTTTACTCGCACAAAGAATCTCAAATATTACAAATATGAGGTGAAATGATGTGTCCAATTACATTTTGGAGAGGTGGACACTGCTATCACTGCATACCCATGCCCTGTGAGGGAACATAGGACTTTTCTGCAGAATTCCTGGACTAATTATTATTCCTTATATATATCTAGGAAAGATTACAAAATTAACTGACCCTAAGATGAATATACCCACAATGCAAAGGGAAAAATAATTTATTGACTAAAGCATCAAAGCCTTTCATCTTACTTTGGTGCCACAAACTCTGTTATTACTATATTTCTGTGTAGGCTAAATCAGAATATGATAATATGGAGTTTCCAGGCCAAAGTCAAAGATAGGATATGAATATATAAGAATCACTAGATACTCAACACCACTTTTACAATTTGATAATACATACTCAACATTTGTATGCCTATAGTATTTTATATTTTTCCAAATATGTAGCATCTCAGAAATATGTAGATTAATGAGTCATCTCAGTTTGTTGAAGAGACAAAGACCTCACTAGAGCAGCAGTCCACAATCCCCGGTGGTTCTAGGAAGCCACTCTGTCTTGTATCCATCCTAGACATATCCAGAAGAATCCTTAGAGTTTTAGTGACCTGCATCTTTATATGGATAACTTTTAGTCGATATTTTTTAAGGTTATGGGAATAATGACCTATTTTATACTTTATTTCTTAAGAGATGGGGTCTTTTTCTATGTTGCCCAGGCTGGCCTCAAACTCCTGGGCACAAGTGATCCCCAAATAGCTGGGAGTACAGGCATGCACCACCATGCCTGGCTTATACTTTTTGATTGACTTCTTTTTCTAGTGTCCCACCTTTTCCCTTAGAAGAATTGTGGAGTTCCTGTATTCTTAAAAATTAATATGTGTTTATTGAGTATGTGTTAATCCTATCATATGCTAGGCATTACTTTAATACTTTTAGTTGAAGTTGGTTTTATTATCGTTAGTTTTATGGAGACAAGAAGGGAAAGGTGATAAAATTATTTCTAAACTACATACTTATCTGAAACCACTGCCAGAAAAGCTAGACCGTCCTCTTACTAGGTATCACTGCCTCAGGGTAATCTGAATTTTCTATCTCAAGTTAGAGATTACTCTTCACCCCTTCCCAAGCAGATATTAAAGTCTCTTATTCTGTTTTTTTCCTTTAAAAAGTATCAGATCTGTCAAGAGTTGTTTCTTCAGAATCTTCTATTGCCAAAAACTGTTCTTATAATCTATTTTATCATTCACTCACTTTGTCACTGATTAACATATTAGCACCAAAGTTCAACCAATGCTTACCTTTATAAAATGAAAATTTCCCCTTATTTAAATAAATTTTATATTAATTGCTTAGCTGAATGGGAATGATAGTAATAGTATTCTGCCTTGCTCTACCTAGAGCACACCTATGGCTTCCATTCTACCTATGTGAATAATCAAAGTCAAGGTATGATATTTGGCGATACATGTACTATGCTACTCTGCTTCCTTATGGTCAGTTTCTAGGTTAAGGAGAAAACCAAGTAACTCAAGAGAACAGGCAGGTAACAGAAGAGAACCAAGGAGAAGCATATTAATACTAATTCCCAAACCCTCTCCCCTTTTACTAAATTTCAAATTATCATGTATTCTAAATATCACAATATTTTATGTTGTGTGGTTGAAGTAAACAAATTTGCTTATTTGTGGTTACTCAAAGCCTGTCTTCTGACTAGATGGGCCAATACAGTTTTTAAAGTTCAGTTAATCAGGGCTTTTGTATCCCTTTGGCAAGGAAATACACAAGATAATTTAGAAACATCAGTTCTTCAAATATTATTCCTGTCGACTGTTGGATTTAAACTTTTTTTCTACACTTTCATAGATACCGTAGGAAATTTTAGCCCCTCCCTAGGCAGCCGTGGTCAAAAGACTTGCCGGGCTGGATGTGTGCCTGCTGCTAGCTATTGACCGTCCATGAGGACATAGCCTGGTTTCCTTCTGTGGCAATGCCCTAGTCTTAACCAGCCTGCAACCCTAATAGGAACACAGTTCAGAGGAAAGGAGACATCCTTTTTCCAAAGGTGCTCCACTGTCAGCAGGAGGTCACACAAAATCATATTGACTAAATGTTTTAATGCCTGGTAAATAGTTGGGGCCTAAGGAATATTTGTTAAACTGAAAGGTAACTTCAGGAGTCTATCAGTAGATGAGCTGCTGAGTAAATTTAGGAGGTTATCAGCTTTTTTGATCAACTGCTGCCTCTAACTGGTGCTTCATCACTGGTGGACTTGCCAGGCTCCTCACTTTGATCCTTGTGTGAAGTCAGGTTGTTTGAAAACTTGATTCCAATGCTGCCCTCACCAGTACTGCAATAGCAGGTGCTTCTTCATTCTGTGGACTTTGTTTTATCCCAGGGTCAGTGTAATCACAGCTGACCCTTCCTGGCTGCTGCAGGGGAGACACATCTCACATTAGTGCATGTCGTGTGGTGCCCATCCCGTGTATAGAGGAGAAAAGTAACTGGCTCTGGACACCAACAATTACTGAACCTGGAGGAGGACCCAAATCTAACTAGCTCCGTAGCCCACATACTCTCTCCCTTGAAAAAAGAAGGAAGGGGGAATTTTTTTTTTTTTTTTTTTCCTGCTTGGCAGACAAGACTAGGAAGTGCCTTGTGAATTACTCCCTTTTTTTTTTTTTTTTTTTTTTTTTTTTTTTGAAACGGAGTCTCGGCTCACTGCAGGCTCTGCCTCCCAGGTTCACACAATTCTCCTGCCTCAGCCTCCGAAGTAGCTGGGACTACAGGTGCCCGCCACCACGCCCGGCTAATTTTTTTGTATTTTTAGTAGAGATGGGGTTTCACCGTGTTAAGCCAGGATGGTCTCAATCTCCTGACCTCGTGATCCGCCCACCTCGGCCTCCCAAAGTGCTGAGATTACAGGTGTGAGCCACTGCGCCCGGCCGAATTACTGCTTCTTTCTAAAGTTATGCCTGCTTGAGTCTGAATATAACCATTTTAAAGAAAATCAAAGAACATCCCCCTCCCTCCCACAAATGCATAAATATAGGTTTCTCTAAAAGCCTGGGTCGCACTGACTACGGCTTTTTGGAAATTTGTCCTCTGTCCCTCCATGGAAGACAAATCTAGCATTTTGTAAAAAATTAAACAGTAACAACAAACAACTCCCTATTGGCTGCTTTTCACAGGATGCCTCTCCCTTGAAGCAGCCACCCTCTTTCCCTAAGCGCTTATTTTCCCTCCCCTCCCCTCCCCTTCCTTCCGGTTGTTAAAACTTTCACCAGTGAGAGGATGGTGTACTGCAGTAAGGCAAGCACTTGCAGTGTGTCAGGCATTTGAGATATAGGGAGGAGACAGTAACTATGGGGCAATGAGGGTGGATGGCTATTGCTAAGTGCCACTGATGCCTCAAGAAGGATAATGAACATCAGAGAGCAAGTACCAGGCAACTGGAAGCCAGATGTGGAAGCCCGAGGACCACTAGTTGCATACAGAGAATCTCTCATCTGCAGTGGAAGGGAAGAGAAAGTGAGGACTAAGCCCAGGGCTTAATAGAGTGGCAGAATTTCAGACAGTTAAAACACCCAACCAAGGCAGGTCTGATATGTAAGGTCAAGGACCCAATTGGGAAAACCTAACACATGAGATGGCAATATCTGCTTGGATCCCCCCCAAAGACTTTTACTTCCTGAACCCCTCAGAACATTCTGAACCTATACATATGCCTCCCCCATTCCTTGCTAGCACTCTCCATTCCCAATATTACACTGGCCCTTCTTGTGCAAGACAATGTATGCACCTTTCAGAGTCCTCTATGACTCAGCTGGGGACATGCTGGGCTTGCTAAGGGAGAATAGGGACTATACTGAACTGTAAGATGTAGTCAGCATGGACTGACAGGAGCTGGAGGAGATTCTGAGAGCACTTGAAGAGGGGGACCAGAACATAAGGTAGAAGAGAGGACAATTTTTGACTTGAAAGGGTTTTTCTAAGATACAGAATTTAACTCCCTAGCATAAGTATCCCAGGTGTTGGTGTAAACTTGCTGCTAGCATGGCTTCTAGAAAGCTGGAAAAAGTGATGGCCCATGTTGAACAAAGTTAAAATTCCAGAATTTCTATGGGAGACAATGGAGGAAGGGAAGGAAAGGAGAGGAAAGGAGGGAGGGAGACCATATTGTGGGGAGACAGAGGAATATAGACTATTGCCACATCCTATGCCTCTTCTCTCCACTCTTGTTTAATTGACCACTTGGGCCCCTGAAGAAACTGGATGGGTTAGGGAGGGTCATTGTAGACCATCACAAGCTCAATCAAGTATAATCCCAATTGCATGCTGCCAGATGTATCTTCATTAGACCAGATCTATACTGCCTTAAGTATATGGGTATACAGCTGTTGATTTAGTGCAGGCATTCTTTTCTCTTCCAGTCAGAATCAGAAACAGTTCACATTTTCATGGAAATGATAATACACATTAACAGTTTTGCTCCAAGGCCATGCTAAGTCCAAAGAAGTGTGGACCAGCTGGACATCCACAGAACATCACATTGATCCATTACAACAATGCCACCATGTTGATTGGGCTGGATGAGCAAGAAGTGGCTAGCACACTGCAGACCTTGGTAAGATATGTGTTTCCCCGAGGGTTGGAGATTATCCTGAGTAGATTCAGGAGCCTGCTACATCTGTAATATTTTCAGGAGTTCAGTAATCAAGTCCAGTAGCCGTAGACATCTTCTCCAAAGTAAAAGACAAATTATCGCACCTTGTACCTCCTAAGGAAGAAGAAAGCAGAGTGCCTGGAAGCCTCAGTTTCTTAAGTCAGCATATTCTGCACCTGGGGATACTACTACAACTCATATCAGGTGACATGACAGACTGCCATTTTTGAGTGGGTCCCAGAGCAGGAAAGGGCTCTGCAACCAGCCCAGGGTATCAAGCAAGCAATCCTGTGGCTTAGGCTGTATGATCTGACAGACTCTATGGCAGTATCAGTGGTGGGAAAAGATATTGTGCAGAGTTTGTGGCAAGCCCCAGTGGGTATCAGAATGCAAGCCGCTGAGGCTCTAGAGAAAGACCCCGCCATCTTCAGTGAAGAATTGCATACCTTTGAAAAACAACTCCTACCCTGCTAGCGAGCCCTGGTAGAGGAGAAAGAGTGTCTGACCATGGTCACCATGGACAATGTGGCTAGAACTGTCCAAAAAGTACTGTGTCCTATCAAGCCCAATAAGTCAGATGGCCCCAGCAACAATCCATTGTAAGATGGATGTGGTACCTCCAGAAATGAGCACAAGTGGGGTCAGAGGACACAAGCAGGCTGCATGAGCAGAAAACCCAGACCCCCTGTCATCTGCTACATTGTACCACAGCTCCCCTTTCAGAGCACACCTGTGGCTGTACGGGGGATCCTATAAGACCAGTTGAAAGAGGAGGGGAAAGCCTGAGCTTGTTTCATGGATGGGTCAGCTCCACATACGGATGCAAGCTGAAATCAGATGGTAGCTACACTGCAGCCTCACAAGGGTAGTCTTGAAAGACAGTAGTGAAGGAAAAGCTTCCTAATGATCAGAGCTTTGAGTAGTGCACCTGGTCACCCACTTAGTGTGGGAAAGAGAAGTGATCTAAGGTTAGAATATATAGTGGAAAATGGCCTGGCCCAGATGGTCAGAAAAAACAGATCAGGGATAAGGAGGCTGGGGCAGAGGCACATGAATGGACCTAAGGGAGCGGGCAAATCTTTGTATCACATGTTAACAACCACCAAAGAGCATCCACCATTGACAACTAAACAGCCAGGCAGTCGGGTGACTCAGCCCACCAACTTCAGCCAGCCAGGCTCGCCAGTGTTGGCATGATGGCAACATGAACAAAGTGGCAGAGATGGAGGCTCTTCTTGTATGGGCCAACAGCATGGAGTCTCAATCAAGATAATTTGTCTGCTGCTTCAAGGCCCAAACTACCTGCAACAGAGACCAACACTGAGTCCCCAATATGGCACCCATTCCTCAAGAAAACCAGCTACTTGATGGCAAGTTGGCAAAATGGGGCTTTTCCGTCCTGGAAGGCCCAGTAGTTTGTTCTTACAGGAATAGGCACATATGGAGGGTATGGGTTTCCCTTTCCTAACCATAGAGTCTCAACTAGCACCACCATCCAAAGGCTCAGAGAGTGTTTGATCCGCTAGCGTGAGATTCCATATATCACCTTAGACCAGAGGATCAACTTCACAGCAAAGGAGGAGTGGGAGAGAACCCAAGACCATGGGATTCATTAATGGTAGCGCATAATGCATCACCTAGAAGCTGCCAACCTGAATGAGCATTGGAATGGTATGCTGAAGACATAGCTAAAGTGCCAGATCAAAGGCAATACTCCGTGAGCATGGGTGACATCCTCCAGGATTCAGTAATGCATTGGATCAAAGACTCATACATGCTACTGTCCCCTAAGGACACATGGGAAGAAGGAATGAAGGAAGAGAGGGAGGGAGGGAGAAAGGAAAGGAAGGAAAGGAAAGGAAAGGAAGGAAGGAGGGAGGGAGGGAGGGGGGAGGAAGGGAGGGAAAGAAATGAAAAGGAAAGAGGCTACCTTTTTGGTGATTTGTAAGGATCTAGCAGCCATAATCGTCACCGCTGCTCTCCTAGGAGACAGAGACAAGTCTCCTGGGCCCAGCTCCCACGGCTGCTACCACAGTGGAATGGGGCATTGGTGGAGAGGTCTAAGGGACAGAAATGGATTGGAGAGGTGATTCTGTGTGAACAGCATATTGGAGAGAAAAGTGAACACCCATGAACCTTTCAGATGCAGCTGCTGAATGAGGGTTGTGGGCCCAGTGGGGCAGGGCGTTACACATACAATATAAAACCAGAGCTCTGAAGAGCTTGAAAAACCCTCAGTGTGTGTCACTCGGGAAGGCTTCTAAGCAATTTGTGGAAGACACATTGGGGATCCCTGAGCCCACTGGCCCCCCAGGGCTCTGCTCTGCTCGGCACAGTAAAGGTGGCACCCAGCACCCCGTCTCAGCTCGTGGACACCCTTCCCTAATATGCTGTGACAAGAACCACTATGTTGCAGCCACTTAAGACATTAAACACCCACTCTGCATGCAACCCCCGTCGTCCCCAGGGGCTCCTTGGGAGAGCAGCTGCCTCAGCAGACCCTCACCTCCTTCCGGCCCCTTCACCCCTCCATGCCCCTTTTTTTTTTTTTTTTTTTTTTTTTTTTTGAGACGGAGTCTTGCTCTGTCTCCCAGGCTGGAGTGCAGTGGTGCGATCTAGGCTCACTGCAAGCTCTGCCTCCCGAGTTCATGCCATTCTGCCTCAGCCTCCCAAGTAGCTGGGACCACACGCGCCCACCACCACGCCTGGCTAATTTTTTTTGTATTTTTTTAATAGAGATGGGGTTTCACCATGTTAGCCAGGATGGTCTTGATCTTCCGACATCGTGATCTGCCTGCCTCAGCCTCCCAAAGTGCTGGGATTACAGGCATGAGCCACCGCGCCCGGAACCATGACACTTTTAAACTGGTTTTGCAGCTGATTTCCTGAGTCAACAGCTCCTTACCATTTCATTGCCAACTGACCCTTTTATCACTTCCCTGAACCCTATGTTTTTAAAGATTTTGTCTAATTAGCCAGCCATATTTATTGCATAATAATTCTTGTCCCCATGACAACCAATGTTATCAAACTGAGTTGATACAACGCCAGTCAGAAGCAAAGACATTTCTCATGGCAAACATATAATTTCCATTAGACTTCTTTAAATGTTGGAAATCGCTTCTGCCCTTCTTCCCATTAGGCATCCAGGGACCCTGGGGTGGGAATTTCTTTCTGAGGGTTACCTTTGAGTGCCCACCAAATCTCCATGGTTCTCCCTTTTCACAGATGGGCAAACCAAGCTGTTTTGACATGAGTTAGCTTAAATTGACAAAGAATCAGAGTGGAAACAGATTTTTTAAATCTCCCCCTTTTTGGTCCCTAACTCCTCAGAGCACTATTGTTTCCAAAAAATAAAAATAAGAAAGCTGCAATCAGCTGCCACCATTCCCTGAGGGAGCCTTCTCTGGGCGCCGCCTGGCCCTTCCCCCAGGATCTTGGGAATCGCTGGCCAGCAGCTGCCTCAGCTCCCTGCAGCTAGAGTGTGGAGTAACGTGGCAGACAGAGCCTGAGAGGTTATCTGGTCTAGGCTGTCCCAAGGGTGTTTCCTGGGATGCTAATTGCTATTTTGAGGGAAAAGGCTTCTGTGGTCATTTACTTATGAGAAAGACAGAGTTAAACAAAGGTAAACTGGTTGAGTTTAGTTTTTGTTTTGTTTTTACTTCAGGCCTTCCCAGAGCCTTTAAAATGCCTTTGGTCCCAAGTCTCTGACAGGAGGGTGAGGTGGCTCCATTATCTCCACACTTATTGGACCTGAATGCTCTTTTTCATAGGAAAGCTATGAACAAGAGGAACATGGTTTGGAAATGTTTGTCCCAGCCACCATGTCCAGATGAGGAAACAGAATTCCATGGAAGTGGAATGACCAGCACTTGGTCCCACAGCTGGATGTGGCCCAGCCAGGGCTGAAGCCAGACGGTGGAGTCTCAGCCTGGACTGTTCAGACTTGGGTCTTTCCCTCCATCCTTCACCCACCACACACCTTGATTTAACCCAGGAAAAAACTTTCCAGTGGGCCACAGAAATGGAGCAGATTCTGCTCGGATAGAGACTGCTTCTGAGGTTCATCTGTGTCTTCAGCAGAATCCCCCAGGCTGGTGGACGCAGGAGGGAGCGAGGAGGCAGGAGTCCCCACGGACATGGCTGCACAGCCTGGGGCCACAGGGCTTCCAAGAGGGAGCCAGTCTGCAGCAGAAAAGCCCAGAGGGCAGCTTCCGCACACACACAAGCACAGCCCCCACCCCCGACACTGCAGACAGGGCCTCTTCCGGAAGGCGCTCCCCCAAGCTCATGTCCCACAGCCTGGGCTTGTTGGAGGCCATCTGGCCTGCAGATGCTGGTGAGCCTCCATGGTGTCTGTCCCCACTGTGGCAGGGACAAAGTCCCCAAGAGGAAGAGAGGACCTGACTGCTCTTCAGAGCTTGACACACAGCACCCCCAGCCAGAAGCTGACCTCCCACTTGTTTGAGGCAGTGTTCAAGGGGCTGTCCACAGCAAGAGAGATGGGACTGGGCTCCATCTCCAAAGAGGCCTCCCTGAGCCAGCACAGAGGAAGGACAAAGAAAAGATTGAAAAAAGCAGAGTTGGGGCTCTCTGGTGCCATTGCGCTGCCTCCATTCAGCTAAGATGCCCTGCCTCTCCTTCCACCTAAAGCAGCTTCTGCCACTTAGGAGACCCCCCTCTCCCCAAACACTGAATGGCACGGGTTGGCCAGCTTAGGAACTCCGTTGACTAAGCCAGACCTTCCTCCTTTCCGCCTGCCCCTAGAGTGTGAGAGGGCACAGCAAGCAGCTGTCCTCCCTGCTGGTGGTCACCACCTCCAGCACTGGCTCTGTTTCCCTTTGAACATTAATTAGCAGGTGGGTTCTGATTTGAGAGTGAAGCATTCTTTGGGGGTGCCCAGCTGAGAGCAGTGGTCTGGTGGAGCAGCGTGCAGGACTCTCTGGAAGGCTCACCCGTTATAGCAGAGCTGGAAATGTGATTTCCAGGCCTGAGTCGGATGGTGGGGGAGGGTCGCCCTCCAGCCTGGTGACTGGAGGTGAATTCCCGGATCTCCTGGGTCTTGGCTTCTTCCTCTGTGAACTCTGACTTGGGGGTTGTTGGGAGGTGATTTAGTGCTGTTCTAACATATGCTGGTATCTGCCCTTCACAACGCGGGGACAGAGGCGGATGGCAGTGTTTTCACTGCTGTCCCTGTGGACATGGAGGGTGCTATGTGGGGAGAAGTGCCACAACCCAAAATCTCAGCACATTAGTCCTGAGTGGAAAACCTCCTCTGACAGTTTCTTCAGCAAGCAAAGTGCATTTCTACTGTGCTGATCACCCTCATCCCACTTGATCATGTTCATACCCAGACCTGAGCTAGACCCTCAACCAAATTAGTCCCCAGCCAATCTGGGACCTCTTGGAGACCGTAGGGTAAGGAAAAGTGGTGAGGGACATAGCTTACTTGAGCTTAGGATTCCTTTGGTTCCTGAAGGTAAGGAGGGAAACACTTGGGCTGATGGAGGGCCTATTTCAGGTCTCACCAACAAAGAAGGGACAGGTGAAATAAGAATACATGAGGCCAGGCACAGTGGCTCACACCTGTAATCCCAGCATTTTGGGAGGCCAAGGTGGGCGGATCACTTGAGGTCAGGAGTTCAAGACCAGCCTGGCCAACGTGGTGAAACCCCGTCTCTACTAAAAATACAAAAATTAGCCGGGCGGTAGTGACATGCACCTGTAATCCCAGCTACTCAGGAGGCTGAGGCATGAGAATTGCACCACTGCACTTTTGAGACAGAGCTAGACCCTGTCTCAAAAAAAAAAAAAAAATACATGGGCCACATGAACAAACAGGCTCTCTTCAAATAGAAGCTGGTTGGTCACATCACCCCATTGACAAGATCCCTGTCTAGCTAGAGATAGCCTTCCGAGACACATGACCAGCCTTTGAATCCTGGGACCGCCACTTACAACTGGGGGACCTTGGGCAAAATAGTTGGCCTCTCTAAGCCCCAGTTTACCCATCTATAAAATAGGGATGATAAAATCAACTCTTAGCGTTGCCTTGTGAATCAGGCTAAGTGGTGTAGGCAGTGTTGGCCCAATTCCAAAAGCTCAAGGCTGTAACCAATGAAAAGAGCTTATGGACTCATGAAAGAGACAAAGAAACCCACCCGTCAGGAGTTGCAGGCAGTGAGTGCTGTTGGAACATCAGAAATGGGTACTTCACTCTGGCTGGGGGTGATCCGAAGCGCCCCCCAGGTGGGGAAGGAGGGAACCATCCAGGTACGGGCTGCACATGTGTTCATGGAACTGCAAGCAGGGTGGGGGATGAAAAGGAAGCGTGAGGTATATACAGAATGTGGGAGGAGGTGGATTGAGAAGGGCTCAATGCCCTGAGCCAAAGCTGTGAACCACATTTCAGTGATCACAAGGGCTACAAGCTGGGAAGGCACGATCACCTTTGGGTTTTAGAAAGGTTATTTCGCCAGCTGTAAGAGAAGGAGGCAGGGCACCCTGAAGGCAGGGAGGCCAGGTAGTAGGTGGTTCTGTTCTGTGGTGGAGGATCCTGGGCTCGGAACTGAGGTAGAGGCAGTGGAGAGGTGGCTCCAAGAGCTGGGACTTGGGCGGTGTCACTGTGGAGGCTGAAGGAGAGGGAATCACTCAAGTTGCTGGCATGGGTGGTTGATGGTACCATTCACTGGGAGAGGATTCAGAGAAGGGAAAGGTGACCCGTTCAGTTCCCAACATGTCAAAATTGAAGTGCCCAAACAAATAGAGATACTCAGTTACACAGCACATAGTAGGAACTTTATAAATACCTGTTGAATGAATATGGTTGGGGTCTAGGCTGCAGCTCAGCAGGGATGGCAGCCCAAGGTGACAAAGTACGAGTCTTCACACACGAGGATGGACAGCGTGGAGCTCTTGGGTTCAGAAGACGCTCCTTGGCCAGGTGCAGTGGCTCACACCTGTAATCCCAGCACTTTAGGAGGCCGAGGTGGGAGGATTGCTTGAGCCCAGGAGCTTAAGACCAGTCTTGGGCAACATGGAATAAACCCTACGTCTACAAAAAATACAAAAAAATTATCTGGGTGTGGTGGCATGCGCCTGTAGTCCCAGCTACTCAAGTGGCTGAGGTGGGAGGATAGACTGAGGCCACGCGGTTGAGGCTATAGTGAGCCATGACTGCACCAGGGCACTCCAGCCTGGGTGACCAAGTGAGACCTGTCTCAAAACAAAAACAAAAACAAAAACAAATCTGTTGTAATTTTTTATCGGAATGCATTTAATCCTGTTATGGGTTGAATTGTGTCCCTCCAAAATTCATGTTGAAGTCCTCAGTGTCTCAAAATGACATTATTTGGAAATAGGATCATTAGAGATGCAAAAAATTAAGATGAATATAGTGGGGTGGGCCCCTAGTCCAATACTACTGGTGTCCTTATAAAATGAGGGCAATTGAACGCAGACACTACAGAGAGAATGCCATGTGAAGGCTGGAGTCACACTTCCACAAACCAAGCAAAGCCAGCTCTTAGCACGGAGCCCTGGAACAGATCCTTCCCTGGGGCCTTCAGAGGAAGCATGGCCCTGCCAGCATCTTGATTTTTCGGCTTCTTTTTATATACTGACTTTGTATCCAGATCCCTGCTCAATTTAGTTCTTAATTTTGAGAGTGTGGAGATGTTTTTGGATTTTCCTACATCCAAAATCATGCAATCTGCAAATAATAACACTTTTTTCTTCCATTTTTTATACTTTCCCCCACTTTTTCTAGCTTTATTGCACTGGTTAGAACTTCTGTGACAACGCTGAGTAGAAGTGGCACACTGAACATCCTTTCCCTGTTCCTGAACTTGGGGAAAGTGTCTCTATTAGTCAGTTTTCATGCTGCTGATAAAGACATACCTGAGACTGGGTAACTTATAAAGAAAAAGAGGTTTAATGGACTCACAGTTCCACGTGACTGGGGAGGCCTCACAATCGTGGTGGAAGGCAAAAGCTATGTCTTACATACTGGCAGATAAGAGAGAATGTGTGCAGGGGAACTCCTCTTTATAAAACCATCAGATCTCATGAGACATTCACTGTCATGAGAAAAGACCCACCCCAGTGATTCAATTACCTCCCACCAGGTCCCTCCCAAGACACGTGGGAATTATGAGAGCTACAATTCAAGATGAGATTTGGGTGGGGACACAGCCAAACCATATCAGTGTCCAATATTTCACCACTGAATATCATGTTAGCTATAGGCTTTTTAATAGCTACCCTTTATCAGATGAAGAAAAGTTAGGGTCTGTTTTTATACTCTCTATTATGTGACATTACTCTGGTTGTTTATTTTTGTATTAGTTTCTATTTTAATTACTATAACCTTATGATACAATTTTATATTTTATAGAATAAGTCCCCTTCCATATTTCTTTTGCAAAACTGTTATGAAATATTTTTGCCGATTTACGGGATTTTTTTTTTTTTTGAGATGGAGTCTCACTCTGTTGCCCAGGTTGGAGTGCAGTGGAGTGATCTCAGCTTGCTGCAAACTCCGCCCCCCTGGGTTCAAGCGATTCTCCGGCCTCAGCCTCCTGAGTAGCTGGGATTACAGGTGCACATCAGCACACCCGGCTAATTTTTGTATTTTTAGTAGAGATGGAGTTTTGCCATGTTGGTCAGACTGATGTCAAACTCCTGACCTCAGGTGATCTGCTTGCTTTGGCCTCCCAAAGTGCTGGGATTACAGGCATAAGCCACCATGGCCTGGCCTATTTATGGGATCTTGACTGAAATTGCACTAAATTTTTTAATTAATTTGGGGGAAAATTTCACCTTTGTAATATCTAATAAATATCCAGGAGCACTGAATAAATATTTCTCCATTTACCCAGATTTTCTTTCATATACATGGTGATATGGTTTGGCTGTGTCCCCACCCAAGTCTCACCTTGAATTGTAATAATCCCCATGTGTCAAAGATGGGACAAATGGAGATAATTGAATCATGCGGGTGGTTTCCCCCATACTGTTCTCATGATAGTGAATGAGTTCTCACGTGATCTGATGGTTTTATAAGGGGTTCTCATTCTCTCTCCTGCTGCCATGTGAAGAAGGATGTGTTTGCTTCCCCTTCTGCCATGATTATAAGTTTCCTGAGGCCTTCCCAGCCATGTGAAACTGTGAGTCAATTAAGCCTCTTTTCTTTATAAATGACCCAGTCTCAGGTATGTCTTTATTAGCAGTGTGAGAATGGACTAACATACATGGTAAAGATTTTTCATGTGATTTCCACATTCTAAAAAATTATGATCTGTTATGTATACATATAAGATATTTATCCTGTACATATATTTATCAATATATATCTCTCACAATGTTAAGAAGAATAACATGAACACCCACACAGTCATCACCCAACATAGGAAGGCATTGCCTTTGCCTTTGGACCCCTCCATGTCCTTCTACCCAATTTCTATCCCCCTTTTATCTTCCCGCCTTCAGTAGGGCACTACTGTCTGTGTTAATAATTCTGTTGCTTTTTATTGCAGTTTCACTCCAAATGTATGTGTCCCAAAATAATGCATCTTTTAATTTTGTGTTTCTTTTTGACTCGCTTTGCTTGTTCAACATGTTAGTGATAATCACTGATATTTTCCCTGTAGCTATATTTTATTTTATTTATTTAATTTTTTTTTTTGAGATAGAGTCTTGCTCTTTCACCCAGGCTGACAGGCAGTGGCACGATCTCAGCTCACGGCAACCTCTGCCTTCCAGGCTCAAGCAATTCTGCCTCAGCCTCCCGAGTAGCTGGGATTACAGGCACCCGCCACCATGCCCAGCTAATTTTTGTATTTTTAGTAGAGACGGGGTTTCACCATGTTGGCCAGGCTGGTCTCGAACTCCTGACCTCATGATCCACCCACCTCGGCCTCCCAAAGTGCTGGGATTATAGATGTGAGCCACCACACCTGGCCTGTAGCTATATTTTCATTGCTATGTAATATTCCATTTTACAAATATGCCACAATTATCCTTTCTACCATCAATGGCTATTTGAGTTGTTTTCAATTATTTTGTATTATAAACAATGTTGCTATTAACATGCTTGTAAATGTCTTTAGTGTGAAGGTTTTTTCTAAATGGGCTATTATTTTTCTGGCTGAGGTTTTTTGTTCTTTCAGTTCTGTCTTCTATTTGATTAATGCTGGTATTTAGGAAAACTAGAACTTTTTTCATTTTTTATTTTTTTGTAGAAACAGGGTCTCACTATATTGACCAGGCTAGTCTTAAACTACTGGCCTCAAGTGATCCTCCCACCTCGGCCTCCCAAAGTGCCAGGATTACAAGTATGAGCCACCACACCTGGCCTGGTAAACTAGATTTGAACATTTATCTTGTGTCCAATTTGAGTACAATTTACTTGGGTTTTTCATCGTAAACAATAATATCATCTACAAAGTATAATGATTTTGGCAACTCCCTTTTAATAATTATACATTTCAGAATCCCATTGTTAAATTAATATGGTGATGCGAAGCATTCCAGTTTTGTTCCTAACTTTGGTGGGACTGTGCTGAAGTTTCACTAGGCTGTAACTATGTTGGCTGTTAAATGTTGGCTTTGAGATATAATATTTTTATTATATTAAGGAAAGCTTCTACTTCTAGGTACAGTGTTGAATTTTGTCAAATACTTTTTTTAGCTTCCATTGAAATGATCATAATTTTTTATTGAACTATTGAGGTGAGAATCATGCTAATATATGTTTTCATAGTCTCTCAAGCCAATCATTAATATAATATAGACATTTTCTGTTTTTCTCAAGATTGAAAATGGTCACAAACATGACTTCAGGTCTTAGTCATCCTCCAAGATCTTTCTCCCTGAGTCTCTTTTCATTTGTAGCTGAGAAAATTGACTTGGCCAAGCTGACAGTGACTGTTGACAGACAGGTTAAAGCCGGGTGACCTCCCTCATACTGATGATGGCCCCCTGCAGAGCAAGCATGGTAGACTAGGAGGGAGAGTATTAAAGTATTTCCCGGCTGGACACAGTGGCTCACGCCTGTAATTCCAGCACTTTGAGAGGCCGAGGTGGGCCGATCATGAGCTCAGGAGTTCGAGACCAGCCTGGCCAACACGGTGAAACCCCGTCTCTACTAAAAATACAAAAATTAGCCAGGCGTGGTTGTACACACCTGTAGTCCTAGGTACTCAGGAAGCTGAGGCAGGAGAATTGCTTGAACCCAGGAGGCGGAAGTTGCAGTGAGCCGAGATCACGCCATTGTACTCCAGCTCTGGGCTACAGAGCAAGACTCTGTCTCAGAAAAAAAAAAAAAAATCCCTAATCCCAGTCATTTCCCTGTGATTAGGATTATGAAATGAAAAGCTGCAACTGGAGTCAGGCATGAAAACAGATGCCTGGCAGAGTCAAGAGTTGATGCAGAGTGAGCGGGCAGAGACAGTGAAGTCTGCAGTTAAAATCCCTGGCCAGGGTCCTGGTCCCATCCCAGTGGGCTTCCTGCCTGCCAGCCTGGGGGAGTGGCGTGGGCTGACCCCGACCAGGTAAGAGCCACACGTCTCTTCTCCTTTGGGCATCTGTAGATTCAGGGTGGTGCAGTGCCCAGAGCTGATGTGTGCGAGTGTGTGTGCCCGTGTGTGCTGCAGCATGCAGAGAGGCGTGACAGGAAGACCGGCGGCTGCAGTCTGGAGGTGCCCAACTGTCCTCTGACAGCATCTCTCCTAGTGTTCTCTCCCAGCCTGTTTTTGCACTTTTCTCTCATTACCTTCTCTTCTCCCCCACCCCCATCCATTTCTTCTTCTGATAGGCATTTTATTTCCAAATTTCCAGGCTCACTTAGAATTGAAGTGTAAGGCCAATGCTTCTGTCGGTGATGGATGGCATTTTGGGGAAGAGAAAAGAGGGAAGGGGGCCACGGGCAAGGAGGCCTGGGCATCAGACGTAAGCAGGGCTCAGTCAGGAAGCCTGGGCACAGCTCCCGGCCCTGCCAAAGGCTGACTTTCTCGCAGGGCCTGGGGCAGGACTGGCCATACTGAGTGGACGAACCAAATCCTTCGGAGAGGACCTTGATTCTCTTAGCAAGCTGTGGTCCCTCTCTCTCTCAGGCATCGCTATCTGATAGGGATTTTTTCTTTTATTTAATCACCTGGCATTTGGTCCACACCTTTTTTGTGGTGGGCACCTCTTAGGGGCCAGGGACACAGGAAGGATCAGACACGGTGCTGCTTGAAAGAAGTCTCTGTGAAGTGGGAGACACACAGGCTTAGATGTGCACAACTGTGGACAAGTGCTCTGATAGAAGCAGGTGATCTGACAGGTGAGGGCTGTGGAGGGAGTGGGGGAAGGCTTCCCTGAGGAGGTGACATGTGAGCTGAGTGTGGAAGGTCTAGGAGGAGACAGCCAAGTTGGGATGGGGATGTCAGTCTGCTCGGGCTGCCATAACAAAACGCCATAGACTGGGTGGCTTAAAACACAGGAAATTATTTCCACGGTTCTGGAGGCAAATGTCGGGGGTCACATGCCAGCTCGGTGGAGTGCTGGTGAGGGCTCCCCTCCTGGCCTGCAGACAGCTGCCTTCTCATTATATCCTCACATGGTGGTGAGGGTGCACAGGGAGAGAGCTCTCTGGGGTCTCTTTTTGTCAGGATGCTAATCCCATCCTGGGGGCCTCACCGTCATGACCTCCTCTAACCCTAATCACCTCCCAAAGGCCCCGCCTCCTAATACTATCCCACGGAGGGGTTAGGGCATCAACATAAGAATTTGGAGGGGGCCACAGTTCAGTCCACAGCAGGATGTGTGTGTGTGGAGTGAAGCAGGTACTTCAGGCTGAAGGAATGCCTGGGCAAAGGCAAGGAGACAGGACTCGGTGCCACCAGTCAGGGAACTAGAAGCAACTCAATATGTTGAGGAAGCAGGGCAGGCTCTCGGGGCTGGGATGAGAGATGAGGCTGGAGTGACCCATGTGCCATGCAAAGGCTTTTGAGTTTTAACTCGAGGCCCTGTGCTTCCCCAGACTGACCGGGCCTCAACATCACCTGGGAATCCTGGAAGGAAACAGGTTCCTGGGCCTTGCTCCAACCTAAGGAACCCGAATCTGCATAGGTGAGGCCTCAGAATCAGCCTTCCCAGCAGCGCGGTGGGGAGTACAGGGGAGCCGCGGGAGGGTTTTGGGAGGGGGGAAGCAGCTACATGGTAGACCCTGCACGCGCCCTCGCTCCTCTGCTGGAGGAAGTGATGAGGGCAGGCCTGGGGCTGGCAATGGGATCCTCAGCAGTTGCTGCTCAGATCAGTTGCCTCCTTGGACCATGTTCCCATGAGCAAGACAGGAGCCACCAGGAAATGCAGGTTTCCATTTGGACAAGCTCCTTTAGGCTGGACAGTCGAGGGATGGTAGAAGTGTGCCCCCACCCCATTTCTGCCCCACTTTGCTCTAATGGTGTGAGTTGGAAGGACCATCTCCCTCACTTTTCCCTTCATCCTGAGTGAAACCTGGTTTCCACAGCTCACATGGCGCCGTATTTCCAACGTTCAGAGCACATTGGAAAGTTGGGAGGAAGGATGAGGCTTGTGTTTTCACTCACAGTAAGTCAAAGGGGCTTCTTGGGATGGTCCATTTCCCTAGTTGTTCAGCAGAGGAAGGGGCTTTGTGATCACTGTTTACATTGTATTTGTTTTCCTCCTAGAACTCCCTCCAGAAGATGATAATGAAAGTGTCTGACGCATAAGGAAATAAATAAGATGGTTATGTGCCCAGCTCAAGGGCTAAGGTGTTGGTCAAGACCACACCCGAGGGGCTGCCAGTCACAGGGTGGGGTCCAAGCTCCTCACCAGACCCAACCTCCCCTGCTCTGCAACCTCATCCTTCCCCTGTCTTTCCTGGGTTAAATTTTACACTTAGTAACACTGAAACCAGGCAGTTTCACACCTCCGAGCCTGCATCTATGCTCATCTCTTTACCTGAAACGTCTTCTCTCACCCCTCCCCCTCTGTCTGGCTAATTCCTGCTCATTCTCCAAGACCCAGTTCTCCGTGGTACCCCTTCTCACCCAACACACACCCCTCAATCTAGCCTTTTCTGTGAGCAACCTACACCACCTTATGCTGACCTGGTTGGGAGCACATATATAGAAAGTTTGTGTGCCTGCCCCTCCCCAACTCCCCAGTTCCTCAAAAGTAGGGTCTGTGGTGCTAAATTTTGTCTCTGCAGTCTCTGACATATCTAGGAGCTCAACATATATCTGCTAAATCAAACAGAATCCAGATGAACAAGAATGCCCTCGACATGTAGATGTCACAATTCAACAGCATTCTAAGGGTTTGCTCGTGCTCATGGGTATCTTTAGGACAGGTGGCTTTTAAGGCCTCAATATAGATGTAACACCCTACTCCCCTCGCACAAAAAACAAAAAAACAAAAAAAACTTTAACCCAAATAAACTGAAAGTGATTATTTGCATCTCAAAAGATTGGGGGGAGGCAGGTTTTCTTTAAACATTAAACCTTTGCTGGAACTTTCAGAAACTTTCCTTATAGATCATTAACTTCTGGGGGAGGGTGGGAGCAGAAGCCGTGGAGTCTGAATTCAGAGGTGCCTCTATAAAAGAGGAAGCAAGGCAGAAAATCTTGGAACCAGACAGAGCTGGGTTCAGATTCTAGCTATACTAGCTGTGTGGCCTTGGGCAAGCTACTTAACCTCTCTGCAGCTCGATTTCTTTATCACTAAAGTGGAGATACACTATACCTATTTTGCATGGTTGTTGTAAAGATGCAAAAGATCCTATGTGGGGTACCTTAGCTCATAGGATGCCCCCAATAATAGTAACAGTGTTGCTGCTGTCAGGCTTAACACTGGGCATGCAGGAGAAGAAGGAGTCTTGAGGGGCTTTTAACTTAGACGGCAGGAATAAGAAAGCCAGGAAGGGCCAAGCCACTGTGCCAGCACATTTTCAGTATCACAGCACTTCATGATTTTTTTCACAAATCTTTTGATTTTTTTTTAAACTAAATCTTTCCATGTTGAACAGGCAGATGCTGGCGACAGCACTGTGCAGTGTACTGGCATGAGGGCCTGGACTCTAGGAGGCTGGACTACAGCTTACCCAGCTGTGGATCCTGGGGCGTTCACTTACACTCAGTGTCTATAGAAAGGAGACAATAGGCCAGGCGTGGTGGCTCACACTTGTAATCCCAGCACTTTGGGAGGCCCAGGCGGGCAGATCATGAGGTCAGGAGATCGATGCCATCAAGGCTAACACGGTGAAACCCCATCTATACTAAAAATACAAAAAATTAGCCAGGCACGGTGGTGGGCACCTGTATTCCCAGCTACTTGGGAGGCCGAGGCAGGAGAATGGCGTGAACCTGGGAGGCGGAGCTTGCAGTGAGCCGAGATAGCGCCACAGCACTCCAGCCTGGGTGAAAGAGCGAGACTCCGTCTCAAAAAAAAAAAAAAAAAAAAAAAAAGAAAAGGAGACAATAGCCACTGCCTACTTCTTAAGGCTGAAATACGAGATAATGAATTTAAACTGCTTAGCCAATGCCTGGTGCCAGTATGCCCACTGCAAATAGTGCAGGCACCACTCTGTGAAGCGATCAATACTAAAAAGCAAAAGCAGTCAATGCTTTGTTAAAGGAACTTCTTGTTCTGGGAACATGGTGAGTTTCGGGGAGGGAAGAGGCCACCCAGGACCCTGGAGACCACCTGTCACCAGAGCTGTGTAACTGCTACAGGAGAGGTGTCCCAATCCAGACCACAAGAAAGGGTTCTTGCATCTCTCGCAAGAAAGAATTCAGGGCAAGGCTGGGCGTGGTGGCTCATGCCTGTAATCCCAAACTTTGGGAGGCCGAGGCAGGTGGATCACTTGAGGCCAGGAGTTCGAGACCATCCTGGGCAACATGGTGAAACCCCATCTCTACTAAAAATACAAAAAGTAGCCAGGCGTGGTGGTGCATGTCTATAGCCCCAGCTACTCAGGAGGCTGAGGTGGGAGAATCCATCGCCCCACTGCCCTCCAGCCTGGGCAACAGAGCAAGACTCTGTCTCAAAAAAAAAAAAAAAAAAAAAAAAGCAAGGTGCGTTCACAGTGCAAAGCAAAAGCAAGTTTAGTAAGAAAGTAAAGTGGTGAAAGTACAGCTACTCCATAGACAGAGGAGGGAGTTCTGGAAAGTACGAGGAGGAACGCATCCACCCTGGGTACAATACTCGCTTACACAGGATAAAAAAGGATCATGGGGAGATGTGCTGTGCTACAAGGGTTTGTGATAAAGGATTAATTTTCTTAGTTACTATATTTTGCAATAATCGATATTATTAACTTTAAAGCATAATTACAAATGAGTCTGTTCTCAAGATATCAGGATATCAGGACACTCCTAAGTCTGGGTCTGTTTAGCAAACGTTATTAATTTGTTCTCTTAACCGTAAATATCTAGAAGCTGGGTATAGCTAACTCACTGGGAATGTGGCCCAGCAAGTCCCAGCCTCATTTTCCTCGCCCTCACACAAGATGGAGTCGCTCTGGTTCGAAGCCTCTGACGTAACCTTGGGCCTGTACTGTGACACAGAGGGTTTGCACTGGATAATCTCTCAAGCTCCTAGATTGCCAAGACGCCAGTCCACTCACAGCTCCCCAGGCTCCGCTCTCCTGTTGCCCTGCCAGACGCCCCTTCCCCCACCTTGTGCAGAGTAACCCCCTCCTGACTCAAGAGGCAGCCCCTCTAGAAAACTTCCTTCCCCTCCTCCCCTGCCCCGGTACATATTGCGCGGCCCTTACTGTTGCTGTGTCTGTCCTGTCATCTGGAGGTGCACAACTACCCCATGCTTCACAGTGAAGCCAGTCGGCTGAAGGAAAGATGAACGGGCACTTTCTCTTTGTAGAGATTTCCGGAATCTCCTGAGGCCACTTTTATTGCTTCCCGTCTTTGTGAAAAAATAGGCTTGGAAATAGGTGAGGCTCGGTCACCCCCTCTGGGTGGAAGGAGAAAGCAAGCTCCGTCGGTTTGGGCCGCGGCTGCAGGGAATGCCCCTGGTTGCGACCCCCGTCCCGCGCTGGGGAAAGTGATCTGCTCGAGAGCCCCCAGGACCCTGAGAACCGGTCCCCACCCAAGGCGGCGGCGGGCAATTCCGGCACCGCGGCAGACGGGATGCGCGGAGCGCGTTCCCTCCGGGTTTCCCTCACGCCTCTGGAGAGCGGGAACCAACGACCTTGACCTCGGAGGAAACGGCTCTACGGAGCGATGGACGGCCCCACAGAGAGGGCGGCCGGCTCCTCTGGAAAACTTGTCCACACAAAAGGCATTCCTCAGCTTCCACCCCGAAAGGCGAGCCCTGGGTGTAGGGTTACCAGCGGCGCGCGGAGCCCGCCGAGAACGTGGTGCGCCCCCAGCTCCTGCCCGCGCTCCCCGGCCTCCGTGCGCCCCGCGCGCCTCCGCTCTTGCGCCCGCTTTCCCGCGGGGAAGGGGCCACCGCCCTGCGAGGCTGGCGGCCGCCCCGTCGTCCCCAAGCTCGGGGCCGCCCTGGACTTCCATCCCGCGCCTCTGACGGCCGGGGACACTCGCTCCCTGGGCCGCGGCTCAGGAGAGGCGGCCCCGCGGGGCTCCGGGCGGGGTGGGAGGCCGAGGCCCGGCTCCTCCAGCCCCTCCCGCGGCCCCACCTCTCCGCGCTCGGCTCCCTCTGCCCAGCGCGGGCCGGGAAGGCGCGGGCTTGGCCGCTCTTCCCCTCCACGGCAAAGCCGTGAACGGACAGCTGATGCCACTTCCTTCCCTGCCAGCGCCCTCCCTGCCCGACCCCGCTTCCCGTCCTCTCGCCGGGAGGGAGTGCGGCCCGTGGGGCGCTGCGCCGGCCAGACCCACCCGGGGCCCGGGGGCTGCCAGCAGAGCCGGGAGCTGGCCCGGCCTCGGCGCCGTCCCGGACCCCCAGTCGGCCGCGCCCCGAGGGGCGAGGCCTGCGGGCCGCACTCCCTCCGGCCCCGGATTCGGGGCTGGAAGTCCCTCCCCGAACCCAGCAGCTGGCCTGGGAGGGAGAAGGGGCTGGAGAGGGCCTGGCCTCTCCGAGGGATGGAGGGGACAGAGGCGGCGGCGGCCAAACCCGCGGGCGGCAGCCCCCAGTGAGTATAGAGGAGGCAGCGCCGGGCCGGCCGGGCGGGGGTGGCGGACCGGCGGGGCGGAGGAGCGGGGAGCCCAGGTCGCCCCGGCCACTGGGAAGCGGGCCTCCCACGGGCTCGGAGCTGGAAGGGTCGTGGGGAGGCCCGCCCTTCACGTCCATCTTCGTTTGGCCCCTCTGAGTTAGGGGAAATACATCACAGTGCTTGGGCCATAGAACCAGGCAGCTCCGAGCTGACCGATCTTCCCGAAAGCCCGTGCCCAGGGGACTCCAGTGGGAGGGTCTCATTCTTTAAGGTCTCTGGCGTGCTGTTCCAGAGTTTACCCATCAACAATTCTTACTTTAATTTTTTGGAGCCAGGGTCTCGCTCTGTCGCCCAGGCTGGAGTGCAGTGGTGCGATCATGGCTCACTGCAACCTCGACCTCCCGGGCTCAAGCCCGGCCTCCTCTGGCTTCAGCCTCCCCAAAAACAAAAAGTTATTTTAACTTAACAGAAATTGCTCATATTACATTCTAATCCCCTGTTTTCTGGATTGGACTTTAGAGGAGAAGAAGGAGATGCAAAGAGAAACTTGCTGCATTCTAGATTAACTCATAGAACAAATTATTTCTGTCCTCCTAAAGATAATCCTTAAACTTTACTGGCTTAAAACTGGTGTGACATTTCGCATTATATGTGTATTTTGCTTTATAAAATATGTGCATTCCTGAAAGCTTGTGTATAAATTGAATTGTAATAAACGACTACAGAGAGACTTGCCATTTAAGAGAATTTTATGGTGAATACTTGGTCCGTGTTACGAAGTGGATAACTCCTAATTTGTAGTGTATACACATAAGGATTTTTATGCACAAAGTTTACTTCAAGGGGGGGGGGACATCTAGATGTGTGATATTAAAGTTGTATTTTTCTCAGAAGGTAGAATCAATATTAAAACGCTGTGGCATGTAGATATGCATGCAACACCCTGAGTCAAACCCCTGCTCACCTTCATTCCTTGTGAAGGGATAAACATCAGCCATGCTGCTAAGGATCTGTGCAGCGCTGACAAGCCACCTAGCCTCTGGGGATGGAACATTATCATTTACAGAATAAGGGGAGTAGGGTTAAGTGATCACTACATGTTTTGGAAAAGGCCTGGGCTTGGAATGAGAAGCTTTGGTTTCCAAACTGGGCCTCCTCTTAGCACCTGTGTATTGTAATCTGTGCCTCAGTTTCTCCATCTGTAGAAGTATATAATAAAGCCATTCTTTCTTTTCTTTTCTTTTCTTTTTTTTGAGACAGAGTCTCGCTCTATCGCCCAGGCTGGAGTGCAGTGGCGGGATCTCGCCTCACTGTAACCTCCGCCTTCTGGGTTCAAGTGATTCTCCTGCCTCTGCCTCCCAAGTAGCTGGGACTACAGGCACCTGCCACCACACCCAGCTAATTTTTTGTATTTTTTATTTTTATTTATTTTTTTTATTTTTGAGACAGAGTCTTGCTCTGTCGCCCAGGCTGGAGTGCAGTGGTGCAATCTTGGCTCACTGCAACCTCTGCCTCCCGAGTTCAAGCAATTACCTTGCCTCAGCCTCCTGAGTAGCTGGGACTACAGGTGAGCAGCACTCCTGACCTCAGGATCCACCCGCCTCGGCCTCCCAAAGTGCTGGGATTACAGGTGTGAGCCACCGCGCCTAGCCAATTTTTTGTATTTTTAATGGAGGAGGGGGTTTCACCATGTTGGCCAGGCTGGTCTCGAGCTCCTGACCTCAAGTGATCCACCCGCCTCAGCCTCCCAAAATGCTGGGATTACAGGTGTGAGCCACCGCTCCTGGTCAATAATGCCATTGTGTTAGGGACAGGATTATTGGGGGGAGTGTGTTTGAAAGCACTTGCAGTCCCGCCTGGCATAGAGCAGATGCCTAATCGGCGTTCCTGACTGGTCAAGGTCTCCCTTTGAGCTCAACCCCATGCTGTGGTCCTGTGGCTTGTGCATCAGGGGTCAGGGGTGAGGTTGGATGCAGCACCTTCTACTGGAGGTCAGATCCTGCTTGGTGTCTTCCTGATGTCTATCATCCTCATTGGCTCCCCTTGGAGAGGGAAGAGCATGTTGCCTGTTAGCAGATGCGGGCATCCTCCACTGAAGCTACCCTTCAGCAAAGTAAGAGGCCAGGGATTGGGAAATCACCCTGGTTTTCACTCTGGTCCACATTTGGCATAGGATTAGTTGTCCTCTGAAGCTTCATTTTGCCCGTCTATAAAATGGGGATAGAAAAACTAGAACACTACTGAGACTTGGAAGAAAAAATTCAACAATAACTTATTTGCACTCTTCAATGACTTGCATTTTTTTAAAAGTGCTTTCACGTTATCTATAGCAGGGCTCCCCAACCCCCGGGGCCACGAACCAATAGCGGTCCACAGCCCATAGCAGTCTGTGGCCTGTTAGGAACCAGGCCGCACAGCAGGAGGTGAGTGGCAGCGAGCAAGTGAGCATTACCACCTGAGCTCTGCCTCCTGTCAGACCAGCAGTGGCATTAGATTTTCATAGGAGCACAAATTTTATTGTGAACTGCGCATGTGAGGGAGCTAGGGTGCAAGCTCCTTATGAGAATCTAATGCCTCATGATGTGAAGTGGAACAGTTTCATCCCAAAACCATTCCACCGCACCCCGCCCCCGATCCATGGAAAAACTGTCTTTCATGAAACCAGTCCCTCTGGTGCCAAAAAGGTTGGAGACCACTGATCAAGAGAGCATCCCCTGCTCTGTCTCCAGGTTACTTTCATCTGGACAGGACTCAACGCCAAGACACTTTGGGGCCCCGGGAGGTTGTGGGGGTTAGTCCTGTGCTGGGTCTTAGGAACTCTGTCTGTTTTCTCCTCCAGAGGGCCCAAGACAGGGAGTGGAACAGCCAGCCCCGTGGAGGGGACCTCAGCTGTGGAGTGGAGTGGTCCTGAGCCACAGCTGGATAACGGACACCCCCCAAGACCCTGGCCTTGCCCTCAGGAAAACAGAACATCCAGCCTGATGGCCCCCCAGCCTCCCAGGGTATGGGGAGTACAGCTCCAGGGCCCCTCTGTGCTGGAATCCAAGGTGAGGGCTTTGAAGGAGAAGATGACAGTGGCCAAACAGGGAGTGAGTCCCTGCTCTGCTTCCCAAGAGTGGTCATCCCCCAAGAAACCCCAATGCAGACGAGGCAAGGCAGGGAGAGCCGGGACTCCATCAGAGGGGTCTTTCCTGCCAGGTGCTGTGGTGGCTCCTCGTACCCAAAACCTGCCTGATGGGCAGCTGGACGGCAGCATCAATGAGGAGCAACCCGCCAGGGATGGAGGCCCCAGGCTTCCCAGGCCGCCTGCCCCTGGACGTGAGTACTGCAACAGGGGGAGCCCGTGGCCTCCAGAAGCCGAATGGACACTTCCTGACCATGACAGAGGTCCGCTGCTGGGGCCCAGCTCTTTGCAACAGAGCCCGATCCATGGAGTTACTCCCGGACGGCCTGGGGGTCCTGGTCATTGTAACAAAATCATCCACATTCCCAGCCCAAGGACAGGAAGGTCCTACCCTTTTCCAGATGGCGTGGTGACAGAGGCAGATCTGGATAGCACATCCCTGACCTCCGAGGAGGTCTTTGTCCCCAGGACGGCCCTGCTGGGTGAGCGCTGGAGAGCTGGAGACCTGGAGGCTCTGGGCGCTGGGAGCAGTGTCTTGTCCCTGTCTGATCGGGTGGAGAGAAACCGCCTGTTGCTGCAGGAGATGCTCAACGTTTCTGGGCAGAGCCCCCGCAAGGTGGGAACCCCTGCCTGGACTCCATCCTGGGACACAGCTGCACCAGGTGAAGCTCACTGTGTAGGTCCAGGTGGTGGGGGGAGCAGGAGGGAATCCAGAGGGAGGAAAAGGGGACGAGGGGGTCCCACAGAGGGAGTGGGGCAGGAAAGGAGGGAGAGCCTGACAGTTGCCTGTCATCAAAATCATCAGGATGGCCTCTTGTCCTTGGCTGTGACAGATTCTTTGCAGCCTCACAGGCAGCCTGTCTGCCGAAGCCCCCCATGACCCTGCAGACCAATAGGAGGCCACCCTGCGTGCTTGGGGTTAGAGGCCACTATGATGTCTTCTTTGCGGCTTGGATTCCTTTCCGGAGTGGCTTTTTGCCTCTCCCTCAAGTGACATGCCCTCACCCCTTAGTGAGGGCCCTCTGGTGGGGCAAGCAGACAGGAATCCCTTCCTAAAAGGAGGCTGGGCGTTCTAGCAGCTGGGCTGAGCTCAGACGGTAGCACCAATGGGATGTACAAGTGTCCAAACCCTAGAGGACAGCCTCTTTCCCCTCCCGCCTTCTCATTCCAAAATCTCACAAGCTCATTCATCACCGCATGCCTGAGCCCAGGCATGTGGTCCTCTCAGCATATGGCTGTGCCCACAGCAGTCATCGTGACAGGCTCAGCCTCCAATTTTCAGGCAAAGTGTTAGATTTATCTGGGGAGTAAGTTGCTTCTGGAGAAACTCTTCTCCTCAGTGTTCACTAAGTGGCAGCTGAGAGCCCTGTTTCTGGCTCTGTCCTGATCTCTGCTTCTGTTCTGGATCCTAGAGCGACCAGTGGGGGATGTGGACTGGGCCTCGGGCACCTCCTTGCAGGACTCCGGCCAGAACAGGTAAGAGCTCAGAGCCCACATTTTCTCTCCCTCCCTCCTCACCATGGTCCCTCTATTTACTCAGCATCAGGACAGTAAGAGACCTCCCAAAGTGAGAGGGCAGGCAGACTCCTGCACCAGCAGACCAGTGGACGTCATCATCCCTGAGACCCTGCAGAAATTGCCAGTAACCCCCACCGCCACATCCCCCAGGCTGGTGCCTCCCTGCTACTTGAGCAAAACCACCAGGGAACAAAGCGCATTGCTAACTACCTGCTCCATGTCCATGGAGCCATTTCCCTTGCCCAGGCCTCTTTATCTTTAAAGTTGGGGAAATAGCATCTGTCTGGTTCACTTCACAGGACCATTGTGAGGCCGAAGTGAGATCATCGTTGTGAAAATCACTGGGGAAAATGTACAAAGCCTTACCCCAATTCCGTTCCCAGTCAAGAGGTTGTGCTGGGATCATGTCAAAGATTTCACCTCCAACCTTACCATGCTATCCCACGGCCTTCGCTCCAGCCCCTCCACCAAATATTTTGGGGAAGCTGGACCCACCAAGGTGTAGCGGGGGAATTGGGGCTGCCTGTCCTTCATGGCAGTGTCCTGAGCCAGGCAGAGTGAGAAAAGTACACTCAAGGTGGGAGTGGGGCCATCGGCAGGCCTGACTGCAGCTGGCACCTGCACAGAGGTTGAACCCAGCCTCAGTCTTTGCGAGGCTCCTGGTCCACAAGGCTGAGAGGTCCTGGAGCTCTCGTTTCCCCAGCTGTCTGGTGTTGTCAGCCCCTGCGAGGCCTTGTGGTTTCTGCGGAGGGCAGAGGTCGACACGGTTGCTGCTCCGGTGTAAGGCGGCTCCTGCACAAATCCCACTCAGTTAGAACCACCTCCAGAAAACGTGGACAGACCTCTGTCTTAGTCTATTTGGGCTGCTATAACAAAAAGCCTATAGAGGCTGGGTGGCTTACTAACAGAAATTTATTGCTCACAGTTCTGGGGGCTGTGAGGTCCAGGATCAAGGCACAAGCAGATTCAGCATCTGGTGAGGGCTGCTCTTGGTTGATTCATAGATGGTGCCTTCTTGCTGTGCCCTCAGGTGGAGGAAAGGGCAAGGCAGCCCTCTGGGGCCTCTTAGAAGGGCACTAATCCCATTCATGAGGGCCATGCCCCATGACCTACTTACCTCCCAAAGCTCCACCTCCTGACACCCTCACACTGGGGATATGGTTTCAACCTAGGAATCTTGGGGAGACACAAACACTGAGTCCACCGTAGTCCTCCACCCCCGCACCTGCCTTAACCAAGCGAGGGCAGCCCAGGTTCATGTGATTGGGCTTCTGCTTGCCTAAGGGCCTGATGGAGAGGGGGATGTCTGGCTCCTTCATCCTTTGCTATTTATGATTTGGAATCACAGTTGCCTCCCCTTCTGCCAGGAATCTCTTCCCCTACCTCCCTGGCCGCTGTTTCCAGACCCTCCTCTGGTCCCCAGCTGGCCCTGCCACAGTGTTGAGGAGCGTGACTACAGAAAGGCCTGTGGGCCTCAGCCGGCTCTGCTCCCCTGTCTGCGCCCTGTTCAAGTTGCCTTCTGTCTTTTTCCCTCTTTCTGTGCGGAGCCCTGGAGGAGAGGGCTGGGGCAGATGCCCTCTTCTGCAGAGGTGGTGCCGCCTCTGCCTGCAGCTGCCCCCACCCCCTGCACACTTCCTCCCTCGATGAGGGAAGGGCCCAGTGGGGAGATGCAGCCACTGGGGATTCTGCTCAGTGGCCACTGCTGAAAGGAGAAGCCAAAGCTCCTGACAGCCCGTTGGATACTAAGGAATAAGGCCCCCTCATTTTCAAGGAGGAGACCTCAACCATGGGGGAAGGAGGGGCTTTCCCTTAGTGCTGTGAGGAGATGGTATTTGTGTAGAATCCTCAGGACTGGGGTTTCTGGGCCATTGTTTAACCTGCCAGGCCCCCAGCATCCATGGGCTGCATTTCAGAGTTCAGGCAGGGTGTGCGTACCTGTGTACTGTATGGTGTGTGCCTGGGTGTGTGGAGAGAGAGAGAAGGTCTCTTAGTGAGTTTTAGGACTCTGTTCAAAGACTGTTAACAAAATGTCCCCTTAGAGTGCCTGGCGATCAGGGCAAAGAGTGTTGTGGGGAAACACGCATTGTTTGGGAGTCATTCCAAGTACCCTGCTGGCCTCGCTTGGCGCTCTGCAGTGAGGTCCCTGCTGAGTAGACGCCCAGGCTATAGGGCCATGTCTTGAAGCCCCTCAGATAGGGTTCCCTGTCTGGCTCTATCCCCGAGTCTCCTGGGCAGACATTAAAGGTGGTCCCCAAGACCCTGCAGGGCTCCCTCTCTCCCCGGAGCAGGATGGAGTGATTGATGTTACTTCTGTATCAATGAACTTCCCAAGAGACCTCTGGAGTAAGGCATGCTTCCCTCGGCTCTATGCCCCGGGAGTGCCACTCGAAGCCAGGGTCCTGGGGCTTAGTGTCTGTTCTAAGGGGCTTAGGACTTTGGGGAGAGAATGCTGAGGCTGTGGCAGACCATTTGATGGCCACCCCGAAGGGGGCCCCAGGACATCAGTCAGGACGTGCTCTGGCAGGAGGAAAGCGCAGGACCTCACTCATGAGGTCATGAGCCCCTTGGATCTTCTGAGGGTTTAAGGTGCTGCTTCACATTCAGTCAAGTGTTGCAATCAAATAACCATTACAACCAAGTTAACCTAGCATGCATCTGATGGTGTCCGTAATGGTTACTGCTCTGCAGGCAATGGGACGAGTAGCTCATGACATGATGGTGACAGCAGAGCTCAACACAGCAGGCAGGCTGGGGGCGGGCTGGGGGCGGGCTGGGGCTGGCCTGGCTTGTGTGGGGCAGTCACCAGGAGTCAGCCTGGGAGGCAACGACCCAGGACCTTAAAGGCTAAGGGTCAGATGCGGAGGAGACCCCCGGCCCCCAACCCCAGGGTTGTCCCCCACTTAATGAGGGGCAAGAGAAGGCTCAGTTGCAGAGGACTGGAGCCTCCTAGTGGTAGGCAAAAGCCCATGCCAGCAGCTGCCATTTTTGAGCTCTTATTATGTGGCAAGAGCTATGCTAAGTGCTGTTCCTTCTTTCCCATTTTATCCTAATAACAAATTGTATTTTTCACGCACGTCCGTGTGAAAAGACCACCAAACAGGCTTTGTGTGAGCAACAAGTCTGTTTATTTCACCTGGGTGCAGAAGGGCTGAGTCCAAAAAGAGAGTCAGTGAAGGGAGATAGGGGTGGGGCCGTTTTATAGGATTTGGGTGGGTAGAGGAAAATTACAATCGAAGGGGGTTTTTCTCTTACGGGCAGGGGCGGGGGGTCACAAGGTGCTCAGTGGAGGAGATTTTGAGCCAGAAGAAGGAATTTCACAAGGTAATGTCATCAGGTAAGATAGGAACCGGCCATTTTCACTTCTTTTGTGATTCTTCACTTGCTTCAGGCCAACTGGACATAAAGGTGCAGGTCACAGGGGATACGATGGCTTAGCTTGGGCTCAGAGGCCTGACAGTATTTATTGTTCCTGTTTCACTGAGAGAGAGACCTCTGTGGCGGGGGGAGTTAAGGGACTTGCCCAGGTCCTCTAGCTGCCAAGTATTGGAGCCAGGTTTTGCACTCAGGGCTGCCGGCCCCAAGGGCTGCGCTCTTGCCATCGTGCAGCACTGCCACAAGCCACCCTGTCCCTGCCCCCACAGGCCACCCCTTGGGCTAGGGATCTGGGGGTCTCCTTCCCCTCCCAGCCTGCTCTGTTCTCAGGTGTGGGCAAAGAAGGGCAGGTGATGGACTCCATGGGATACGCTTATTTTTCTCCTAGGTCACTATTAGGATGATTCAGGAAATGGGGTTTGGATTTTGGGGGAGAGGATGAGGTGAGACGTTGGGCCTCACAGAGGGCAAAAGGGATCTGTGCCTGGAAGGACTCATAAGAGAGAAGTGGGAGGACATTGAAATAGGGGGCCGCGCTCAGGCTCTCTCTGTACCAGCTCTGGCCCCTTCCCTTCCTTGAGCCTCTGAGAGACATACTGGGAACGCAGATTGCCTTAGGATCCCGGTAACCTAGCGCAAGTGAAAGGGTGTGACAGTGAGGAGCACAGCAATCAGGGCAACGCTGGCTCCAGACCCCACACCAAATCCACTTCGGAGGCTCAGGAGCCCGCGCCAGGGCGGCCAGCCCGAGGCCCTCGGCCTCCTCGGCCGTCTCCATAGAGGCGGTGCTTCTGCATGGCCCAGGCACACCCTGGTGCAAATCAGGACCTTCTCTGTATGTGTGATTTGGGAGGCCCCAGGTGCTGAGTGTGTCTGCAGGGGCTTTAGTTACAGGGAGAAGGGAGCAGAGAAGGTCTCGGTTTTGTTTTATGTGTGCTGTAGTGATGAGGGAAGCGCAGGGAACATCCTAGGTTGTTTATTTTCCCCTCATCGCTGTGATGGAGTCGTGCCCCTGTGGGGATCCACAAGCCCAGTCCCTGGTGTACACACCCTTCAGGAAATCCCTGTGAGTGATCGAGGACCAAAACACTTCACACAGGCGAGGGGAAGGGGAGGGCGGGTCCCGATCTTCAGGCCCCTGCTGGGATTCCTTGGGGGGTAAAAACTCCCTCCCCTCAAGCAGTTTCTAGACTCTAAGTTAAAGACAGGCAGCCCTAAAGAATTTCAGGGGCTTGGCCTGTGGTTCAAGTGGTCAGGCCCTCAGCTGTGAGAAAAATCTCAGGCTTTTAAAGCTTAATATGTTAATTAGCATTTTTGGAAACTGAGATAGGAAAAAACCAAAATGTTTTTCCTACTTTCACACACTCAACACAGCACAGAGCACTTCACCTCAAGCCACCAGAGCGTGTGCAGATGTTTCCCACCCGCCAAGCAATTCTCTGGCAGACCCCAGCTGGCTGCCCTGTGATTCCACTCAGTTCTGACACTGTCTACCTGCAGATAGGATCGGGCCCCACAGGTTGAGGGCTCAGTTCCACAAGACTGCGCCCACTTCAGATGCCAATTGCAAGTCCCAGGTTGTGACCTGCACTTCGGACCAACCAGCTATAAATCGGGGTTCCCACTGTTCCTTCCTTGGGTTTAATTTTATAGGACGGCTCACAGAACGCAAGGAAACACTTTACTTGCATTTACCCATTTCTTATGAAGAATGTTATAAAAGACACGAACAGCCATGTGAGGAGAGGCATGGGGCAAGGTATGGGAGATGGGGCACCACCCCCCAGAAACCTTCACAAGCCCAGCTGTCCTGAAGCTGTCCTGCCAGTCCTTTGGGTGTTTGTGGAGGCCTCATTATGTAGGCATGATTGATTACATCATTGGCCACTGCGAGTCAGCTCAAACTTCAGCCCCTCTCCCCTGACGGAGGTTAGGAGGTGGGGCTTAATGTTCCAACCCTCAAAATGATTGGTGTTTCTGGTGACCAGCCCACATCCTGAAGCTATCTAGGGACTCTCAGCCACCAGCCGTCTCATTACCATACAAAAGACACTCTGCTCATTCCTGAGATTCCAAGGGTTTAGGAGCTGTGTGCCAGGTGCCAGGAGTGGGGACCAAATCCGTATTTATTAGATCACAGAAGCACAGAGCTCCCCTGCGAGCTGGCCACTGGGTGTGATCCAGTGCAATTTCACATGGAACTGGCCACTTTTGCTCTTATTGTGCCCTGCACCGGCTGCAGCCATAGCTGGCACTGGTGTATCTCCTCCCTGAGCTCCTGGGGCAAGAACTGTGCTGTTCTTGTCTCCGGGCCCCAGTGCCTGCAAGTGTGTGCAGGGAAAGGCTCTCAGAAATGTCTGGCAGAGGCACGTCGTAAAGAGTGTGAGTAAGGGCTCAGCAAGGAGGCATGGGGAGTCCCGGCTGAGTGCGGGAGAAGAGACACTCCCACCATCCCAGCACCACCCCAGCATGCCCAGGGCTGTAGAGGTGGCTGAGAACACCCCAGGGCACGGGTGTAACCAAGAACGGAAGAATGCCTGAGCCCCTGCCTGTCCTTACCAACCCCCAGCTCCCATCCTGCCCCACTGATATACACGCACAAAGGAAAGCCCCCTTACCACTCCCAGCCCCACCGAGACTAAAGCAAAAGAAAAAATTAAATGTAACCACTCAACAGTGTTTTAGGATACTTAACACGCTCCCAGTGTCTCACCCTGGGTGGAGAAGGAAGCCCTATCACAAACCCAGTGCCACCTGGATCCTCCAGATACCCTGTCCCATGCTGCGTCATTGCCATGCCCATATACACACCACACATGAAAATCTCATGATGGTCCCAATCTTTACCAATCAAGGAGCTTGAGAAAGTCAATTTACCCAAGGCAATTCATCTGGTGGGAGCCAGTCTGAAATTCTAGGAAAGGAAGCCCTCTCCTCTGCCTGCCAGAGTTGAACAGGCCACTGGTCCCCCATCGGAGGGCATCTCGGACACCTGCCTCCTCTGTGGCCACCCAGGTCCCACACCTGAGGCCAAGAGGTTCTCACCAAAGGGGCAGCCCAAAGCCTCCTTCTGGGGCTCAGCAGGGAATCTGTTCATCTTCAGGAAGGCAGGGGCAGGGTGGCTCTGCTCTCCTCAGAAGTCAGCATCTTAGGCGTGCACTGCAGGCCTCCACACAGATCCTTTTGAAGGTGTTGAAGGAGGTGGGTTCTCCCAGCTGCCATTCCTAAGGACTCCCACTCCTCCTTCTCCATTGACAGGAGGGCCTATTGACTGTCTGGGAGTCAGCTTTCCTCCATGACCAATTGGCCACCTCCTGTTTTCTATCCTATGGAAGCCACCTTTTCTATGGAGCCCTGTCAAGGGCTTTTCAAAGTCCAGAGCAAAGCCACCAGGTCCCCTCCAGCTACAAGATGGTGTTTGTCATTTCAAACATGCCTTCCCCTTGCTGACGACAAAGTGATCTCATCACAGGTGACTTTAGTACATATTCGGGGATTCCATCCTTTGCTTAGTAAGGGGGTGAGAGTAATTTAACAAAACAATGGTGCTAATGATAAAATAATAATAATAATAATAATAAATGCTAACATTTGTGGACTCTTACCAAGTGCCCAGCTCTGTGCTAATCTCTTTTAAAGGAGTCACTCTCACTTATCTTAACAACTGAGCCCTTATTTAGCAGATAGGGAAACTGAGGCTCAACTCCTAAGTAACCTGCCAGGGTGACACAGCTAGGAAGTGGCTGTCCAGGGATTAGAACCCCAGGCAGGCTGCCCCCAAGCCACACACTTCCCCGCCACTCTAGGCTGTGTCCTGTCCATGTCCTGCAGACCTGGGAAGAAGGGACCTGTGCAAGCAAGCATGACAGTCTGAGACTAGGTCCCTGCCCTCATGGAGCACATGACCCAGAATCAGTTCCAGGTGCACCTTTTCCACTTCCCCTCATTCAGAAAATTGCACACAGAATCACAGTAGGAGAGCTCTATCCGTGGTCATCAGAAAGCTTTCAAATACGCAAACATGGAACAAATGCTAAGCAGAAAAGTTTCTCTATGTTCTGTACACTCCATATTCTCCCTCTACTGGGTGCATCCTGGAATCTGGGAAGCGGCAGATCCCTCTACATTCCCAGTTATTTCCCCATCCATGTACCTGAGTTGAAAGGGTTAAACACAGACTCGCTGAGCTTATTATTTTAATCCAGGATTATGATGGCTGCAGAAGAAGGCCACTCTGTCCCCTTGACCTCCTTGGCTAGGAGAGCAATGGTGGTTCTCCTGCCCCAGCTGGCTGGAGGGAGAGCAAAGCCTTAGCTAAGCCTGTCCCTCCACCAGGAAACTGGCCGAGACGGGAGTGCCCAGAGCAGGAGGGGACCACACGCTGCCCTTTGTCCTTGTGAACCAGTCGAGGACACAGGTGGCTGGAGGGGTGGGGGAAGGGCCAGCATACTCTAGTGGAACTCTAGTTTTCCCCAACAATGAGCTCTTTATAGGCTCTGCCACTCGGTCAGGGCCAAACATCTGTGGTGGGAACTCCCCCAAGGGGGGACCTCGAAATCCCACACCCCACCTTATGGCATATCAGACTATGTGGCCAAAGATCTGGGCTCACAGGGTAGCACTGTGAGTCCTCTCCCCTCTCCAGCCCCCACTGCTTGCAGATGGGGAAACTGAGGCCCAGGGAGGAAAAGCACTCAGCCACTTTATTCCTATGCTCCACCCTCTGAGCTAATGAGCTCCAGAAGTGCAGACTTTCAAGACAGTGGCAAAAAGCCGTCTCTTCTTAGGCAGGAATTGCCTCTGCCTGGCCATGGCACTGACCACCCCAACCCTTCTAGGAATTTTCCAGAGCAACTCTGGGAGCTGGGAGGTGGGCAGTGAGATGGGACAGACTCAGCACCCACCCCATTTTGCCTGCTTGTTCCCTGCCTCAGAGAAAGACCACCTTCCCTCCACAGGGCTGGTCAGGCCCTCGCTTCACCAGGGTGCACGTTGACCTTGGCTGCAGTCTGTGAAGGTGACTGCCACTCCTCCATGCTCAGTGTGGTACTGCATGGATGCCTCTAGGCGCCTAAAAAGCCCTGCTTTTCTAATCAGTGGAGAACCAGCTTTGTCTGCCAGGAACTGAAGCAAGACAGCTGATGAGAAAAAAAAAAAAAAAAAAAAAGTAACAGCTCCAAGAGGAGGGAGCAGAAAGGAAATAGCAAAGCTGGAAAATGGCTTTAAAACCTGGGGGCAAGGCTGATCCTGGCAGCATCTGGCCAGTTGCCTGGGGGCCCTCCTGCCTGCCCACCAGGTCTTGTGACAAATGCCCTCTGACAGCCGTGGAACCACAGCTGTCACCGGAAGGCTCCGAGTGTGCGGGCTGGCAGCCAGAGGCCCACGGCTGCAGGGGCGCCTCTCCGGGCTGGTAACCTCATTATCTCTGCTGTCAGGGCAGGAGCCCCAGGGAGCACAGCTGCTCTCAGCCGCCTTGGAGGAGCTGTCTGCTGGGGAAGCTGTGCAGAGGGAGGCCTCTCCTGCCAAAGGAGGCTTCACGGGGCAGCGGGCCTGGAGATTCGCTTTCCCATCACTCCAGTAAAGCCCTCCTTGTTCCAAAGCCATGCCTGGGCCCTGCCAGGGTTCACAGGCACAGATGGTGCCTTTCTTCTAGCAGTCTCCTCCTGCTCCCCAGCAGCCCCAAAACAGGGTTGGATGCAAATAGTGAGAAGAAAAAGAAAAGGAAACAAGAAAAGAAATCATAGTCTGCCCAGAGTTTGTCCAAGGATGTCCAAGGAAGCCTTCCTTGGAGGCCTCAGAGCTGTGCCATTTCCACTCACATCTCTGTCACCCAGGAAACTGCCTGGTCCCTTCCCCCAGTCAGGACCATGGTGAGGGGCTGCAGGTCTGAGATCAGGACCTGCTGGAGCCCTGTGGACCCTCACTGTTGAGGACAGCCCAGCATATGTGACGGCGAGGACAGGGGCAGCCAGTGGGGATGATGAAGTTACCCCAAAGAGCGCATCTGCCCCCAGCCACAAACATCCTCTGCCTGCCCTGAGACCCAAGGCAGGAGAGGACAGAGGGTGCGGAACGATGCTGGAGACAGTGGGCTGGCTGTCGTGTGCTCTGCTCCGCTTGCAATTGACGTTCGACCTTGAACAATGTGCCAGCGTTCTTCTCTGCTCTGGACACCCTCATCTGTCAAGTGGAGAGAACACCTGCCCTCGGCCAGCCTGGCTGGGGAGAGCAAGCTCCGTGGAGAACAACGTCTTGTCAGTGGGAGATTGTGGGTTGCTGTTATAGCTGTAACCCAGCGCGGGCTGTATGTCACTGGCTGAGAGACAGCTTTGAAAACGGACTGCTGTCATTTTCTGCCACTCTGGACTGGCCAGGGAGGCAGCACATCTGGTAGGGGGTGGGGGCTGGTGGAGGACCCTTATTATTATGAAAGTCGAACCACTTGCTGGCTTGGTTTGGGTCCAGCTTAATTTCTCTCAGCCCTGAGCCTGTGAGCCCTGAGCTGGTGCCTGATGGTTTTGGATTGGGACTAAGGCAAGAAAACACCAGGATTTATAAAAATGCCATTCCCCCAAAGGGCCCAATCTATGCTGGACAGAGCCCTGATTCTTTGCATCTGCAGTGGGTACTAGTGTGGTGCTGTGTGTGGGTGCAGAGAGACAGAAGGAGAGAGAGGTGATGCGTGGAGAGACCATCTGTCTGGGCACAGGCCCAGCCCAACAACCCCGGGCCCTTTCTCCCTCCTCCTCCCAGATAGCTCCTGCTGTCTGCCTGGGGAAGGAACAATAGAATAATCTGGAGACTCTCCTACCCTTTCTAGATCCTCTTGAGGTCTCTGCCTCCAGTGCCTGAGCAGATGTCCAAGGCCGGGCCAGCTCCCCAGCCCCCATCCAGAGCCACGCAGGGCCATTTCCCAGCCCCAGGCCCCAGGCCCCAGGCCCCCAGGCTGGGTTCCCTGTGCGTGGGTGCTAGAGGAGGAAGGCTGCACATGCAGGGCTTTTTCTGGCACAGCCAGTGCTTGACACTGCTAAAGCCCTCCTAATCTGCGTTATTTTCCTCTAATCCCTCCCCCACCACCCTGGCCTGTGTGCCACGCTGCAGGACCGTTGGTCCCAACCCGGAGCCTGTGCTGAGCCCCAGGCATGAGGAAGCCACGCATCTGCTGCAGCGTGCCCGCATGAAGGCCAGGACCCGGCCCCTCCGTGCCAGCCATGACATCGTGCCCACCATTACCCAGGGCAGCCGGTGAGTGGGACCTGGGCCAGGCTAGCCTGGGAGGGCCATAGCAGGGAAGAGTCAGCAGTGGGAAGAAGTGGGATCTAGCCAAATGCTGCTGCTGCTCGCTCCATGTGTGTGTGTGTCTGTGTGTTTTCCATATAAGGCTCTTGCTTTGATTATTTAGTCAGTCAACACACCTTTCCTGAGGGCCTACAGTCAGGCACTGAGATACAAAGATGAATGAAACATGATCTGGATCCCTGGGGGGATGGAGGTCACAGTCTCCAGGGAGAGAAGCAAACAGATATTCAATTATGTGGACTGTGGTGTGAGAGAGGAAAAGTGTGTGTGCTGAACTGGAAACTGTTAACTCCACCTGGAAAGGACAGGTGAGGCTCTTGAGAGAAGGTGACTTCTTAGCTGAGGCTTGACGGAAGTATAGATATGCACTGGCAAGCAGTGCAAGATAGGCACTGGCAAGCAGGCTTAGTGAGGCGACAGAGGAGCGCAACACCTACAGCCAGACCATGCGGGCTTGACTTCTGGTTCTGGCACTTAGCTGGGTGCCTCTGCAGAAGTCTGTGTGCCTCAGTTTCCTCACCCACAAAATGGGAACTGTAACAGTGCCTGTCTTACAGGGTTGCTGTGGAGCTATGTGAGCTAATACGTGTCAAGTTTAGAACAGCGCCCGCCATGCAGTGAGTGCTGCAGGACTGTGAGCTCTAATGACTCCTTATTTTGTTGCAGGGGTGTGGGAGGTGTGAGAAGGGAGGCATCTGGAATGAGCCCAGGGTTCTGACTCGGTGTCTGTGTGTTTGGTGGGGCCTCAGCCGAGGGGTGAGGCCTCAGTGCAGGGTCAGGCATTGGAGGGGGAGGTGGTCCCAGAACATCCACTGGAAATGCCCACCAGGCAGTTGGATACAGGATCTTTAGAGGAGGAGAGATCAGAACTGAAGATTTGGATGTCATCCCTGATTTCATAATGCTACAGCCGTGGTAAGGTAGGAAAACAACAAGGTCAAGGACATTCAGACCAGCACATCACACACATGACTGCCCCCTGAGCAACACACTGCATCCCCATCTTCCTGCCTGTTCCGCCGATGGTGCACTTTGAAGAATCACTTACATGTGGACTTCACCACCACACAGAGCTGTCTTCCAGTCATGCACCTGGGCCTGAGATGAGGCCACCAGGCTATGCCAGGTCTCACCAGGCCCAAGCAAGACCACTTCTGCAGCTAGCAAAGCCTGTGGCTTCACTGGCATGGTGGGCCTGCTGCATCAGCCTGTTTGAATCACCACGTGGCAGTGGAGGGAGCAGGGGTTCTTAGGGAACAGGGATCTTGGTGGAACTGGACCACATGCTCTTTGATGGAGGGTGCCGAACTGCTCATTAAAGGCTAAGGACCTTCATGGAACCACTGAGACGACTCCTTCATGAGCAGAGGTCATTGTGACCCTTAGGAGAGGGGCTCAGAAGACCATAAATCCTGGCAAGGGGTGCCAAACAGACTGCCCTTGTATTTCCACATTTTGGGCCTTGCCTCTCTCTCTAGATGGAGGGCACTTGTTAGGAATGGGCATGGTGGGCTGGGCACCGTGGCTCACGCCTGTAATCCCACCACTTTGGGAGGCTGAGGCGGGCGGATAATGAGGTCAGGAGATCAAGACCATCCTGGCTAACATGGTGAAACCCCGTCTCTACTAAAGATACAAAAAATTAGCTGGGCGTGGTGGCGGGCACCTGTAGTCCCAGCTACTTGGGAGGCTGAGGCAGGAGAATCACTTGAACCCGGGAGGCGGAGGTTGCAGCGAGCCGAGATCACACCACTGCACTCCAGCCTGGGCGACAGAGCAAAACTCCATCTCAAAAAAAAAAGGAATGGGCATGACTTCTTCAGGGCATCCTAACTATTCTTCTTCACGTATATAAATATATGGTGAGAAATCTTAGACTTCCAAGCAACTCTCCTGTTCTACTTTGTAGAGGCATTTAGGTTAGGTCGGATAGCCTCAAAATAGTCAAGACTATCTGCAAAACAGATTGCATTGTGTAAAGGTCCTCTTGGACACTTCTTCCTCATGTCACTCTAGCAGCTCACAACAACCCCAATCACTAACTTTAACGTAGGCTCCCTTTTGCAGGCTGTCTCCAGGCCATAGAAATGCTATAGAATTGCAAGGTGACCCACTTTAGCAGCTGCTGTGTCCAGAAAAGAATTACTGTGACTTGGCAGCGCTGGCGAATCCTCAGAGGGTATAGCTGAAAAATCAACGCCAGATGGCTTGCTGCAGATGCTTCTAAAGGTTACGCTCCGTCAAATCACCCTGGAGGGCCATGCTGAGTTAACATGGCAATGGCACACAGGCCCCAGGCCTCAGTTAGATGCAGGAGGCCCCATCCCCAGCCCAGATGCATCACTTCTAAAGAGCAGCTTGGTGAAAGGTGATGGAAGAGGAGGGGCAGGCAGAGCAGTCTCAGAGGGCCTTCTTTATCCTAGGTCTGGCTAGAGGCAGCTGGGGCAAGCCTGAACAGACAGGGACTCCAGGAGGTGAAGAGGTAGCAGCAGCTGCATTTTTCTGGAAACAAATTAATACAGAAATGGAGCAGCTCCTGGAAGCACAAGATTTTGCCATTTTGGGGATAGACATGCCTAGATTGGTGTTACTGATGGCAGGAGGACAGGACATGTCAGCAAGAGGCAGGGCTGGGAGGGTGACACTGTAAGTGGTACTGTCCTGGGTCAGAGAGAGTGGCTGTGTTGAGACTGCAGAGCTTGTGTACATCACATTGATTGTGTGGTTAGGGGAGCAATGCTATGGAAAGTGGGACTCTGGAAAGGGGTCCCTGTGAAGCCATATGTCTCCAGGACTGCAGCGGGATCCTCCCCTAGAGGAGTGACTACTGGAGCTTCTGTGGAGCATCACCTTGAGAACTTGGCAGGTGTGGGATTTGCTCAACGCTTAGCTGCCTCATTCGTCCTGCACTTGTCTCCAAAATCTTCATCCTGCCTTTATGCACAGTTGCTGACACTGCTAGTGGGGCTTTCTGGGTTTGAATAATTGGGCTGAAAGCACCTTATGTGATTAAGCGCTCCTCAATTTCTCTTTTTAGAACAAAAATGTCTGCCTCTGCAGTGAATTCCAGGATTGCTCAATTCACCACCCTGTGTGTGAAAGTTAAGACCACTGATGTGGCTCATGGGACCTGGGCTCCCTTGTTAGATTAGGACCGCACTGCCTTTAAAGCTAGGCTCTTTTCCTCCCTAGAAATTACAGCCCACATCCTGCCAGCGGACAGGGCACTAGCTTTTGGGGCCTGTGGAGGGGTCGTTGTGTGAAGCTGTGTGCAGAATCTCCCTGTGGGCCTTTGCCTGCATTGGGTCGGCTGGGCTGGGAGGGCGTCCTTTCTGTGCAGTGGGCTAGGCTGTTTCTCCGGATGGAGTCTTCTTTTTGGGGGCTATGGGGAGGGAAGCATGCTTCTGAAGAGCTCACCATGAGCTCCACAGGAACAGGGACCCCACAGCTGACCTAGATACAAGTACAGGTAGGGCCCAGAATCCTCGTGTGGGTTCTCTGGGGCTCAGAGTCCCAGTGCTTTACAATCCCCAAAAGAAAATCATCACCACCATAGTTATTAATATCAGAGGGGCCTCCCGACGACCATATTGAGATGAGTAGTGAGATCCTGCACCGTCTTCAGCAGCGGGGTGTCCTGCTCAGTAGCCTACATCTCTCGGCTACAAATCCCTCTCTGAAAGCAGGGCTGCAATATGACTTTCGGGGGCCCTAGGCACTTTTGCCTTCGTGGGCCTCTTTCTCCATAAAAAAAAATTAAAAAATATATATTTCATGACCATGCTGGTTGAAAGATAAATATGTCATTCTACATTAAAATCTTTTCTTTGACCCAAAAGTTTATTTTCTTCTGATTTTAAAAGAAATTACAACATTTTCCTGGGCCCCTGTCCATATTGTGCGTCCTTGGCATAGCGGCTGTTGTGCCTGATGAATGAGTAGCCCTGGCTGAATGTGAGTTCCAGAAAACAGGCTGACCGACACCTCTTCAGTGTTCCCCAGAGCAGCCTTTTTAAGCACAGGATCTGCTGAAATCTCAAAGCAGGCAGATCTACTTGCTTAGGAGGAGTTTGTGTATGTTTTTTTTGGTTTTGTTTTTGTTTGTTTGTTTTTTTCGAGACAGGGTCTTGCTCTGTATGGAGTGTAGCAGCACTCAGTATGGAGTGTAGCAGCACGATCTTGGCTCACCACAACCTCTGCCTCCTGGGTTCAAGCAATTCTCATGCCTCAGCCTCCCAAGTAGCTGGGACTACAGGCACGCATCACCACTCCCGGCTAATTTTTTCTATTTTTAGTAGAGACAGGGTTTCATCGTGTTGCCCAGGCTGGTCTTCAACTCCTGAGCTCAGGCAATCCGACCACCTTGGCCTTCAAAGTGCTAGGATCACAGGCGTGAGCCACTGCGCCTGGCCAGCAGGAGTTCTTTTTAAAAAAAATTTCGTTCTGGAGCAGTGCTTATGGGGGGAAATGACTGGAGTCAGGGGTAGGAGCAGGTGTGGAGCCCCCATTGTCCATTGCCTTTTGCATTCCAGTGAGCATTCAGCATCTAATAAATAGAAGTCAAATGCTACTAGGCTAAGAAGAAAGATCCAGGAAATGAGGCAGGAGGGTTGCATGAGGTCAGGGAAGGAGGCCTGGAGGCCCTGAAGGCCTGGGAGTGTAAGAGGAAGCAGGAAGGAATGTGGGGAGCCTGCATTTTCCCTCCAAAGTGTATGCACTTGACCCTGTGCCCTCTTCTGGGTTGGTGTGATAAAGGCTGTGCATCAGTTGGACCTACAGACAGGAGGCAGTGGAGAGGCTGGATAAGAGGCCACTGCAGGGGTCCAGTGTGAGTGATAAAGAAGTGATAAATGAAAGAAACAAGAGATGGAATCCCAACACTTAGCAGTGGATTGGTGGGGAGGCCACTACCAGGAAAAGAAAGGGAGAACTATGGTCCTTTCTTGGGTGCCTTCTGATAGAAAACGGCCTGTGGACCTGGGTCCATTTGCATAGTGGCCTGAAACTCGGGTTACCTGGCTCCAGGTGGCCCTGGTGTGAGATGTGTACAGGTGTCTTCCGGAACTGAGCAGGACTTGACTATTCGCCACAGTGTCTCCCAGAGCCAAAGTGGATGACAGATGGACAGACTCCCCAGCACAGCAGTGCCATCCCCAGCAAAAGCAGGACGAGAGTGTGTGTGAGGGCTGGGGAGGGACAGTGCCTGGAGTGGGGGTTGGAACAGTCAAGACTCAGGGGCCAAGGAGAAACATCACTGTTGCCTTGTCTGAATTATGCATAAGCAAGGTGATGTGGAACCCTGTGTGGAAACTTCGGGAGCAATTGCTTAGAAACCCTGACTTTAAGGCCGGGTGCGGTGGCTCACGCCTGTAATCCCAGCACTTTGGGAGGTCGAGGCAGGCAGATCACCTGAGGTCGGGAGTTCAAGACCAGCCTGACCAACATGGAGAAACCCCGTCTCTACTAAAAATACAAAATTAGTCGGGCGTGGTGGCGCATGCCTATAATCCCAGCTACTCGGGAGGCTGAGGCAGGAGAATCGCTTGAACCTGGGAGGCGGAGGTTGCGGTCCTGAGATCACGCCATTGCACTCCAGCCTGGACAACAAGAGTAAAACTCCGTCTCAAAAAAAAAAAAAAAAAAGAAAAGAAAAGAAAAGAAAAAGAAACCCTGACTTCAGGCTGGGCGCAGTGGTGCACACCTGTAATACCAGAACTTTGGGAGGCCGAGGTGGGAGGATCACTTGCGCCCAGGAGTTTGAGACCAGCCTGGCCAACATAGTGAGACCTCATCTATACAAAAAATAACCAAAATAAGCCAGATATGGTGAAGCACACCTGTGGTCCCAGCTACTTGGGAAGCTGAGGTGGGAGGATCACTTGAGCCCCAGAGATCGAGGCTGTAGTGAACCGAGATCATGTCACTGCACTCCAGCCTGGGCATCATAGAGAGATCCTGCCACTAAAACAAACAAAAAAAAGAATCTCTGACTTCAGTTCTCACACAGCCTCTCCTTTAAGTGGAAACTTAAAATATCCTGTTCCCGTGACAGCATTACAGCAAATACATATTTCCACAATCACTACCAAAAATACATGGTGGTCAGGCTCACTTCCTCTCCCTAACAGACACACACACACAGACGCCGCACCACCCCAGCAACACACACTTGTGAGGACTTCAGCATCTTCCCATTCAATAGTGTTTCATCTTAACTCAGGCTGAGCCATGCAAGAGAGGGAAAGCCAAAAGCACGGAAGGTGGCCTTGGTTTTGTTTAGCGCTGTCTCAGGATCAGAATGGGCTGGCAAGCTACTCTGGTTTGCCGAGACGCCCCCAGAAATCCTCTCTGGAGTAACCTTGTGGGTTGCGGTTGCCACAGAGCACGGTGGGAGACTGTAGCCCAGGGTGGAGAGGGTAGGGCCGATGCGTGTCCATACCTCCCCAGGTTTCTGCCCTTGACCTCTCTCCTCCTGTCTCTTCATCAGAGATGGCCACAGAAGCCCAGCCCGGGACCCCAGGACGACCCCTGCCTGCAGAGACAGCCTCCAGAACGGGCACACGAGCGATTCCTCCAGCGGAGAGTCCAGCGGTGGGCACAGGCCGAGGCGGGGCCCCTCGCCGTCGCACGTGCGCTTTGAGGATGAGTCCGCCCGCGAAGCCGAGTTCCGTCACCTGGAGCGGCTGCAGCAGCGCCAGCGCCAGGTGCTGAGCACCGTGTTGCAGGCCGCGGACCAGGGCCCCCTGCGCTCCAAGCCCGACCTCGCCGACTACATCAACGGGGCTCCCCGGCTCCGGGACGCGGGGCAGGGGACATTCCACAGGCTTGTGGGCAGCCTGGACCGCAGGGGACACCCGGCACCGCCGGCACCGGGCAGCGAGAGGAGGTGCCAGGCCTGCGGCAGCTGCATCGACGACCCGCGCCCCGCCCAGGGGAAGGCGCCCCCCGTCCCCAGGACCCTCCAGGAGCTCCAGGCTGCCTGTGGGATGGAGAGGGTGCTGGGTGGCCTGAGCTCCCCACTCCGGCTCCTTCCTGCAGAGCCCCGGCTCCACATGGAATGGATCCGGGAAACACACATCGGAGACACCGTGTGCCCTGCGGAGGTGGACTCTGCCCTGGACAGCACAGACAACTCTGACAACTGCAGGACCGACAGTGAGGAGGCGGGGACCTCTCAGGCTGGCTGGGCGTGTGGGCGGACCCAAGGCAGCAGCCCGCGACTGCGACTGCGGGGCTCCAGGCCTCGAGGCCACAGGTGGTCCAAGAAGGCTGAGGCGGAGCTCCCTTGGGGCCTTCAGGCCCAGCAACACCTGCCTAGGGCTGATGATGTGGAGGTGGAAAATGAGGTGAAAGAGGGCAGAGGACACACGCCTGAAGGAACTCTATTTTTGAGAGAAGATGCCAAGCCTCCTGACCTGGAGTTGAAGCGGGTGTCCCTGGGACCCCAGTGGCAGCCTGGACCAGGGCTGGGAAGTCACCAGCCTCACCCTTTGGATTCCCGGACTCCATGCAGGACAGCCTATGCCACCACCGCCCCCATGACGCCTGAATCATCGGGGCCAGGAGGCCAGGCCCAGGTTACAGAAAGCCACGAGTCCCTGGAAATTGTCTCTCCTTCCTCCCTGCAACAGAGCCATGCAGAGCCTTCTGCCCCACACCAAGCCTGGCAGCCAACAGCTTCCTTGTGTCCTGAAGGCTGGGCGCCAACCCCTCCCCCTTCGAGGAAAACCACCTCGCCAGTGTCTCACAGGAAGGCAGCCCTGGCTGGACTGCTCAGGCTGGGTGACCAGACAGAGCCTGTGGGTATCCCTCGGCCTCCTTCAAGAAGCGCGGTTCTCAGGACCTGTGAGCTGCCCCCATCACAGACCCAGCCCAGCCGCCCTCAGGTCAGGCACCCACTGCTGGCCCTGTCCACCAACAACTGCAACAACAGCGCACCTCGGGGGCTGCAGGAGCCCTACGGGGGAGCCGTCCACGAGGGTAGGGTGGAGAGGGGCCCCTGCAGCCGGGAACCGGAGCCGCCCCTGGAGAACAGCAGAGATGGTAAGGGGCTGCCGCTGGTTCCTGCCCAGCCCAGGCCTGGTGTGGTTCTACAGCAGACGCCCAGACCCAATCCATGACACACAGGCCTTCAGAGTCATTCCCTTTTATCTCAATAGTCAGATGGCAGCGTCACATACCACCTCGGCAGCTCCTTGGAGCTGCTCTGAGGTGTCAGGGGTGCTGGTGGAGGCTGGATGCAGGATTGACCGCCGGCCTGGAGGCAGACTAAGCAACTCCCTCCCGGGGGAGGCAGAACCATGGGGAAGGTGGTGGAGACGTCCTCTTCCTGTTGGGAACCCTGAGGTTCCAAGCTCCAAGCTCCAAGCTCCATGGCTGCTGGAGGCCTGGACTTTAAGGGATGTACTCCCAACAGCTCAGGAAGAGGCAACAGCTCCAGGATTTACTATTTGTTTAGAACAGTAGATGTCCACTAATCACATGGCTGAGGCCCTGCCCCTCCAGCATCATTATTTCATTTCATTCACTCATTCATTCCTTCCGCATTGGCTGAGCACCTGTTATGTGCCAGGCACTATACTAGGCACTGTGGGGAATGCACATGTGAATACTTGAGCAGGAGTCCTGCCCTTGAGGCATTCTGTGGCCAGGCAGACACACTGTCCAGAGGACCCTGTGACCAAGGGAACAGGGCTCCTAGGTGGTGTGCTTTCTGGTACCAGACCCTCCCTGGCCCCTGGGCCTGTTGGTGGACCAGTAGGTTTCAGCAGGCAAGGCTGCTGAAGGGTGTGGGTCTCACCACTTTGCCTTTGGAAGGGGTCCTTATATTGTGGGAGAATCCTGGGGGTTGGCAGGCTCAGGCTCTGATCCCTGGTGTTGTGATCCCAGGTGACCAACTCTGCCGCTCACTTTTAGGCAGAGATAACAGGCTCACTCCACACATTTTTGCTCTAATGTGACCACGGCTCTGACAGTCTTGGGGCTGGGATGGCTCAAGAGGGACCCAGGGCTTGGCAACAGAGTGGAGGGAGAGAGGGCAGAGAGATGACAGACCTTATTGAGGATGTGGATGCAAAGTCCCCTCCACTGCACAGGGACACACAGACTTGGTCCCTCTTCCTCCCTTGCTTACACAAACCTTGAGGCAACCGCCTCCCCCTGGGGTCCCTCCCACCCTGTGCTGAGTGGCGATTTCCTTCTCTGGTGGGCTCTAGGCAGGCTGTGGGCTTGCCCCTAACCACTTCCTGCAGGGCTTCCCTTCTGAGACCTGCTGACCTCTCTGGGCAACGTGAGCCTTTACCTTGGAGCTTGAAGCAGAGCGAGTGAGGCCCTCGGCGAGTCCCTCAGTCCCTTAGCCTGCCAGCATCCTCCTCCATAAAGTGAGGACGATGACGGCACCATCTCCTAGGACTCCGTGAACTCATCTCTGGAGAGGATTCCACTTGCTGCCTAGCACATAACAGATCTCCAGAAATGATGGCTATTTTAAAGCTCTCAGAAATCACAACTGACAAGATTGTGGGTTTTGTCCCAGGAATACAAAATTTTCCCCTGTTCCCACTGTGTCCCTTGATATAGAAGGGACATGGCTTATCATAGTCAACCTTTTCATTTAACAAACAGTGATCATCTACTGTGGACCAGGTGCTGTGCTGGGTGACGAGGTTACAGCAGTCAACAAGACTCAGTCCCTGTCCTCAAATAGTTTCCAGCTTAGAGGACACTCATGAGGGGTCCTCAGCCCTGGTCATCTAAGAGGCCACCCCACCTTCCCTTGCTGCTTCCCAGGTCTCTCCACTGCTCTCCTTGAGCTCCACCTCTCCAGCTTCTTCTCACCCTCCCCCTGTTGCTGGGAATGTCCCATTCCCCCACAGGACCTGTGGGATGAGCCGGTCTGACTCAGGTGGGATGCTGTGCTTGTTTCAGGAGGACCCCAGGGCTTTCTTGGCTCAGCAGATGTTGCCACCATCAACTCCACGGGCATCACCCTCTCCCTGTCCTCAGAGGAGTCAGAGTCCAGCAAGGAATCAGAGGGAAGCCTGCAGAGGACAGGGTCAGGATCTGGAGGACATGTGCTGTCAAGGTGAGTGACAGGAGAAAGAGCCAGATTGCAGAAGGAGGTGGGAATGGGGGCTCTGGGAGGGGACAGAGACCCCCTGGAGTGGTGGCATGACCCACCTCCCTGCCCCTAGTCTTCAGAGGATCCCTAGACTGTGAACAAGCCTGGCAGCCCTCCCACTCCTCTCCCAGTGTCGTTTAGTCTGATGTACCTGATCATTCATTCATGGAGCATCCATTGAACGGCCTCTAGCTGCAGACACTGTGCCGGTGCCTGGGGCAAAGCTAGCAGAGCCCTAGCCCTGGGGAGGGGCCCAGAATGGGGTTACCTGTCTGAGAGGCTTCCTCCTGCTCTCTGCTTGGATTCTCGAAAGTAACCAGATGCAATCACATTTCCCTTCTCTCCTTCAGCTCAGGCAGAGCTGGGGGGAGAAGGGGGGAGTGGGGGAAGGGTGGGGACCGAGTCCTGGCCCTCGGGACCTCCTTGGCTTGCCTCAAAGCCTTGGTGAGCCCGGAGTTCTGGCCAGGGCCTTCTCTTCCCTGTGACACACTATGCCTGGTGGCTGCAGGCAGCTCTAAGCCTGAAGAGGCACCAGAGCCAGCTCTCCATCTCTAGCACCATCTGCTCTCCAGAACTTCAGAGCTGCATGCCCAGTTTCTCCTGGACATCTCCATCAGGGGGTCTGATGGGCCTCTCAAACAAAAAGCTCAACAACTGCTTCGCCCATGTCCCCTTCCCGGCAAACACATCACTGTCTGTCTGCACAGCACACAAGCCCGAATCCAGGAGTCCTGGGCTGCTTCCTCTTCCTTCTCTCCCACTGTAACCCTCTGCAAGTCCTTGCCAGCTCCGGAACCCCCTGCCTCCCACCACTTCTCCTGGCCTGAACTCATGGCTTCTTTGCTATACAATTCTAGTCGCCCCTACCTGCTCTCTGCCTTCACTCTTGCCCCTACATTTCCTTCTCCACACAATAGTCAAGGGTCGCTTTTTAAAACTTGGATTAAATGGTGTCATTCTCCTACTGAAAACCCTGCCTGCAATGGTTTTTCCCTGCACTTGAAGTAGACTTCACACCCCGGCTGTGGTTGGTCCTGCTTTGTGGAATCCGCCTTGCCTGCCTGTCTGACCTCATCTTGTCCTGCCTCTTCCCCCTTTCTCATCACCTACACCCAAGCCTCATGGCCTGGCCCCTTTCTGTTCTTAAACACCCAGAGCTCTTCCTGCCCCAAGGCTGTGGCACCAGCTGTTCCCCACACCTGGACTACTCAACTCCAGGCGTGGCAGCCCTGGCTCCTTCTTCAACTCTCAGTTTAAAGCTCCTCTTCTCAGAGAGACCTTCCCCACCACTCCATTTCAAAGAAGTGCCTGGTCACAGTCTGCTTCACCCACATGGGATGGGTCTCCTTGGTTTTCATGGTCTGTTGTTCATAAGCTCCTGAGAGTAGGCACCTTGTTTGTCTTGCATACACACACCCCAGGACCTAGAAGAGGCTGACACATAGTAGGTCGTTAAGAAGTATTGAATGAATGGGCCAGGCAGTGGCTCATGCCTATAATCCCAGCACATTGGGAGGATGAGGCAGGTGGATCACTTGAGGTCAGGAGTTCGAGACCAGCCTGGCCAACATGGTGAAGCCCTGTCTGTACTAAAAATACAAAAAGTAGCCGGGCGTGGTGGTGTGTGCCTGCAATCCCAGCTAGTCGGGAGGCTGAGGTGGGAGACTAGCTTGAACCTGGGTGGCAGAGGTTGCAGTGAGCCAAGATCATGCCATTGCACTCCAGTCTGGGCAGCAGAGTGAGACTCCATCTCAAAAAAGAAAAAAAATATACACTGAATGAATGATTGGGTGGGCTCTGAGCTGAGTATTATGGCGGGGGGCTTGCCTGAGCTATACTCCCCAAAAGCAACCCAAGCAGAGTATCTGGCAGTCTTTTTTTTCTTTCTTTTCTTTTCTTTTCTTTCTTTCTTTTCCTTTACTCTCTCTCTCTCCTTCCTTCCTTCTTTCCTTCTTTCTTCTCTTCCTTTTTTCTTTCTTTTCTTTTTTTTGGGTCTCACTATGTCGCCCAGGTTGAGTGCAGTGGCGTGATCACAGCTCACTGCAGCCTTGACCTCCAGGCTCAAGTGAACCTCCCGCCTCCATCTCCCGAGTAGCTGGGACCACAGACAGGAGCCACCACACCCGGCTTCCACTTGGCCTTTCTTTCTACAGCCTGGTTGTTAGTTCCTGGCCCCAAATGTGCCAGAGGCATTGGTGCTGGCCCATCTGCGGCCCTTGAGATGGCCCCAGGGTACAGTCTCCCTGGCCACCCTCCCGGCCCTCCCCCGCCCCCTCACCTCCACCCTTGTGTTTCAGAGCATCAGCAGGAGCTGGCACAGGACCCGGCTCCCCCTCGGCTGCCCCTTTGGACCAGAACAAGAAAAGGAGCAGCAGCATAGCCTCCACCCTGGGGCTGAAAAAGCTCTTCTCAGCCCTGGGCCAGAGTTCCCGGCCCAAGCTGGGCAAGTCCCGCAGCTACAGTGTGGAGCAGTTGCAGCCCGCCCCGCCTGGCCTGACGTCACAGTCCAGGGCCCCATCGTTACAATCCCTGCACCCGGTGAGTCCAGGGGCCCCAGCCCAGGGAGTGAAGCCAGTAGCGGTGCAACCACCATCAGAATGAAAAGTGAAAGGAGGGAGGAGGTGATGAGGATGCCTCCCAAGGAGCCCACAGTAGGGAGACGGAAGCTGCTGGCATCCCCATGGTTGACCCATGAGACTTGGGTTCCCCTAGAACCAAGTCAGCAGCTCCTCACACTGCTGTTCCCCGCCAGCCGCCCAGGCCTGGGGTCACTCTAGGCTACTCCCTCTTCCTCAGCTTTGCCACCTCAGCCAAGTCTCGGAGAGTTGACAGCCTGATGGTTCTGGAAACTTCTCCATGGCCATAGTGACTCTGAGCCCAGGCACAGATCACTTCCCACGTGGATTCCCTCAGCAGTCCCTTGACTGGCCTCCCTGCCATGGTCCTGCATGTGGCTTCCAGAGTGGTCCTTCTGATATGCAAATCCGACCACGCCACCCCCTCGCCGAACATCTGTCATTGGTCCCTTATCGCCTTCAAGACAAAGTTCAGACCACTTGGCATGGCCAGAGAGTTTCTGGGATCTGTCTGCTTTCATCCCTCCTCATTCTTCTTTTAACACGCTTGACCCCGGTTGCAGCTGACCCCCTTGCAGTTCTGTCGATCACACACAGTCTGACTTCGAACCTTCAGGGCTCTTTCTCCCACCTTCCCCACCTGCAAATGCCCACTCATCCATCTACTGCAGGCACACGCCCCTCAGGGAGCCGCTCCCAATCCTGCCTCAGGCCGAACTGGGGCTCCACCCCCCTCCCCACCCCCCCAGCCCCGCTCCCATTTCTCCTATGCCTCCCTCCTTTGTGGAACTCATGTTTAGGCATCATGTTTAGTTGGGTTTTTGTCTCTCAGCCCTCACTGGAGTGTGAGTTATTTGAGGGAACAACGCTTGATCTTTGTATTCCGGTACTTACTAGGGAAGCTAGTGCAGTACGCACAATACATACTGAGTGGTGAGTGGGTGGGACGCGCAGGGCAGCTCGCTCAGGCTCTCCCTCACGAAGCGCCCCACGCTCTGCAACCAGGAGCAGCACCCCTCGGACACCCCTTCTGTTCCAGGGAGTTCAGGTGGTCTGTTTCTCCTAATTCCCTCCCCGCTCTCCTAGGCAGAGTGAAGCAGGTGAGAGCGGTTTGCGTCGCTGGCGCCTTTCATTTCCCAGGCTGCAGGCGAGAAGAGGATGCGGACTGAATGAAGGTCCCATTGACTGTCTTCCACCAAAGACTGTCCAAGGCGTGTGGCCAGTGCTCAACAAATATTTGCTGGTTGAGTGAATGGAAGGCAGAGAAACCGCCGCAGATATTGAAGCTGGGGGGAATCGGCAGCGGTGACTTGTGCTCGGGAAGCTCACTGTTCTTATGAAGTTAGGTTTATCCAAAGCGTGTCTGAGCCGTGGCACCCAGATTTATTGTCATCAGGACTTCCATCTCTGTAAGCCCTCCAAGGCAAACACCACCCCCGTCGGTGTCATGGAGAGGTTCATAGGCAATCTGAGCTGAATGGACAGAGATAGGAAGTCGACTGGGCAAGAAAGGGAGGCAGAGCAGGGAGGATGAGCAGCAGAGATAAATTTTCAAGAACTGAAAAAAGACAGAAATTTTCAAGAAAATAAAAAAGAAGATAAAGGAAGAATCTGTCTCCCCTGCAGTATTTGTGACATTCCAATACTTGCTGTTGGTGTGTGGTGCTGCCAAGAGTGTGTTTGCTGGGAGGCTTAGTTTTTTGGGTTTTTTTTTTTTTTTTAAGATGGAGTCTCACTCTGTCACCCAGGCTGGAGTGCAGTGGCGCAATGTCTGCTCACTGCAACCTCGACCTCCCAGGTTCAACCAATTTTCCTGCCTCAGCCTCCTGAGTAGTTGAGAGTACAGGCATAGGCCACCACAGCCGGCTAATTTTTATATTTTTAGTAGAGATGGGGTTTCACCATGTTGGCCAGGCTGGTCTCAAACTCCTGACTTCATGTAATCCACCTGCCTTGGCCTCCCAAAGTGCTGGGATTACAGGCATGAGCCACTGTGCCCGGCTGTATATATGCCACATTTTCTTTATCCACTTGTTGGTTGATGGGCACTTAGCTTGGTTCCATATCTTTGCAATTGCAAATTGTGCTGTTATATACATGTGCACACCATGTACACAGCAGCACAATTTGCAATTGCAAATATATGGAACCAAACTTTTCTTACAATGACTTCTTTCCTTTGGTAGATACCCAGTAGTGGGATTGTAGGATTGAATGGTAGTAGATCTTTTTTTTTTTTTTTTGAGACAGGGTCTCATTCTGTCACTCAGGTTGGAGTGCAATGGCATGATTTCAGCTCACTGCAACCTTCGCCTCCAGGTTCAAGTGAGTCTCCTGCTTCAGCCTCCTGAGTAGCTGGGATTACAGGCACCCGCCACCATGCCCGGCTAATTTTTGTAATTTTAGTAGAGACAGGGTTTCACCATGTTGGCCAGGCTGGTCTTGAACTCCTGACCTCAGGTGATCTGCCCGCCTCAGCCTCCTAAAGTGCTGGGATTACAGGCATGAGCCACTGCACCCGGCACACACCATCTCTTTTTAATGTGCACTGAAACCTTTTAACTTACCTGTGCTCAGCCCTGCCCCCATCATTTTGTGAACTCCTTGAATGATTTCTTGTCTTTTTATCCACGATGTTTGAAGGTGCAATATTCAATTTAAATTTTTGCACGAAAGCAATCATAAAAGACATACTAAAGAATCACAAAATATTTTGAATTTTAACTCTAAAGTGATATTTATTACTGTATAATAAACTTACTTTCATTTCTTCCTTAATGAGTACATTAGATTTCCTTAATCAATGAGGAAATTAGTATAGCACTAAAGTTGTTATTTCAGCTAAAAAGCAAAACAAAAACTCCCTTGACTCCTCAGATGGCCTATGTAGACCCATGATGTCCTTGAGTAAGTCATGGTGGTTCCTGTTGAATTCTTGGAAGCAATGATAAAAGCTTGTGCTGTCACTTTCTTACAGGGCCCTCAGGTTCATGGTGGGGCCAAGTCCTCTGTCAGCACCTCCCAGGTAGCTTTTCTCACCCGCAATATTGTCCCTTTCTCATCAGGTGTCACCCTCTCACCAGCGTCGGAAAGCTGCCTCTTTTCAGAACCTCCATTCTCTGCTGAGCAGCAAGGGGAACCGGTCCAGCCTCTACCTGGTAGCAGGGCCAGGGGACCACAGTGCAGCTGGCAGGTATGAGGGGCACACATGGTTTGGAGGATAAACTCAGAGAGTGACCAGCGGAGCCAAAAGCTTAACTCCTTCCTGCCTCAGCATCATGGCTCTGAGCAGGGTCCTTTGAAGGGAAAGCAACAGGACATGTGATGTGTGGAGACGAGGCTGCCACGGGAGTCTCAGCACCTCAGTGCCCTGCATGGACCCTCGGTGCATTGGGCTCTGAGAAGGCCTGGGGTCGCTGGAGGGGGTAGAGTTGGCCGGTTTGATTCCACTGTCCCTCTGCTGTGCAATGACATCTTGAAATCAGAAAGTTTAGAGAGTTTTCTTAGCCCAGCTAAAGATCTGAATAAACACATAGAGACAGAGGCCCCCAAAGAGGCCCGTGACCCATGACCTGCTTGGAAAATCCCACCCTGTCCGATGAGGCCCTGTAGGCTGGCTGCTCTTTCCTGGGGCGTGGATGTACTTCAGGGTGTATGTTAGCTCCTGGAAATGTGACATAAAGTTATACCTTTTGTCAGATTCTTACAAAGGTCTCTGTACCCCCCAAAATTTGAAACCACTGCTTTGGGAGGGTGGGGTTTCTAGTTCCACAGCAGGCCTTGGGGGGCCTTGCACAGCGGCGGAAACCCACCAGTTTTGGCCCTAGCAGGCTCTTTTTGCTGGCTGAAGTCAGCAGAACCCCAGCCTCCAATGCCAGGCTCTTAAGTCTGTGAGGCATCGGTCATCTGTAAGCCAGGGAAGAGCTGTGCCCAGTGCCTGATGCTTTTTGCCCTCACTGTGTCTCTGGTTCCCTCGCAGGCCGGCCAAGACTTCACCACGGCGTGCCCTCAGTGTGGAGGACGTGGGTGCTCCCAGCCTGGCTCGCACCGTGGGCCGCCTGGTGGAGGTGTTCCCAGACGGCACCAGCCAGCTGCAGCTGCAGCGCTCCCCAGGGGGCACTTTCGGCTTCTGCGTGGCCTCTGGGAATGGGCGCCCAGACTCAGGTATGCCCTCTCCTCTTCCTCAGCCCCATGGCTGGGGCGGCCTTAGCAAACAAGGCAGGGCCTTCTGGCTGTGGTCAGAGGCTTTTCTGGTCTTTGGCTGAGCCGTGCAGCTCTGGGAATTCAGAAAGCCTCTGACTACAGGACTAGGCTTCTCCCCTCAGGGGCTCTTTCTGAATTGTCCAGGGCTCTCTAGGAGTCTGCACCTGCAGAGCCTTTGCCCTAGGCAACTGCAGCTGAGAGTGCGTTGGTGGGGAGTGTGCGGGAGGGGGTAGAGTTGGCAGGTTTGACTCCACTGTCCCCCTGCTGTCTGATGACATCTTGAAATTAGAAGCTTAGGCCGGGCGCAGTGGCTCATGCCTGTAATCCCAGAACTTTGGGAGGCCGAGGCGCCTGGATCACCTGAGGTCAGGAGTTCGAGACCAGTCTGGCCCACATGGTGAAACCCATGTCTACTAAAAATACAAAATTAGCTGGGCGTGGTGGCGCATGCCTATAATCCCAGCTACTTGGGAGGCTGAGGCAGGAGAATTGCTTGAACCCGGGAGGTAGAGGTTGCAGTGAGCCGAGATTGCGCCATTGCACTCCAGCCTGGGCAACAAGAGCAAAACTTCATCTCAAAGGAAAAAAAAAAAGAAATAAATAAATTAGAATTTTGAAGGCCATCTTTGCAGAGGAGAGCCAGAGGGAAACTGTCTGTGCCTGCTGGTTCTCAGCAGTCCCTTTGATGTGGCTGCGTTGAAACGGTTCCTTTCCTCCGGCTGTGGAGTATGTCTGGGCACGTGGAGCATGCCTGTCTGTCTCTGCATCCCGTCCCTCCCTCAGGCCTGTGCCCGATGATTATGTTCAGATGAATCCTGGCTGCAGGCCTCTGACTGGGGTGTGCTCTGGGTCTCAATTCAACCCAGGCAATGGCAGGGAGAAGTCCTGGACATCATTCTGCACTCTGACCAGTTCTCAGTTCCACCCCATCCATGAGTCTTTCAGGGCAACGTGACTTGCAAAAGCCCACGCCCAAGGTCTGTGGTCCAGAATGCATCTCAAGGGCCCATAAAAGACATTCCCCAGAGGATCAGGGAAGGAAGACACGTATGTGAGGGTGGGGAAGGAGGGGAGGGGAAGGAAGGAGAGAGAAAGGGAGAGACAGATACAGAAAGACGAACACAGAAGCCTGCTGCGGCCGGGCTCTGCCGATGGGGGGTTGAGTCCTGTGCTTTGATCTCCTAGCTCAATGCTGTTTAGCCTGGAAAAAAGTCTGCCTGCTACCACATTTGCAGACCACAGCATGAGTTCTCATGTCTGTTCCATCATTGTTTCAGCAAATATATACTAAGCACCTACTATGTGTTATAGATACGGGGGATACAGCAGTAAATGGAACAGACCAAATCCCTATCCTCATGAATATACTACCCAGTGAGCAGTTAGATTGTATCTATAAAATGTGTACTCTTGTTATGTATAATGTGCTACGTATGTCAGATGGTGAAAAGAAAGTTCTGAGAAACAGACAGATAAAGCAGGTGTGGCAGGTGCTGGTATAGACAGGAGTGTGGGGAGGCTTTTCTGAGAAGATGACACTTGAGCAGGGCCGTGGATGGGGCGAGGAAGGGGCCCCATGGGTGTCTGGGGAAGAGCATTCCGGCAGACTGAACAGCAAGTGCGGAGCCCTGGTGGAGGGGCGAGCCTGGCCTGTGAGAACTGTGAGGGTCAGGCTGGACACTGCAGAGCAGGCAACGGGTTGGGAGGAGCAGAGTTTGGAAAGATGGGGTTGTGCCACTGTAAGGGGCTTTGGCTTTCATGCCGAATGAGATGGGAGCCACTAGAGGGCTCGGAGCGAGCACTGAGACTCTCTAATGTCTATGAGAATAGACCCCAGTGGGACACGGGTGGAGCCAGGGAGCCCTGTGTTGAAGCTATTTCAGCAGTCCAGGACAGAGACAGTGGTGCCTGGACTGGGAACGGCTGTGGAGATGGGGAGAGGGGAGAGGGGACAGGGGTTGGATTCTGGTTGATTTGACTATTTGCTGATGAGCTGGACATGTAAGAGGAAGAGAGGACAGGTCTCTGCCTACTCTGGACCTCAGGAGGATAAAAAGTCCTTCCTCACAGGCCTTCCCGTAGCCTCCTCTCCCGTTAGGGGAGCAGGACAGGCCCCCCGGACAGGTGGTGTGAAGGCAGAGGCAGACAACGCAGCATGTTTGTGCTCCGGCACCTCTGCTGGCTATGTGATCTAGAGCAGGCGACATCCCCACTGAGCCTCACTCAGTTCCCTAATCTGTGAAATGAGGATGACAAAACCTACCTAGAAGAGTCATAAGGAGCATTTGGTAAGGCACACAGGAAAGGGCCTAGCATTTTTCTTCCCTCCCCTTCAGAAAGAGAAAGTCTGGGGAAGAGAACCCCAGACAGGGACCAGCGTGATCCGCATTCACCTGTCGATGTGAGTGCACACACAACAGGTCATTGTACTCTGCCGCCCACCCTCCCCCAGAGTCCCTTTTTGCTCCCTTGTAGGCAGTGGGAGCCCCTCCCTGTCACCCGTCAGGGAGCTCTGATGGGCAGGGGTCTCTAGTGACCCAGGGCCCCCGGCACCCTCGCCTGAGTTGGTGCCAGCTCCCCGTTGTGCCCAGGCACTCCCTGGTCCTGCTGCCATCATGGGCGCTGGATGGCACACAGGGGTCCCCACGCACATGAAGCCTGGCGAGTGCTGGGGCCTCCGTGTCCCAGGCCATCCTCCAACAGCAGAGGGTCGCTTCTTCCAGGCTCCAAGGGGCTGTGAGGAGGGCTGGCTTGCGCCCCGCACTGAACCGGCAGGATGCTGGTATTAACTTGCTGGCTTTCACATCCGACTCTATATGAGCCTGTGAGAACAGCAGGCTTTGCCTTCTGCTTCTAATTGGATACAACATAGAGATCACACATCCTCAACAAAGGCCATTTCCAGCAGACAATAAATGCCTATGACAGCAGGCTGTCATATTTGTGTCACGAATTTCAGTTGCGAAACCTACCCGAGTCTCCCCAAAATGGCAGGCGTGACGTCAGTGTCTGGCCTAGCTCTGGCAGCATTCTTTCAGGGTTTATCATTAGTCCCCACCTGCAACTCCCACAGCACATCAGACACTTCTCTGGGTTTGCCCCAGGGGCCCCTTCTTACCTGCCCCCTCCCCGTGCCACCAACCCGTAGACAGGGAGGGCAAGCAGTGAAAGGTCCATCTAGAGGAGGTAAAAGACAGGGCTGAGGGAAAACGCCTTGTACAGTCAGGATGGCAGATGTACTCTGTCAGGGAAGACAGCCCCACAGAAAAGGCTCGGCTTGGCCAAGAAGCAACAAAAGGGATTCTACACCTCAGACCAGGGAGGGGGAATGTGTACAAAGATTGGATTTACTAAATTCAGAGCCACAGACTTTCAGGTACTTCGGTGAAGATCAGTGCTCTTTCAAACCCACACTTCAGAGGCAGGCTTTAAAACGCCTGACTTCTGTCAGGGCCACAGGCTGGGCTGCCCAAAGCTCCTACGGGGCTGGGGGATCCGAGAGAGGACTTCCCACTAGTCCAAGATGTGGTGACTAGTTTCAAGCCAGAGATTGAGGAGCAGACCTGATGCCCTTTCGGGCCCCTGCTAAGAACCTGATTCGAGGAAAAGGAAGTGAAGACAGTAACGCGTGGGCAGTGGCCTCATGTCTGAAATGCAGAGTGAGCCGAGCTGGGCTGCGAACAGCGAGGGTGCCAAAGGCTGCGCTGAGCAGCCTGAATTCCGCCAGTGCTGATGCCCACACCAGGGGTGTGCCCCGCAGTCCCTCCAGCAAACTCAGCTTGTGTCTCAGCCCCTGTGTCCACCCAGCATGAAGCATGGGCATCAGGGGGTCCAGCCTGCCCTGGGAGAGCCAGCACCTCACTTACTCTCCCAGGTGGGAGCAGCTGGAGGGGAATTTGAAAGGTTTCCAGCCGCGGTTGAGGCCGGCGGGCGGGGGTTGGGGGCAGGGGGCCTCCTCAGCTGGACACTTCCCAGCCCAGCCAGCCCAAGCCCCACAGGGCCTGCCCCACTGACGGGGGGCTCCCTGAGAGCCGGAGCCTGGCAAAGAAGCAGAGAAGCTAGTTCCCGCAGGCTGGCTCTTGGCACCTTCTAGACCCAGGCAGGGCCTCTTTGGGGTGGGGAGGAGGGGGCATGTGCAGAAGAGGAGAGGGAGCCACCGCAGCTTTGAAATATGTGGCTAGAATTTTTATTTTTCCTGGGGTTTTTTGCTCAGATGCTTCCCCATCCCAATTGAGGAGCCATATCTGAGTAAGACTGAGGCCAGTGTCAGTCTTTGGCAATAGAGTGCAGCAAACCAGGCTTGGATGTGGCTCAGCCACTTTTGCTCTTCCGATGATACCTTCCCACCACCCCGGCCTTTACGCTGGGCCTGGGTGACCTGAGGCAGCAACTGGATCATAGTGCCAGGCACTGAGTAGGTATGGTTCCTAATTTTTAAAAACTATTTTCCTCCCAATTCTACAAGAAAAGCTCATCTCAGAAAAAGATTAGCTCACTCACTGTCAGGTATAAATAAATGACAACAGTTTAACGCGTTATTTGCACTAGGAGCATTTCCACTTTAAAAGCAGAGACAGTGGAATGGAGTTAGACCATGGAGGAGGCGCACTGTATCTATGTCTAAAGCCAGTTGTGGTTGTGAGATGGAATAATGAGGGGTGTGTGTATGTGTGCATGCGCACAGAGAAGTGCCTGGTATGAGCACCTCCTCCCTGTGCCACACAAACAGCACCTCATCAACATGGTCAGCATTCCAGAGATGCACTTCTTCGATTTGGGTGTCATTGTGAAATTCTCCTGTTTTCCTCTGCAGGGATCTACGTGCAGGAGATGGCTGACATGAGCATGGCCAAGCTGTACTCAGGGCTGCTGGGGGTGGGCGATGAGATCCTCGAGGTGAACGGGGCCAAGGTGGCAGGGCTGGGCTTGGCTCACATTAAGGAGCTCCTGGCCCACTCAGAGAGCTTGTCAATCCGTGTCCTGAGGCAGAGACCTGTCCCACGGTGACCCAGAAGTGCCGCTGCCCTCACTGTCACGGCCTCGGAAGCCCTGAAGCACTCAGGGTGGTTGGCAGGAACGTGCTGCACAGAGCTGCTCTGTGGCGGAAACAGATCCTGGCAGCATCTAACCCCTTGGGCTGTGGCAGGGCTTCTGTGGTGGGCTGCCTTTGGGAGACGCAAGGAGCCTGTTTGCATATTTTGTTTAAGGCCATTTATCCAGAACTAGAAAAAGAAAAAAATGGGTCTCCTTCCATGTCTGAGGGGGTGTCAACATCTACTTGTACCTTTGTTGGCAGGGGGAGAAGGGAGATTCAGTGGATCCTTTGGTTGATGCCTGAGAGCCGGCCTCACCTCCTGGTCCCATGCCTGGTCAAAGGCTACAGCCTCCAACACTGTGGAACCAAAGAAAGCACATGTCCATATTGGCCTTGACCCTTCCCTATTTCAGCCACGTTCCTCCCTACTCCATTCACTGCCCTTGCCCTTTATCCAGAAATGGGCAAAGTGTCCCGGAATACCAGCCTTACAGCCATTGACCATATATGCCAAACCAAAATCAGAACGTGTGGTCTGGCAGGAGTTTTATGCCCCTTCGGGGTGTGGGAATTCTGGGAGATGTTATCTGGTAGCCAGAATATTAAAAATTTCTAGGAAAATTTTTTTATACATAAAGTTGAAAACAACAACAACAACAACAAAGACCAATTTCAGGACGTGCTACTGTGGTAGCCAGGATCCAGCTAGTGGGACCGGCCAGACCAGCCCCATGCCACCCCGGCCGCTGCCTCTGCCCAGGTGGAGGCAAGAGTTGCTGCAACCTGACCTGTGGCAGCCTCCATCTTAGTTCTGTCCAGCTTGGAGACAGGGCTGCGGCAGGTGCCTGGCCATCACAGCTGCATGCTTTCTGCCCAGACCTCCTGGCGGTGCTGTCGGTGGGCAGGTGGGTGGGTGGGCAGCAGGGAAGCTGCAGAGCGCGGCTGGGCCATCTGCCTGGGCCTCAGTGCTGCCTGGAGGGCTGGGACTCTTTGGGAGTGGATGGCCATGTGTCAGTCTTAACTTACTAAAAAGCAAAGCTAAAGCTTCTCTCACTCTGAGTTGCTAAATTCTCGGCTGGACACTCACTTGACCCTCACTAGCCATGGGCAGGACCAGGGAGTGGGGTGCTGGTGGTGGGCATGCCAGAGGAAAGGCTGGGGAGGCCACGGGTTAGGGTGACAGCCAGGGTAGATGCAGAAGCCTCCAGACCGTCCTTTGGCAAAAGAAAAGCCCTGGACAAGGTTTATGACCAGGAGAGAAGAAGCCAAGGGACTCTAGCTGGGCACAACTGAGGAGTGGAATAGGAAGTTCAGGGCTGTTTTAGAACTGGCCAGGGTGCCAGCTGTGGTTAAAAAAAAAAAAAAATCCTGGAACCAAGAAACCCAACCCTCAGCAGAATCGGGTTTAAAAGAGTGTCAGGGCAGCTTTCATTGGGCAAGAACACTGAAGCAGGCCTGTGGCCCAGGGACAAGGTCGTGGGGGTGGGGAGGCAGTCCTGTGCAGTGTTGGGAGTGTGTTCCCCCACCCAGGGCCTTTGCAGCAGGAGCCAGGTAGAACCCTGTCTTCATGATGCCCATGGGAGGAGAGGGAGGGGCTGAGCCCCATGGCTCACAGAATGGGGTAGGGGGGTGGAGGAGGAATTAGGGGGATCTGGCAGGTGAGCAGAGGGGCCAGAGGAACAAGTGCTTGGGGCTTCAGGCTGTGAAGAGGGCACTGGCACTCTTCAAAGTGTAGAAATGAGCCCACAGCAAGAAACTTCAAGTGTGGAGAAACCCTGGCTCCTCCTATACTGCAATTCTTGGCCTAAGGTCACAAAACTGGAGAAATTTCATGTTGAGAAAAGCTCCTGGGGGCCAAAGACAGCTCCACTTTTCTCTGAAAAGGACAACTTGCCTTCCCAGGTGGGAGGAGGTGGAAGGGGGTGGCTGGGGCTGGGAGGACGGGAAAAGGCCTCAGGCGTATCACCTCCCGGGCTGGTGACATACTTAGTCCTTAAATAGTCCTGCCAGGTATGTCCTGCTCATTGTCTTCATTTTGCATAGATGGGGAACCAAGTTCAGCAGCAGTGACAGGGCATGCAATCCTGCCCCTCTGACTTGGGGCCCACTTTTCCCACTGCAGCTGCCTCCCCATGCCAGAAAAGGCTTGGTGCTAGGGGAGGGGCACGAGGCACGCGGGACACTGGAGGCTCCCAGGCCTCTGGACGGTGACCTAATTCCAAGGAGGCAAAGGCGCTGGCATCCCAGCTTCTCCCTGGGGCAGCCTGATGTGCAGGCCCTGCCTTGTGTGGAAATGGGAGGGGGCTTTGGTTCCTCCAGCCTCCTGTTTGACCTTCCCCAACTGCCTGCATCTGCCTGCCTGGGGAGCTGCTGACCTCGAAGGCCTAGGGCAGCCCTGCCTCACACACTGGAACATCAGAACCTTTTTTTTTTTTTTTTTTTTTTTTTTTTTGAGACAGTGTCTCACTCTGTTGCCCAGGCTTGGAGTGCAATGGCACAGTATCAGCTCACTGTAACCTCCGCTTCCTGGGCTCAAGTGATTCTCCTTCCCCAGCCTCCCAAGTAGCTGGGACTACAGGCGCCTGCCACTATGTCTAGCTAATTTTTGTATTTTTGGTAGAGACAGGGTTTCACTATGTTGGCCAGGCTGGTCTCGAACTCCTGACCTCATGTGATCCGCCCGACTCAGCCTCCCAAAGTGCTGGCCTGAGCCATAGTGCCTGGGCCATCAGAACCTTCTTACTGAGAGCTTATTAACCAGGAACCAGGCCTAGGCCAGGCAAGAGCCCCCGGACTTAAGAAAGACCCGCAGCCTCAAGGGGCCCCAGCCCAGGGGGAGGCACACACACATTACAGCGCCGGATGCAGGGTATGCTGCAAGAGGAGCTGCAGCCGGTGTAGCCTGTGGGTAGCCTGTGGACAGCCTGGGGCCGTGATTCGTGGTTGGCCGGGTAGTTGGCAAGGGCGCCAACCGGGCAGGTGAGCACAAGCAGGGCTTTGTAAAACGAGTAGGAAGCTACAGCAAGGGCCAAGTGGCTCAGGCACAGAAACGAAGCAGCCACATGCAAAGGTGTGGGTATTCCCGGTGTCTAACTTATGTCCCTCCCGCGGTTCACAGAAGGCCCCTGACACTGGGACTACACGGAGCAGAAAGTGGCACCCCTTTGCCTCAGGCACCTCAGTCTCCTCGGGGCTTGGGGGCATTTTCAGAAGCCACCCGCAGAACCAGCGTCCCGGGCGGCGGCTGGTTTTCCCCTCTTTCCCGGGGGCCCCCCTCTGTCGCTGCGGGGTGCAGCGGCGGCGAGAGATATCCGCAGCTGGCACCCGGTGTCCCGGGAGGGAGAATCGGGGTCTGTCGCGGGCCCTGCGACCAGGAGGCGACTGTGCCCTCAGCAGCTGCCCCGCGCCCGCCCCGCCCTCAGGCCACTAGAGGCAACCTCGCAGCGACTCCGGTGCCCCCCCAAGTCTCCCTGGCAGGGCGGGCTGTCCCCACCGGCCAGGGCAGGCAGCGGGCGGCCGCTTGCTCTGCACCCGCAGACTCCGCGCCAGCCGCGCCTTCCCGGCCACGCGGCCGCCCGCGGAGTGTTCCCGCCGCGCAGACAGGAGGCGTGGGGCCAGGCAGCACAGCCAACAGCCTCTGTCCGCGTCCTCCCGCGGGGCCTCGCGCGGGCGGGGGTGAGAGGGGAGCGGCCCGTTGCGCTGCCTGGGGGTCGCCAGGGCCTTCGTGCCAAGGCCGCTTCCGCGAGGCGGGGTGTGTCCAGCAGGGCACCGGCTGTTAGAGCCGCGGGGGCCTGCAGCCTGAGGGTGGAGGGAGGGCGGGCTCGCGGGAGTTTTGCAAACCCCGCCCCCAGCACACGCGCGCACGCGTACACGCACACACACTGCTGGGCTCACCCTGCCTTTGAGAAACGCACGGCTGGGGAGGCGGACGGGGCCTACTGGTGCACCGCACGGTCCCGGGCCTTGCTGAAAGGTGATGTGGAGGCGGCGCGCCGAGCCAGACTGGGAGGATGAGCTGGAGCTGGCCGGAGGGATGGGGAGGAAGTGGGGCGACCTATGGACCCTCATGTCCGTGGGGCGGGGGCGGGGTGTGCAGGAATGAGTACCTGGTGCATGAGTGTCCCCAGCTTTCAGGCGTGCTGGAAAAACCGCAGGCCGGCTCGAATTTTGGAAACCAGTGTTAACCAGGACTTCAAGGACCTGCCTTCGTTGGGCTGTCCCTCGCCTTGCCCTGCCAGCTACGCAAATGTTCCAGAGCTCTGTTGAGGTCATTAAATCACCCTGAATCCATACGGCAACACTGCGAGAGAGAGACTATTATACCAGGCTAACGCACGAGGAGTCCGAGGCTCAAAGGTTAATTCACAGATAGATCCAAGGTCTGGGAGCCAATCAAAAGCGGAGGCAGGATTTGAACCTGGCCCTCTGTGACTTCCAGCCAGCATCCTTCCACCCTCCTGGGTCCCTCTGCAGCTCACCTCCCTTGGAGGCCCTCGAGCAGCTCTGGAGGCCCTGCTTGGCCTGCCCGCCACTGACCTTCACCAGGACGCAGGGGCTCTCATTTTGGTTTTTCTTCTGGGAAGTGGGGCTGGAGAAGAGCAGGCAGATCCCTTTCCAGGGCAGTGTTTCCAAACTGCAGGCACAATTCACTCATGGGTTATAAAAGCAATTTTGTGGGTTGAGACCAACATTAAATTAAAATAAAAATTAGAGTGCTTTATACAAGCCAAGGGTAGGTTAGGTTTTGAGAAATGCTTCTGCAAGTGTGTACCGAGTTGTAATTTAAAGTGGGTTATGGCTCTGTTCTGCGGGGAGGCAGAAGAAACCCTCAGGGCTATGGCCTGGCCCCTGGGGTAGTGGGGAAGAGGCCTCCATCCTAGATGCCCAGGTGTCCTGGGCAGCTGTTTGTTTCCACCTCTTTTCCGGGTGTGCCAAGAAGAGGCCTATGACCCAGGAGAGGAGGGCAATGATGCGACTGTGGACTTCTTAGTCTTCCAAACTGCCTCTGGGCACAGGATTCTTGTGTGGGTATTATTGGCAGGAGCTTTGTTTGTTGGCTCCTGGATCCCACTAGCCCCAACTTCACCCATCCATGCACCCACCTACTCTCTCATGCTTTATGCATGTGCCTTGGCTGGAATGCCTTTTCCCTGTCCCCCCACAAACCCCGTGGCAGCCTTCAAAAATATTAGAGGTGTCTGTCTCTGGAAGCATTCCCGATACTGCATGCTGACTTCGGCTCCTCCCCTTAAATCCCATAGGATCTTGTACCAAGGGCTCTTTATTGTGACTCTTTAGGTAGAATTGCTTGTTTATCCTCCACTAAACTTACCTGGCAACAAGTGGACTTCCCTAGTTCATCTACCCAACCCATTTCCCACCCCAAGTCCCCAGACTAGTTCTGGAGCGACTCAAAAGGCCCTGCTGCACCTGCATGAACAGGCCTTCCCCTTTCTCCCTCCCTCCCCCACATATCCGCAGAGAAGTTTCCCTCTTTCCTACAAAGCCAGAGCACCTGCTTAGAAATGGCAAGAGCCTTCCTTGGCAAGAAGCTCTGCCCAGCGCTCTCTGGCTGTGGGTTGGCCAGGTCGGAGTGCTGGACCCTGAGGAAAGGGGCTGCGGGGACTGGCGCTGATATGTGCCCATGGAGCCAGGGCTTAACAGCTGCCCTGCCAGTCCTGGAGGGTATCCGGAGCTCTCCTGTGGCTGCCAGGCTGCCTGCCGGGCCTGCCTTTGTCTTGTCCTTCTGCAGTCTGGGCTCAGGCCCCTACTCACAGTGTGGAGCTGCCCTTAGGGTTCTGGCCCAGTGCCAGGCACTGGGGAGGGGCCTGTCCTGCCCTTAGGATACCCTCATCCCCAGGATGGATACAGCTTTGGTTGTGAAAAAAGGCCAGCGTGCAGGGCTACAATGGAAGCCCCAAGGCAGGAGGCCCCACTCTACCTAAGGAGCAGAAAGGCTCCCAGGAGAGCCAGCTCTAGGACCCCATGCCCCCCAAGACCCCAAGCTCACCAGCCTCCATCCAGCTCTGGTGTTAACTCAGGAACAAGGGGTGCTGGCAGCCATGGGAGTGGCATTCAGAGGCCACAATTTTCATTCTCATCCTGAGCTCCCCAGACTAAGTCTCCAGGCTTTTCTGGGTTTATACAGTAAGGGGTTTGGCTCATTTACTTTTTGCTTATTTCCAGCCAAATACACAAAAGCTCCAAAACATTTATCAGCAAGGCGGACCTGTGTGAAACCCTGAGCCAGTAGATCTCTTGAACCCTACAGTGGACTTGAAATGCGGTCAAGTCCAAGGCAACTGATATCCATGCTTTATCCCAGGTACTTCTAGTTCAGTGCTTTAATCTGCCACTAACTGGCACCGCTTTTGTGACCCCTCTCCCCACTCCTCAGCCTTATGTTACCACTTCTCATGTTAGAGGGATGGCTTAGTGAGACATCTGCTTGCCACCACTGAAGTCAGGCCAGTGTGTTTTCTCTTCATGGAGGCCTTGTATGGTCCAGGCCAACCTGGGCTCCAATTCTGTCTCTACCACTTACTAGTTGTAGCCTTAGACAAATTTCTTTATTGCTGCATGCCCCAGTTTTCAGGTGTAAAATTGGTCTCAACAGTATTTCCCTCGTCGGGTTGAGAACTGAATGAAAATGTTTTGCTCCTCACGGCATCCCTACAGCCTTGGTCAAAGACCTACCCCACACATCAGATTTGCATCAAATATTGGCCAGAACTATTGGCTACTGTTTAGATAAAACTTTCAGGAAGTTTAGAGTTACTGACCTCATCGAAGGCCAGCCAATCTTACTGTGCCAGGAGAAAGCATCTGATGGTATGTGAGCAAGTGGGCTGGGAAGGGAGGTGGGGAGAAAACACCATCCAAAGAGGCTGGAATCGGAAGTGCGTGCCCACACTGGCTTCTGGAGCCCGTTGCCCCCTCTCTGAGGTGCATCTGTGGTGATGCTTGCTCAGGCTCAGCCTGCCCCTGCACAAACAGCTGCTGCTAACGCTCCGTGTAGCAGCACCTGGGCAGGTGGGCATACAGCTGGCATCTGGAGGTGCCAAGGATCATTTACTGATTTGAAATTTGTCCTCTAGGACAGTGACCTATTATGGTGGCATGGACAGGCCTTCCCTTCCTGTGAGTTTCATTTTTGCCTCAGGTCTTGCCTTTTAACATTTTGGGACCTTTGCAATGATGGCAAATGAGTTTTGCTGCACAGCAAAGCCGTGAGTAGAATCGAGTCACTGTCCACCTGTGGAACTGGACCCCTCAGCCTTGCAAACTGTGTCCCTCTGCCAAAGCGACACAGTCCATGTTTCTCCCTCGGGTAGGGGAGATGATCTACTTTTATTAGAGGATACATATAACCCTAACTCTCCAAGCACTCGTTTCTCTGGCGAGGCTGGTCAGTATGTTTATTTGCCATCACCTTTTCTCCGTAGCTATTACGTCTGGGAGAAATCAAGCTAAGGACTTAGCAAGCTCTGATATGGCACATTCCGTGCTAGGCATGAGGGTCACAGTAAGCAGCTCTGCCTCTCACCACCTGTGTGACCTTTGGAAAATGACTTTTCTGTGTCCCAATTTCCTTACCTGCAGATTTGAGGTAATAGATGAGGAAACTTCTCATTTTTAGAATTCTATGTGTTAGTACAGACAAAGTACTTAGAACAGTGCCTGGCACATAGAAATTAATATCAGTGAGGATGATGATGGCAAATGGAATGATCAAGATCTCTCTGCCCTTAAGGGCCTTACGTAGCCTCATCACCTCATCCCACATAGAATTTAGGGCAGGCTCTCTCAACTACCAATTTGCTTGGACAATAGTCTTGTTTGCCAGCACTTCAGTGAGCAGGGGAATGAAGGACTCAATTCCTTTCTGTTCTGGTCTGTCTGTTCTCCCAAGCTCATTGTCTCAGTTGAAACTCTGTGCTGTGTAATATTTTGCATACACAGTATGGTTATGTATTGGTCCATTTTTATGCTGCCAATAAAGATATACCTGAGACTGGGAAGAAAAGGAGCTTTAACTTGACTTATAGTTCCACATAGATGGGGAGGATCATGGTGGAGTGTGAAAGGCACTTCTTACATGGCAGCAGCAAGAGAGAAATGAGGAGGAAGCAAAAGTGGAAACCCCTGATAAACCCATCAGATCTCGTGAGACTTTTTCACTATCACAAGAATAGCACTGGAAAGACTGGCCTCCATGATTCATTTACCTCCCCCTGGGTCCCTCACAACACATAGGAATTCTGGGAGATATAATTCAAGTTAAGAGTTGAATGGGGACACAGCCAAACCATATAATTCCACCCCTGTGCCTTCCAAATCTCATGTCCTCACATTTCAAAACCAATCATGCCTTCCCAACAGTCCCCCCAAAGTCTTAACTCATTTCAGCATTAATCCGAAAGTCCACAGTTCAAAGTCTCATCTGAGACAAGGAAAAGTCCCTTCCATCAATCGAGCCTGTAAAATCAAAACCAAGCTAGTTATTTCCTAGATACAATGGGGATACAGGTATTGGGTAAATACAGCCATTCCAAATGGAAGAAATTGGCCAAAACAAAGGGGCTACAAGGCCCCATGCAAGTCTGAAATCTAGCGGTGCAGTCACACTTTAAAGCTCCAAAATAGTCTCCTTTGACTCCATGTCTCACATCCAATTCACACTGACAGCAAGAGGTGGGTTCTCATGGTCTTGGGCAGCTCTGCCCCTGTGGCTTTGCAGGGTACAGCCACCCGTGTCACTTTCACGGGCTGGCATTGAGTGTCTGTGACTTTTCCAGGTGCATGGTGCAAACTGTAAGTGGATCTACCATTCTGGGGTCTGGAGGATGGTGGCCCTCTTCTCACAACTCCACTAGGCAGTGCCCCAGTAGGGACTCTGTGTGGGGGATCCAACCCCACATTTCCCTTCTGCACTACTGTAGCAGATGTTCTCCATGAGGGCCCTGCCCCTGCAACAATCTTCTGCCTGGGCATCCAGGCGTTTCCATACATCTTCTGAAATCTAGGTGGAGGTTCCCAAACCTCAATTCTTGACTTCTGTGCACCTGCAGGCTCAACACCACATGGACGCTGCCAAGGCTTGGGGCTTCCACCCTCTGAAGCCACAGCCCAAGCTGTACATTGGCCCCTTTCAGTCATGGCTAGAGTGGCTGGGACACAGGGCCCCAAGTCCCTAGGCTGCACACAGCACGGGGACCCCAGGCCTGGCCCACGAAACCACTTTTTCCTCCTGGGCCTCCGGGCCTGTGATGGGAGGGGCTGCTGTGAAGGTCTCTGACATGGCCTGGAGACACTTTCCCCACGGTCTTGGAGATTAACATTAGGCTCTTTGCTACTTAGGCAAATTTCTGCAGCCAGCTTGAATTTCTCCCCAGAAAATGGGGTTTTCTTTTCTACTGTATCATTAAGCTGCAAATTTTCTGAACTTTTATGCTCTGTTTCCCTTTTTAAATGGAATGCTTTTAACAGAACCTAAGTCACATTTTGAATGCTTTGCGGCTTAGAAATTTCTTCTGCCAGATACCTGAAATCATCTCTCACAAGTTCAAAGCTCCACAAATCTCTAGGACAAGGGCAAATGCAGCCAATCTCTTTGCTAGAACATAAGAAGAGTCACCTTTGCACCAGTTCCCAACAAGTTCTTCATCTCCATCTGAGACCACCTCAGCCTGGACCTTATTGTCCATATCGCTATCAGGCTTTTGGTCAAAGCCATTCCACAAGTCTCTAGGAAGTTCCAAACTTTCCCACATTTTCCTGTTTTCTTGAGCCCTCTTAACTGTTCCAACCTCTGCCTGTTACCCAGTTCCAAAGTCGCTTCCACATTTTCGGGTTTCTTTTCAGCAATGCCCCACTCTACTGGTACCAATTTACTATATTAGTCCGTTTTTACACTGCTGACAAAGACATACCCAAGACTGGGAAGAAAAAGAGGTTTAGTTGGACTTACAGTTCCACATGGCTGGGGAGGATCATGGCGGAGGGTGAAAGGCACTTCTTACATGGCAGCAGCAAGAGAGAAATGAGGAGGAAGCAAAAGTGGAAATCTGATAAAACCCATCAGATCTCATGAGATTTATTCACTACCACGAGAATAACATGGGAAAGACCAGCCCCCATGATTCAATTACCTCCCCCTGGGACCCTCCCACAACATGTGCAAATTCTAGGAGATACAATTCAAGTTGAGATTTGAATGTGGACACAGCCAAACCATATCAGGCTACTCGGGGGTTTAAGAATTCATATAACTTGCTCTGCCAGAGAAAGCACAATTTATAATTCAGATCTTCCAGCAGTTACAAACTTTTCCTACCCCAGGCAGATGCACATGTCTTTTATCAGAGGGGGTGAGAGGAGAAGAACGGAGCTGTGCTTAGGTATGAAAAGAACTAAAAACAAAACTAAGAAACAACCTAACAAACAAAAAAACACCCAGGCCAAGGCTCATGGCATCTGCACTTCTCTAACGTTGAACAATATTCTTTATATAGTTGCAATATCTCAAGAGTAACTGAGACTTCATGGTGTAAAAATATTACTTTTAAGGATGGCTAGTTTTTTGTTTTACACAGTATTTTGGGGGGATTAGGGTTCTAAGTTTATAGTGTCATCATATTTTATTTCACATTATGATGACAATCAAAGCCATGGATAATGTTTCATTTTGTAGGGGTTGTTGTTTTACTGTAACCTAAAGTCCACGTAGCAGTGGTTCTCAAACTAGAACATGAAACAGAACCCCCGGGAGGGCGTGGTGAAACACACTGCTGGCCTTGCCTTGCATTTCCAGCAAGTTCTCCATGCAGAGATGCGACTGCTGGTCCCACACCACACCTGGAGACCCACCATACAGAGGAAACAAAAATTTACCTGTTTCTGAGGAGTGTAAACCATGGCACTAGGGTTCTGGCCCTCCTCTCTTTATGTAGAGGAGTCAGGCACCATCTGGAAACCACCCAGGGATTTGTAATTCTAATTCTTGATCCCACTTCTTTGGTTTGTATCTTCTAGTTATTTAACATGAAAACACCATAAGGTTATTTATCCTTGAAAAAAACATAATGGTTTATTCCTGCTGACTTTTGTCACATATTACACATTCTGTCTTTGAATTACACTAATTTCTGATTACGAATGAGCCCATGAGAGGATAGTTCCAGCTAGAGAAACAGAACCCATAATCGGTTTCAGCTTGTTTTCTCTGGCCCTTTCCTAGATGGCTTCTAGGTCACCCCTCACCCCCAGCATTCTCTGAAGTCTGTTTGTTGAGAGCTGAGCCCAGCCTGTGTCAGTTAGGAAGTAATCACATGGAGTCTAAAAGCAATTCCAAAAACGTATTAGCAGGACACCTGGCTGTCCTCTCCTCGCCCCACACAGATGAGAGGGCAAAGATACTCTACTTTCCTAAAGATGAAGACATCTTTAACTGCAGGGTCACAGTTGTCTTTCAGTAGGACAATCTCAGCTAAAATCTGCTTTCTGCAGAGCAGGAAAAAACCCTGAACTTGGTCCCACCCCAGGGCTGACAGAAAGCTTGGCTGGAGCGGAGTGCTGGGTTGCCACGAACGCCAGGGAACAGGGCCTTGGTCAGCAAAGAACAAACCCGGGTGGTCTTAGTCCAAACATACCCCTGAATAACCAAGTGGCCTCCAGGTTTGACAGCTCATAACCTTTTAAAAAGTGGTAAAATACAATTTCGCACAAAGTCTGGCTGCAGTTGGCAAACCAGGTGCACTGCATGAAATGTTCATGTGAAACCCAAGCAGTAGGGCAGGCAGCTGGAACAATCGCTGTCTAAGCACAGTTAACGCCCACACAGCCCCAGGGAAGGGCAGCTCTGCACAAAGGGCATGTCTGAAGGAAAACAGCACCAACATGTTTGTTTATGGCAGAGAAAAACCAAGCTGCTTCTTTCTTCCTCTTCCCCTTCCCCTCAATCTGTATTAATAAAGAGACTTTAATATAATAAAGAACTCCCAAATTTATCTAGATTGCAACAACCTGACCAAGGTGCCACTATAACTTTCAGAGCTTCAGTGTTTGCAAAAGGCAAAACACTTCAAGTCGCCAGTGGTGAGGAGGACGCATGACAAGTTAGCATCAGTCTGCCCCCAGGTAAGTACCTTAGGGTCGTCCCAGAGAAGGTGCAGTTCCTAATGGCCAAGTCCAAAATGCATTGCACCAAATGGCTACCATGTATGTTGGGGTGAGCTGTAATTGTTTTCATGGTTAATAAGGGTCTGAGCTAAATGATCCCAAGTCCCTCTGAGTCTGCCCTTAAAGATGATAACTACAGAAGTCAGCTGTTTTGGAGTTTCACCTCCACCCTGGGTTACCAAGCATGGGCTTCCGTCATGAGATTCATAGCAATGCTGTTCAGGGCTGAGGGATCATTCTCCTCTACTCAAAACTCTCTTACTGTTCTGGATTCAACACCAGAGAGCACAGTTTCCCCGTGAGCCCTTAATTAATTGCCAAATAAACAGGTGAGAATGGCATCCTGTTTACATACAGCAGACCAATGTGAGCCCCACAAGAATAAGACCTCACTATTTTAAGTATAAGCATATTTTTTTTTAAGGCTGGGAGTTGGGTGCAGGCAGTTGGACATTAAAGGAAGACCATCCTGGATGGTCACTGTGGTTCACGCCTGTAATCCCAGCACTCTGGGGGGCTGAGATGGGTGGATCACTTGAGGCCAGGAGCTCCAGACCAGCCTGGCCAACATGGTGAAACCCCGTCTCTACTAAAAATACAAAAATTAGCCAGGTGTTGGGGGGCAAGCCTGTAGTTCCAGCTACTTGGAAGGTTGAGGCATGAGAATTGCTTGAACCCAGGAGGTGGAGGTTGCAGTGAGTTGAGATCGTACCACTGCACTCCAGTCTGGGTGACAGAGAGAGACTCCATCTCAAAAAAAAAAAAAAAAATCATCTCTATGCGAATGATGTGAGGTTATGCAGTTGTTAGGAAGCTAGATCTAACCATTCCACAATTTATGGACAGTAGTAGCCCCTTATCCTTGCTGTCACTTTCCACGGTTTCAGCTACTGGTTCCAAAAATTTAAATGGAAAATTCCAGAAATACACAATTCATAAGTTTTAAATTGCTCACTGTTCTTGGTAGCATGAAGAAATCTCACATGGTCCCACTCAGAACATGAATCATCCTTTGTCCAACATCTCCACACTATAGATGCTACCTGCCCACTTAGGCCTGAATCCTAACAGGGATCTCGCTCTGACCGACCTGGTGTATATGCGCATGTGCTTATGTGTGCGTGCTCACACGTGCACACAGAAGTGGAGTGGGGGGTCCTCATTTATCCACCCACAGACTTCTTTGGTAAAACAAGAGGGCTGGATTATCAGGGTTTTCAAGACCTCAGAGTTCCCAAGGGCTCCCGTAGGGACAGCTCCCCCTGTGTCTTCTCCCTTCCCCCTACAACCAGAGCAGCACTCTCTACCAGGGGTGTCCAATCTTCTGGCTTTCCTGGGCCACATTGGAAGAACTGTCATGGGCCACACATAAAATACACTAACAATAGCTGATGAGCTTAAAAAAAAAATCACAAAAAAAAAAACCCTCATGTTTTAAGAACGTTTACAAATTTTGCGTTGGCCGCATTCGAAGACGTCCTGGGCCGTGGGTTGGACAAGCTTGCACTGTACTTTGCTTATGAGTTGAGATTACCTATAAAATTCCATCCTGCATTTGCAAACCTGAACGAGAAAGGCTCCAAGTCGTTGGTCTGGAGCTCTAAAGTCCTGTCCAGGCCCCGGTTCCTGGGTTCTGTAAGAGGAAATGGCAGCTGGGGCCTGGAGGCCTGGGTACAGCTGAGCAGGGAGCACTCGTGTGGGGCTAAATGAATGCAGTTGAAGGACCTGGATCATCTGGGACCCTACATGTCTTCCTTCTTTGCCTCCTTTCCAGGGACGCACTCTCTGAGATATTTTCGCCTGGGCGTTTCGGATCCCATCCATGGGGTCCCTGAATTTATTTCAGTTGGGTATGTGGACTCGCACCCTATCACCACATATGACAGTGTCACTCAGCAGAAGGAGCCACGGGCCCCATGGATGGCAGAGAACCTCGTGCCTGATCACTGGGAGAGGTACACTCAGCTGCTGAAGGGCTGGCAGCAGATGTTCAGGGTGGAACTGAAGCGCCAGCAGAGACACTACAATCACTCAGGTGTGCATGCAGCAGAGACAGACGCTTCCCTCACCCCACAGAGGCCCCTGGGCTGACCTCCAATGAGCAATGCTGACTTGCACCTGCTGTGGCTTTTGGCAAAACCTGGGAAATCTGGTTGGTGTAGTTCAGAGTGTCCCATCTGCCTGTGCATCTTCTGGACTGTCCCTCTCTCCCCCAGGAGCCCTTTATCCTCTGCCGCATCCCCCTTCCCCATATCCCCATCTCCTTTCCCATTCTAAATTTGCCCATTCTGTGTCTCACTTCTTGGTAGCCAGGCCTAGTGACCTGCTTGCTTATGCATAATGACATTAACTTTCCCAGGGATATTTCTAGCTCCTGCATCTCTCTCCCTCCTCCACTGCACTCAAATAGCCACAGTTTATCAATCAATCATTCCCATTACAGGATAACTCCCCAAGAAGGGAATTATCACACTCCTTTGGCATGCAGTAGGTACTTCACAAATACCTGTTGTCAGAGTGGTATAATGGACACTGGCGACTCAGGAAGGGGAAAGGTGGAAGGTGGGTGAGGTGAAAAAAACCACCTACTGAGTACAACATACACGATTTGGGTGACAGATACACCAAAAGCCCAGAGTTCACCACTACACGATTCATCCATGCAATCAAAAACTACTTGTATCCCTAAAGCTATATGAACCAAAAAAAATTTAAAAAACAACCCTGCTGTCAGGTGGGCTTCCAAAGAGGGACCTCCTGGGGACTTAGCGATGCCACAGCAGGCCTGTGGGGTGACGTAGACCAAAGGATGCTTCCAGCCATGCCCCTGCTCCCAGCACTTGAGAGCCCACCTCTGTCTCTGTGTGGACCCCTCTGGGCTTGCGTGTGTGTTCCAGGGTCTCACACTTACCAGAGAATGATTGGCTGTGAGCTGCTGGAGGATGGAAGCACTACAGGATTTCTGCAGTATGCATATGATGGGCAGAATTTCCTGATCTTCAATAAAGACACCCTCTCCTGACTGGCTGTAGATAATGTGGCTCACACCATCAAGAGGGCACGGGAGGCCAATCAGCATGAGTTGCAATATCAAAAGAACTGGCTGGAAGAAGAATGTATTGCCTAGCTAAAGAGATTCCTGGAATATGGGAAAGACACCCAACAAAGAACAGGTAAAGAGAGGAGGCCTTGTTCCTGCATTGCCTGAACAATTGTTTCATAAATCCTCTAATCTAGGTTACATTCACCCTATCCTGAAGCCATCTCTTTAGTTGGCCTGTAGTGATCTCATGGCTAGAGCCCCCTGCGAACTTTTGAGCCCTCTGGTTACTTCTGAGCGGCATCTTGACAAGATTTGGCGGTTCCCCTTGTCTTGACAGAGTGGAGTACCTCCAAGGGCACCTTGTTTTTGGGGATCCATTGAGGCAAATTCTTCCATTCCATCAATAAGCTGGGAAATTCTTTGGGAGGTGGAGCAATTCTTACAAATTGTTTAGTTAACAAAGGGCTCACACACCACCAGTAGGAGTGAAAATCTGGATTTAACAGGACAAACAGAGGGTCTCTGCTTTACTAAAGGACTAATGACAAGATTCCTTCCAGCAAAGAGCTCTTCTTATACCTTAAAGATATGATTCAATTGGTCAACTTTCAGTTAATACAGAACTTTTCATGTATGATCTTATTATTCAAAATGAATTACCCCTGTATCATGCTACGGGAAATACCCAGACACACGTGCCTTTCCTCACAGGAGTAGGAGGGATTTTCTCAGCTGTGGCCAACAGCAGGGGAGGTGTCTGGCCACAGTTATGAATATGGAGCATCTGCTAAAAGTACAGGCTTTGGAGGCAGATGCCTGGAGTCTGAGCTTCGACTCTCCTGTTCACTAGCTGAAAAACTATCTCTTAATGGTTGCAGGTAACAGAAACCTATGTAAACCGGCTCAAGCACAAAGTGGGATGCTATTTTAAAGGTGGGAATCAGGGCAGTGTGGGGACCCGAGAGATCAAAACCAAGATGTGAATGATTTTATCCAAGAGGTAGGGATGTGGCTGCCAGCACAAAGCTCATATCCTCCATCGCTTCACCACTCCGTAAGAATGGGTGTCTCTCTCCCAGCTCTGGTTACTAAAAGGAAAAGGAAGTCACGGGAGGACTCTGACGTGCGTTGGATCATGTGGTACCTCTGGGCCTAATCACCGTGACCATCAGGATAAGCCTCTAAGACAAGCCATAGCTAACAGTCCTGGCAAGAACTAAATGGTACAACTCAATATGGTTTAAATGAATTCAACAGACAGCATCTGTAAGGGAATAATCAGAACTGAGGAAACCAGTACGGGATGGTGAAGTGTCCAGAGACGTGTGACAGAGGGAAGCTATTACCTCCACCAGAGCTGAAGGGTAAAAGAGAATATTGTTATCATAGTCCGGCAAGAGCTGCTACCCTGGCAGAGGATGCTCCTTGTGAGAGCTGTGACCGTGGCCCCTGGCGGGACTGCAGTGAGGTGGGTTGGGGAATGAAGCCCCAGCCTCTCTCTCCTCCAGCTCTCTGGTCTTTTTTGAGGATGCTCATCGCAGTGGCCAAGCCCAACCAGAGGCCGGGGGCTCTGGAAGTGCAATCTGATGCGTATAGCCTCCTGGGGCATGGAAGGGCAGAGAAGAGATTAGCTGGGGGCTGATGGGGAGAGCCTAACCAGCACACACACTTTTTTAGGCTAGGGCTGGGCAGGAGGATTAAGACTGGTACCTCTCAACACAAGCACATGTTGGAATGGGGTAGGGTAACTTTCCAAAATATGTTGTGTGTTTGGCAGAAGGGGTTCCTGTTGTTAGAAAAAGTGAGGCTAACAGATGGTAGGCCAAAAAAGCAATAAACTAGAGTAAAATCAACAGGTATGATAATGCCTACCCCACAGAAATGGATAGGAAAAACGTGCATAAAAGCACTGTGTAAACTGTAGGGCTCTGTTCCCTTTTCATGAGGCCATCAGTCATACTGGATTAGGGGCCCACCTTACTACTGCAGGATGACCTCACCTTCCCAAATTAAATCAACAACCCTATTTCCAAAGAATGCCACATTCTGAGGTACTGGGGGTTACAACTTCAACATGAATTTTTTGGGGGAAACAATTCAACTCCTAACACACCCCTACCCAACCTCTGTAGGTTCCCTCAATCCACCAAAACTCCTTTGGCTCCAGTGGATTATCTAGCAGTTAGGAAACCAAGATCATTAAACAAATTCACTGCAACCACAGCGAGACTGACTACCTTAGCTTACCTCTGTGAGAGGAGTTAAGCCAAATGAATCTGTAGAATTTTGGCGGGTTTGGGGGTATTTGGGGGCAGGGGACAGATGTTCTTCCTTGAAATCACAATACTTAGTTCTCTTCCATTTATAAGACTCACCCCTCCATCCCAACCCCTGCACCACAGGACAAGGAAGTGTTCTTGGCCTTCAACTTTCATCCATGATGGTGAAAGCACTTGCTCCTGATCTATTTGCCCACCAGCTTCTCCTCTGTAGCCTGAGGCTTCTGATGCCTGCCTGGCTGGTTCTCAGTAAGAAGGTCAAGTTCAACCAGAGAGGAGATGCTGATGCCTTTCAGTAGTTAAATATGAATTCAGACCCTGGGGCCTGGACATAAGATTTGGGGTCCCATCAGCTGGGCACGGTGGCTCACACCCATAATCCTAGCACTTTGGGAGGCTGAGGTGGGTGGATCACTTGAGGTCAGGAGTTTGAGAACAGCCTGGCCAACATGGTAAAACCTCGTCTCTACTAAAAATACAAAAATTAGCCGGGCTTGGTGGCATGCACCTGTAGTCCCAGCTACTAGGGAGAAGGCTGAAGCACAAGTATCACTTGAGCCCGGGAGGCAGAGGTTGCAGTGAGCCGAGATCGCACCATTGCACTCCAGCCTGGGCGACAGAGTGAGACTCAACCTCAAAAACAAAAAAACAAACAAAAAAAAATTGGGGGTCCCTTGGACCTAAGATTTCTGAAAACACTCAGACTATGGGGACCCCTGCTGAAGGAGAAGCCCCCAACTGTGGCTTCAGGGGAATGCACCAAGGCTCTCACTGAGGCCGCCTTCTCCAACAAGCTCCCCTCCTGCTTCCCCATGGCTGGCATGGCTGAGGAAAAAGGACACTGAGCACAGCCTGTGCATGAGCGGCTTGCCATGCCGCAGGATAAAACCCATAATGCCACTCAGCGTGCCTTGGTTGTAAATCTAGTTTGATTACAACACTAATCTCTGGCCATTTGTTCTGTTTCTGATTTGTGAACCAACCGAAGACATGAGCAGGGCCTCAGCTAACCCACAAATAGCACATGTGTGCAAACTGGAAAAATGAACCCTTCTTCTGGGAGGACGCCAGCCCAGGCCAGGTCACCCGGCTTGGCCAGCAGAACACAGAGTGGATTTTGGTCCCGTTTGTTCCCCAGTGGGGTATCTATCCTTGTGCAGGGCACAAGCTTACATGGTGGCTCTGGTCATTTCATTAGAAAATAGACAGAAATGGGCTGCACACCAGAATGAATGATTTGGAAGGGAGGGGTGATGGTATAAAAGAATAGGCCAATTCATTCAAAATGGTAGAAGCAGAATGCCAAATTCCATCCACTCTTACCAATGCCCTGAGCTGGGAAGCACAGGAAGCTGCTGCTTTTCCTCTCCCCTTTTTCCCCACTCCGTGTTGGCTGCACCAGCAGAGGCTTCTGTATTTGCCCTGGGCGGGAGTTGGGTATGAAGGTCTGGGCCAGAAGGTTCTGAGTTGCTGCGCTGCTGGGTGGCAGCTGGAAGGCCAGGCTGGCTGAAGCCCTGGCGAGGTGACACTGGGTCTGAGGCAGGTGCAGTGGCAGCAGCCAGACCTCTGAGGACACAAATGGGCTAGAGAGTGGGAAGAATGGAGTGGGGGTAAGGGGGGACAGCCTATGAGAGGAGGCTGCGGGATGAAGTGGGAAGCCACAAAAAATGGAAAAGGAAGTGAAACCAAGGGAGAAATAAGAGTGCCACCCCCGAGGCCGTCCTGGCCTTTCTTCCTTTCTGAGGCATCAGCGCAGATTCTAAGGTTACCTGAACTGACTGAGAGCTCTATTGTTTTCTGAGCAACACGACAGTGGTATAGAGAATTCCTGGAACACACTGGGAAGACACACGCTCTACAAGGTGACAATTCTGGGGAAATCTGAAGGGCTGGAATAATAAAAAGTCAAACATTTGGCATCCCATCAGCTGCTGAAACAACCCTCTCACGTACTTTAAAATACCCAAGACACACACTCTGCATATTACTCACGAAACAGCTACGAATGCACAGTCTGTGCATTACCAGTTCATGTCACACTGTGCCTCAGGAAGCCGCTGAGTGGCCTGGTCATGCATCTTATCAATCTTCTGGGAGAGGTTCTGCCTGACTGAATTGGCTTCCATAGTATTTGCACTTCACAGCTGAAATCCTTAAGAAAGGAGGTCAGCTTCTGGCTCCGTAACAAGTTGTTCTTGGCCACCCAACGGTTGCCCTTCCTAACTGGAGCCATGGTGCTTGGGTGGAGACAACAGGTGTAAAATGGGTCAAGTGAAACTGTGCTTGCTGCTCCGGCTGACAGCGAGCAGCTCTATGGCTACCCTAACATGCGACGGCCACCACCAAATTCAAACTCAGCTGCCACAGGCTGCCAAATGAGAAGTCGCCATCTTAGTCCCTCAGTGTCCAATACAAGGACGCTCCACAGTCAGGCAGCCAGTCCACAGGTAGGACTACAGTGCCCAGAAGTCATGGCGATTTTGTTTTCAGATTGACAGATAACACTATGTTTTCATCGTGCACGTTTTGAAGTATACAGAAGTGCCCCCTGCCCCACCGCCTTTTTGCAGGGATACATTCCAAGACCCACAGTGGATGCTTGAAACCACAGATTGTACTGACTAGATAAACTGTTTCTTCCCTTATATACATAGGAACTCCCTTGCTGAAATCTTTGTATAGGCACAGTGCTTTCCAGTGCAACCCATTTCTGAAACCTCAGAAAGTGAAACCGCAGATAAGGTGGGACTCCTGTGCAAGTGGGTGACATGACAGTGGACGAAGAAAATAAACATAAAAGTTGTCCTTTATCTAAGAAGGGAACGCAGTTCAGACAAGGAAGAGGAAGAGCAAAAGGTCAAGACACAATAACAGTTACCCAAGCTGTAGGGCAACAAGGGTTATCTACGGTGAAACCAACTGCAAGCCTGACACTCAAGTTTGACACGAGGATCTTCAAGACCCCCTTGGCCTGTGCACTCCAGCAGCCAGGGAGCAGATTTATGGTGTTAGTGAAGGACAGCCCTCTCTGACAGCAAAAAGATCTTCCTCACTTCCAGTGGGTGGTGGAACGAGCATACTACCAAGGGCCAGTGATTTGTGGAGGATTGATTTTGCACAACTGCATCTAGAGGCCTTGGGAAACCTCCAGCCCTCTAGCCATCTTGCCCAAAATGTGCGGACCCACAAACGAGAAGCAGCCAGACTTTTCTGATGGGCCTCCAATGGGCACTTCTGGGGTCCTGAAAAGACTTCTTCCCATCAGGTGTATTGTTTCTTTGATGTGAAGTTCCAGAGCAGGGAGTAGTGTTCCTCTGGGGAATTTGGAAAAAGGGAGACACACTGTTCTCACATCAGTTTTAAAGCTTTGCTGTTCACGCCTCATAACTGAGGTGACCCCAGAAATTGCTTGCTGAGTCCATGCAATGGAAACTTCTCATCATTTTCCCAGCTGTATTCTCCTCCCTGCTCTTTGACCGACTGCTCTCTGCCTCCAGTAACTCAGCATCCTCTTTGGCCTGCCCCACCTACAACTGTTGTGGCATGGAAGGACCCCAGGTTCTCAGAAAAACTGCCACCTCACCCTCCTCAGAGAACCCTTAGGATCTGGCATTTCCACTCTGTGTACGCTGGAGGCCGGGAGGCTCAGGCTCAGAAAGGTGAGAGCTCTGGGCCATGAGAGTGCACATCTAGGAAGCGGGGGTAACTGTACGAATTAAGGCCGGATGGCAGAGCAGGACAGGTCACAGGGGTGCCCACAGCAGCAGAACAGGCCATCTCACCACCCACACCCATCCCCCTCCTTCGGTGGGGGTTACTAAATGGGGCTTTGGGATCTCTCACCTTCTTTGCACACTAGTTCTTTTGAAGCTGGCCTGTGGAATGGTGTTTTATGTTTATCCTTGTTTACTGTAGACCAAAAATTGGTTTGGAGGCAGCTTCCAAGTCTTGTCCCTCTCTCTCACTGGTTAGTGGGAATTTGGATAAGGGAACTGTAGGGCTTAGGTCAGTCTAGGGTCTTTTTTTTTTTTTGAGACGGAGTCTGGCTCTGTCGCCCAGGCTGGAGTGCAGTGGCGCGATCTTGGCTCACTGCAAGCTCTGCCTCCCAGGTTCACGCCATTCTCCTGCCTCAGCCTCCCGAGTAGCTGGGACTACAGGCACCCGCCACCACGCCCAGCTAATTTTTTGTATTTTTAGTAGAGATGGGGTTCACCGTGTTAGCCAGGATGGTCTCGATCTCCTGACCTCGTGATCTGCCCGCCTCGGCCTCCCAAAGTGCTGGGATTACAGGTGTGAGACACCGCGCCTGGCCAGTCTAGGGTCTTATGTGACCAGCTGCAGAGTAAGTACCTCTAAGCTATCCATGGTCCCTGCCAGGTCTATAGACTCTACAGAGAGCACCGCTCTCATGGGTTCATGTGTACCTGTCTGGTGGCCTTGTTCCGTGTGTTTAGCCTCTGCCCAAGGCATGGATGAGTTACATGCAGTTAGTGGTGAGATCCTCATGCTGAAGCCAGCCTCTGTGCCCCAAGAAGTCATGGGCTATGATCCAAGAATCTGGGAAGTAGAGGTCTTACCCTCAGGCTTGGGTGGCTCTTTGTTGCATTTTGTGTTATTCTGCTATATGATCATTCTAGTAATTCAGTCCTTTTCAAGTTGAATTCTTTTCAGGTTGTTTTATTTTCCTTTTCCGGAGACTTTTGTACATACTGTTGTCCTGAGTAACAGTATCTCTAAGCTGAGTTACTCTGATCGGAGCTACTGAAAGGTACCTGCTTTCAGCAAATTCTGGTTTGGTTTTATTTTTTAATCAAAAAAAAAAAAAGGAGAGAAAGAAAAGAAAGACCACCCCCTATTAGAAGCAAAGGCCCTGGGAGGAGTAAGGCCTGTCACTGGGGCAGGGGCACTGTCCTCAGGGGCGGACTTTGCTCAGGGATGGCGCACAGTGACTGCGGGGGCTTAAGTCCGGTAACCCTTTGGTTTTATTTCTTTTTATTCTTGATGGGCAAAAAGCCTCCTTTAAAAAACATTATTCTTAAGAAACCTGGGAGAGAAAAAAATGCCAGTGAGAGGAAGACAAAGAAAAATTAGAGGCAGTACATTCCATATTTCAGAACTTTAGCTTTCCAGACAGTCCAATTTTGTTTTGTTTACAAATTCATCTTGCAGTACAAGGTGAAGCCAAATGGTACAAAGTCCACAGAATTGAAAAGCCATTCATATTTATCATTCAATTTTTTGATCTTCAAATGTTATGAATTCTCCAAAAAGGTAACAGGGAACAGATATCCCTTTGGTCTCACTTTATAGACAGGGAAATTACCAAAAGAAAAATCTTGGCTCTACCATCTCTACTTACAGAAGGTAAAACACTTAACAGAGACAGATTTCTGTTGGAGTTAGACTAGATTTCTTTTCACAGCCCTTAATCTCACGAGGTGAGAAGGAGTGGAAGTTGCCAAGTTGTTGGCTACCAGACCCATCAGTCTGTTTAACTCTGGCTAAAAGCAGAGAATAATGGGCAAGTTACCAAGTTTCCCCCTTCAGCTCTGGCGTGCATTCTGAAATTGTGGAAGATCCTCATGTAACACACACGCTGCAACCTGCATTTGCCACACAGTCCAGGGCATATAGAGCATTGTGATTCTTCACAGTCCGCAGAGACAAGACCAAAAATGAGGACTAAAAACTAAAGGTAGCTGAGTTTTTCAGATGGATTTTCACTCTGGCAAACTCAGTAGTTCACTCCCTCCCACCCCTCAAATCATTTAAGTAAAATGTTCTTCCAATAAACATAAATTGAGCTCTTCCTCTGTTATCCATCACATTCTGCCAGTTCTTTAAAACTGGAATATGGTACTAGGTACAGAAGGCTAAAGGGGTAGGAAAGCCCCAAATACTATAAAGATGCACTTATAAGCAGTGTGGGGTTATCACCACTGTCTACTTACTCTCCCATTCTAGGACACAGGGTGAAGAGACCACCTGGGTTCCCTCTAAAGCCCTGAACATTAGGACCACTGAGGAGGAAATATTTGTCCTTAAAAATAAATGTAGGTTCCCTGGATTGTTCTCTTTGGCTGCCACATTTGGAGCCTGAGTGGAGGCCCTTCAAATTAACACTGGTTCTGTAGGGACTGCCCAGTCAGGGTGCAATGGGATCAGACACAGGATCAAATCAGCCAGGGGCAGAAGGGCATGGTGGCCCTACGGGTAGAATGCACTGTATTGTTAGTTAACTTTCTAAATTGTTCTCTATTTAGCTTCAGCCTGAGTCAGGTCTACAATGGCCACTATTTAGAAAATAATTTAAATCAGTGAGGTAAGCACGCCGATTTGAAATATATCCAAACATCATTAAGCCTCTGGGTCATAAAACTTGGTCCCTGAACTAACAGGAGTATCTTACTCATTAATGACTAGGTTTGTTCCAAACGGCCCCTGCTGACACACATGATCCTTTTGTGTGGCACAATAAATCTGGTAATAGCAGAACAATAGCATGGCTTTTAAATAGGGTAATTTTATAATTCCTTAAGATGCTGGTTTGCTTCTTATAATGTGTTGTGTGGATTACAGTACTTAGACAAGGTTCACATTTACTTTAAAAGACTTCTATATTTTAATGCAAATCTAAGGATCATCCCCTTTCTTAGTTTATAGAAGATTCAAACTTTGTAAAACATAAATAACCTAGTACTCTAAACATCTGAAGCCCTTTGTAATACTCACTGTTTTTTCCTAATTTGAAAATAACTTATTTATATATCAAACATTAGAGCGGAGTGTAAACATGGATGTCAATCACCCTTTTAGTTTCATAAATTTGCTTTTAGCTTTCATCAACAGGCATATTTTCTTAACCTACCATGATCTCAAATGAGATAAAATATCCTTCTTCAAAAATTGTTAAGAATATTTATTAAAAAGTGCAATTCAAAAGTTAGCTGGGCAAGCACATCATTGCAAATCACAAAAAAGGGTGAAAAAACCAAAACCCCCAAATAAAACCACATGAAATACAAACAAAACAAAACAAAAAGGTTTAAAAAAAAAGTGTGCTGAGGAATGCACCCAAAAAGACAAGGAAATGAGAAGTCAAAGCTAGAACTCTATCCAGATGTTGCTGTTCTTTCCAAGTGCAAAAGAAGGTGGTGAGGAGAGACCAGCAGCCTCCACCACCGAGTTCTGGCTCTGGGTCCAAATACTACTTTAATATCAGATTATTCATCAGGGAAGTTATAAAAATATCCTATATACATGTGCACATTTGAGGCATTTTAAAAAGTCATCAGAAGGTTAAAGTTTAGTGTCTCAGCAGTTTCAGCTACTTAAACTCAATTAAAGCATCTATCATTTAAATTTGGATTGGCTCAGTTATTTGACTGCAGATGATAAAATCAAGCTGTCATCTTAGGGAAAAAAAAGAACCAAGTTTACCTACACATCCTTGCCATTACCCACAGAGTAAGAGAAGTCTGGCCCAGAGCTAACCTTTTATGTCATTACGTTTCTTAATAAATGTAATAAATGTACTAACCACTCCCAACCCCAACCCCCAGTGTAGAGTGCCCTAAGAGTAAAAGAACTGTAATGAGGACAATCTGGTATCCAAATTCATTCAAGTGTGTTACTGAGCTGTTTAGCAACAACATATGTAGCAATCACCCTCAAAACGCAAGCTGCACCTCTGGGGAGGAAGCCCTGGTACAGCAACATCAAGTCGGCAAGGATCAGGAGCTGACCTGTGGCGACATCATTAACCCTTCCCTAAGCTATGCCAATGCAGAACCCTCTTGCTCTTTTTAATTGCTCCTGTCAGTTAAAGCCACAAGTTGTTAGCACCCCCAAACCCCAGGGTGTTTCATTATTTTCCATTAGTTATTCTTACCACAAAAAAAAATGACCTGGAAAAGCAATTTTATCTTAGCATTTATCCCTGAAAAATGAAACACTGCATTTTCTGTCACAAACTGTTTCTGAGCCTTCTGTCCTCAATAATCATCAGCTCTCAGGGGATAAGAAATGCTACAGCAATGGGAAACGAAACATACCCAGAAGCTCGTATTCCTGACAGGTTTCTTTAGATGGGACAGCGGTGCACTGTCTGAGCACGGGGAAGGGTCTGAGCAGAAGAAAAGAGCTGCCAAAGATGCATGGAATGAGCAACAGCAAAACACCAGTGGAGTCTGTAAGTCCCTCCTCAGCAAACGAGGTCCCGGAAGGCAAGGCAGCAGCTAGTTCTCCTCCGAACTGGACAGGCGGCATGGGGCTTCTGTTGTCCAGCTGCAGCCAGGAGTGCAGACATCTATTTCCTCTTCCCACTGGCCCTTCCAGCGCTGGGATGGAGGAGCCATGTCAATTGTGGGGTCACACGGAGAAAAGTCAGTGCAGCAGTATGTTTCCAGGATAGGAATGTGAGTAGACGGCAATGTCACACGTGCTCAGCTTCTCCTCCTCCCCTCGGTTCATATGCAGGAGGAACTCGCACCCAGAGGCCCCGCCGTCACAGCACTAAGAAGAGGATGAGCACAACCAACAGGACTGCAAAGAGGATGGCTATGGCACACCATTGGCGCCGATCTGGAAGGCAGGACATGGGGATTAGCTCTCACAGGGACTCCACATTCCCCAAGATACAGTTATATGGAATTTATGGCACCCTTTGAAGCAGAAAAGGGGCAGAACGTGCAAATGACGGGGCCATGATCTTACACCTGCCTAGGTGCCTGATGCTCTAATGCTGCTCTGTTCTTGGCCTGCACTTCGCATGCAGTCACAACTTTGCCAGTCCCCTGAAAATGTCTCGTAATAATTACATGCTTTGTGTCTCAAGTCTTTAATTAAAATCTGCGGATCTTAGCTTTCTGCTGGTAGTTAGCATATCCTCAAAAAAGGTGTTGGCAATGGTGTTACAGATCAAAGCCTGCCTGCTTTAATCTCCCATAAAAGTCAAGTCATTTAATTAAACAATAATCACATTCTTTTCTCAATGAGCACAACGGGAGGAGGGAAAGGAGATGAAAGCTACTGCTGGTCACTTCAGGAAATATACAGCTGAAAAAGCAAGCTCCAGTGAGACAGCATGATTAATTTCACACCACACCTAGTCAAGTAAGATTACTTAACTAGTAACTGTGTTAAAGTACCTTGTACAGCTCCTCTGTAAATGAAAGTGGAATTTTTTTTCTGAAACTTTCTGCCCTACCAACAATTTGGAACAGCAGGCACAGGAAACAACTTGACTAGAGTCCATCCAAATGGCTGAGAGCAGGGAGGCCCTGTGAGACAGAAGGGCCCAGACAGGCCCTGGGGGAGCCCTGCTGCAGCTCACAATCCTGTGGTCCCAACTCTACAACAGCTGCCCCGCAGGGCTGTTGTGAGAATTAAACAACACAACCCTGTCATACACACACTGTGCAATACCCAAACCTAGGGCACAGAGGATGCTGTCAACATCAGGATGCTTCCTTAATTTGGAGACATGTAGAAAAAATGAGCAGTCCTTCCACTGATGAGTTTTGGCATCTTCCACAAAGGGCCCGACTGATAACAGAATTCACTAGCGTATGAAAATGCAGTACAACCACTAGGAATAAGAGTTCCATTTAAATAGAAATATAAAGACATATTGATTCACTAAAGTTTCTTTGAAAGCCCACTGATTTTAGCACACTATAGTTATTGAGAATCACGTTGCAAAAAGATCTCAATCTATGAAAATAAACTGCTAAACTCTCCACAAGGCAAAACATGTACTTAAAATTATTTTAAATATTATGGATATCAAAGTCTTAGAACTGGACAAGAGAACTGCCACCAAATTATAAGTAAAGCAAGTACCTTCTAAGTGGTGATCACCTTGGTCTACCTCAGACATACTAGAAACTCATTTAGTTAACTCTGAGCAGGACAAAGACCCCAGGTCCATCACTCGTTGTTCTCAGGTAGGACTGTTCCAAAGGTCTAGGGAAGGCAGAGATGGCCTACTGCAGGTCACACTTTGACCTGTTTAACTATTACTTCAATGGTCAAGAAAACTTTTATAACTGGCATTCTCTCATCTGATTAAAAATGTTAAATTTTTAATTTCCAGCCAAGTATGTAAGAAGCTTAGAAGTCATCACTCTGTCGTAACAAGTAAAAAGCTGAACAAACTGAAAAAGCAAAACTCTTCTTAGATCCATCAGAGAAGTGAGGTCACATGGTAAACTGCTGCCCCTAAAACTGCAGAAACCTACAGATGCATACAGAGAATCACAGCTTATCAGAGCAGAAACCCACGAAGCAACAAACTCCATAGGAACCAGTGTTCTGGTAGGAAAACCTTAGCTTTAATTGATGAGTCGCTGAAGGCTCAGTGTGGACAAGTCTGAGATGAAAAACAAACAAACAAAAACACTCCAGGTGGACCCAGGCGAAGGGGACCCCCACACTTCTGTGGGTTTTACCTCCAGGAGCTTGACCAGGTTCTCAGCGAATATTGGGAAAAATCCCCTCATGCTTCCAGCAGGCGGAGGGGAAAAAGAATCACTACGAAATACTCCAGAGCACTCTGTTCTAAACAAAGTCTGCCCTCAAAAGAAACTAACCAGAGTCTGACTAACCTGGGGGAAGGAAAATACCCAACTCCAGTCTTCTCTAGCCATCCAGTTCCACCTAACAGTAGAAAAACTGGGAAGCACTAGTGAAGTTCACGGGCCAGGGGCACAGGCTCACCAGAGGCTAAGACCTAATCACAGGACTAGAAAATGCCACCCCCCGGCCTCACCACCCCATCTATGGTAAAGGTCTATTTACCACAGTTCCTTTTACCCAGTATATCATGTCCACTTTTCAACAAAAAGGTAAAAGGCACACTAAAGGAAAAAGCAACAGTAGGAAGAAACTGCATATGCATCAGAACCAGAGTCAGATACAGCAGGAATGTTGGAATTATCAGAAGAGGAATTTTTAAAACTATGATTAATATGCTACAGGCTTTAATGGAAAAAGTAAACAACATGCAAGAACACATGGATAATGTAGGCAGAGACATGGAAATTCTAGAATGAAAAAAATAGAGATCAAAAAGACTACACAAATGAAGAATGCCCCTAATGGGCTCATTAGTAGGCTAAACACAGCTAAGGAAAGGATCTCTGAGCTTCACAATTTGTCAACAGAAACCTGAAAAAAGAAAAAAAGACTGAAAAAAAACCTGGCACAGAATATTCCAGAAATGTGGAACAACTATAAGACTTACCATAACATCAATCAAGATAATGTAGTATTAGGAAAATAGACAAGCAGATCAATGGAACAGACAGTCCAGAAATAGGCTGACATAAATACAGTCAACTGATCTTTCACAAAGGAGCAAGTGCAATACAACAGAGCAAAGAGAGTCTTTTCAACAAATGGTGCTGAAACAACTGGACATCCATGCCAAAAAAATGAAGTTGGAGGCAGACTTTACACCTTAACAAAAATTAACTCAAAATGTATCCACAGACCTAAATGTAAAATGCAAAATTATCAAACTCCTGGAAGAAAACACAGGAGAAAACCTAGATGACCTTGGGTATGGCAATGACTTTTTAGATGCAACACCAAAGACACTATATATCCATGAAATAAATAATTGAAATTGGGATGTCATTAAAATTAAAAACTTATGCTCTGTGAAGTCACTGTCAAAAGAATGAGAAGACAAGCCACAGATTGGGGTAGAATATTTGCAAAAGATTCATCTGATAAAGGACTGTTGTCCAGAATGTATTATACAAAGAATTTTTAAAACTCACCAGTATGAAAACTAACAGCTTGATTTTAAAAATGGGCAAAAGACCTGAACAGACACCTCATCAAAAAAGAGATGGGGCTGGGCAAGGTGGCTCACACCTGTAATCTCAGCACTTTGAGAAGCCATGGCAGGCAGATCACTTGAGGTTAGGAGTTCAAGACCAGCCTGGCCAACATGGTGAAACCCTGTCTCTACTAAAAATACAAAAATTAGCTGGGCGTGGTGGCGCAGGCCTGTAATCCCAGCTACTTGAAAGGCTGAAGCACAAGAACCACTTGAGCCTGGAAGGCAAAAGTTGCAGTGAGCTGAGATCGCACCTCTGCACTCTAGCATAGGTGACAGAGTCAGACTCTGTCTCAAAAAAAAAAAAAAAAACACCATGAAAGAGCTGCCAGGGAAGCATACGAAAAGATGTTCAACATTAGATGTCACTGGGGAAAGGCAAATTAAAACAAGAAACAATACACACCTATTAGAATGGTCAAAACCCCAAACAGTGACAACACCATATGCTAGCAAGGATGTGGAGCAATATTAACTCCTAGTGGGAATTCAAACTGGTACAGCCACTTTGGTAGACAGGTTGGCAGTTTCTTACAAAACCCAAACATACTCTTACCATAACCATTCAGCAACCACATACCTTGTTACTTATCCAAATGAACTTAAAAACTTATGTCCATATAAAAACCTGCACTTTTTTTTTTTTTTTTTTTTTTTTTTTGAGACAGAGTCTCCCTCTGTCACCCAGGCTAGAGTGCAGTGGTGTGATCTCGGCTCACTGCAACCTCTGCCTCCTGGGTTCAAGCGATTCTCCTGCCTCAGCCTCCCAAGTAGCTGGGGTTATAGGCGCACGCCACCACGCCTGGCTAATTTGCACATGGGTGTTTATAACAGCTTTATTCATCATTGCCAAAACTTGGAAGCAACCAAGGCGTCCTTCAGTAGGTAAATGGATAAATTGTGGTACATCCAGACAATAGAATATTATTCAGTGTTAAAACAGAAATAAGCTATCAAGCCATGAAAAAGCACAGTGGAAACTTAGATGCACACTGCTAAGTGAGAGAAGCCAATCTGAAAAGGATCTGTGATATATGATTCCAACCATATGCAAGCTGGAAAAGCAAAACTATGGAGACAGTCAAAGGATCAGTAGTTTGGGGGTTGGGGGAAGGGAGGGATAAACAGGTGGAACACAGGATTTTTTAGGGCAGTGAAACAGCTCTGTGTGATGCTACAATGATGGATACATGTCATTTATACATTTGTTCAAACCCAGAGAATGTACAATACCAAGAGTGAATCCTAAGGTAAACAACGGTCTTTGCGGATGATTAATGATGTGTTAGCGTAGGCTGATTGTAACAAACGTACCACCGTGATGCTTGATGTCAATAGTCAGGGAAGTTATGCATGGGGGAAGGGGGCTATATGGGAACTCTCTGTACTTCCTGCTCAATTTTGCTAGGAACCTAAAACTGTTCTAAAAATAGTTTATTAATTTTTTAAAAAGATTAAAATGCTTACAATAATTTAAAACCACTTTGCTAAAATGATTAGTTGCGATTCTTTCAGGACAAAAACGGAGAAAGTATTCCTTCTCCAACCCCGCCCTCAACCTCACACACTCCTATGTTTACCCCCTTCCCTCAGGCATCTCGCTATTCTCAGCACCAGATTTCCAACACTGAACCAGATTTCCATTTTTTGGCTTTCCATCAGCCTCTACTCATGCCTCCTACCACCCTCCAATCACCTTCTCTTCCACAACTGTATTAAGTAGGAATTTTCACCAAGGAGAAGCATATACCACACAAGCCAGCACAACCCGAGGATGTTCTTTTAAAGCCGTTTTCCTCTGAAGTGGCTAAGCTGCCTCTACGAAGCATGAACTAGGTAACCCCAGGGAGCTGTTACCCCAGCAGACTTCTCAGCACTTCCCGCAGAGGCTTCATGCATAGAAGGAACGGGTACTAACCACAGGGGCTCTTGTGACCTCAAGTGGAAAGTTTTAAGCAGCATTGCAAGCTCAGGACCTGCCTCAAAAAGTCAGAGCGGAACAAAAGAACTCCAATGGTAGTTTTTTCTCTCTCTCAAAATATTTTTCTCCCCTAAAGAGAAAAGATTAATGGAATGTTGGAAAGTAAGAGGGAAAAAAATCTCAGTATCTACTTAAAATAAAATACTTCTGTGGGTAGGAGAATACAATTAGTGTCTCTCTTGGGTCATTCAAAAAAGTAAATGTGGAGTCTTGGTTGGTTTCTCCCCATGAAGCAGACAGCCACGGGGAGCGGAGATGGTCCGCCTGTGTGCCTGTAACTACTTAATCACACTTCGCTGTGCCTCCATAGGCTTCCTTTATGTACAGGTTTGATTACTAAAGCAGTGAACTTCTGCAAAAATTATGGAGGAGAGCAGAGACGAATACAAATTGCTTGTTTGTCAAATTGAAGCAGAAAGCACCAAGCAGGAAGAGGTCCTTAGGGAGTATTTCTTTGGGTAGCAAGCAAAGATTAAAATGAAAACACAAGCAACCTGTCAAAAGTGAAGCACCGTTCAGGATAAATGCTCTGTTTCCTGGCTCTTTTTCCTATACAAATATAACCAAAGTTATTACATTGCTTCCCCAATTTTTCTTTTGGGAAAAAGTAGAATAAAGCATAAGCAAACTTCAGTGCTATTTATACACACTGGGTCGCTTCTCACAATGCAAGTACTTTTCTAAATTATTCATACCCAGAATGCTGGGAAACAAAGACAGTGCATCTTTGTTCACTTGCTCTTCCCCAAACAGAACTGGTGCTGAAGTAGCTACTTGACTTTGCAACTACTACATACATGAGTGAGAGGCCTGGAGTTTAAACTGGTTATACAATTCTTCATTAAAACACCTTTTTTTTGTTTATTGTTTTGTTTTTAAGTAGAGGGGAGAAGGCAGAAGAGAGAACAGAGGGAATCAGAAAAGACTTTGCAAACCTTTCTCTAAATGTGTGACAGATGAACTAAGCTGGTGCCTGCTTCCCATATATGCACAGTTTCAGGCAATGAAGAGCCCGCTAGAAACAAAGATACTTGTCCCTAAAGAGAAAGAAGAAAATGACTCTAGATAGGAGCTTCTCTTTGTTTTGGATGTAATAGGTCCATTGCGCCTTGGGGCCATTACAATTTTTGTTGCCTTACAATTTCTTAAAAACATTTACTAAGTACCAATAAATAAATGGTAAACGCAGTTAAGCACTTCTACTTTACTGGTATTTCATTTAATCCTCACAATTACCTGGAGAGGTAGGACTCAACATATTTTTACAGATAAGAAACTGAGCCCCAGAGAACTGTTATGTAACCTATGAGTTAAACTTCTGAAAAGTAAACCTGCATATGTATTTAAATATTGCTTCAAAAAGCTAACCTATTAGACCTTATAACATGTACCTGACAGTAGGAAACCAACAGAAGAAAAGGTGTCAAGAAACAGGGCATGTTCTAACACAAGGGAGGTGCTCTACAGTCAGGGAACATTCAGATTACCTCAAGGAGCATCTCAGTTTCTCCTTCCACCAAGCAACCCCCACCAGATAAAGAAGAGATACTGGATTTTTTAAAATTTAAAATATATTATTTCCCATGTAAAGAGTCACTGGAACATATCTTATACAGTAACTATTATGAAAATTGTTTATTCATCCTCATCCTGGTGCAAATTTGCTGAAATATTTCAGTATTGATTTAAACATAACAATTTAAAATAGATCCACACATGCCATCTTATTCTGAAGTAGTAGGTATTTTTCTATCAATGAAAGAATGTTCAGGAGAAACAGTAACTGGCTTAACTGTTGTTTTACATAAGTTCCCTATTTTGGCAAGGAAATCTTAAAAAACCAGTAAAATAAAGAAGGATTTTGTAACTGCAAAGAAAGTTATTCTACTGGGCTGGGCGCGGTGGCTCACGCCTGTAATCCCAGCACTTTGGGAGGCCGAGGCGGGCAGATCACGAGGTCAGGAGATCGAGACCATCCTGGCTAACACGGTGAAACTCCATCTCTACTAAAAATACAAAAAATTAGCTGGGCATGGTGGCGGGCGCCTGTAGTCCCAGCTACTTGGGAGGCTGAGGCAGGAGAATGGCGTGAACCTGGGAGGTAGAGCTTGCAGTGAGCCGAGATTACGCCACTGCACTCCAGCCTGGGCAACAGAGTGAGGCTCCATCTCAAAAAAAAAAAAAAAAAAAAAAAAAAACACAACGAAAGTGACTCTACTGGGAAAAAAACCAAACACGGTGGGGGATCACAAAGCCTTAACTTTTCCCAAGTTAAAGCTACAAGGAGAAGATAAAGACTGCACATACAAGTCTTCCATTCTCTGATTCTAAGGCATCACAAAAAAAAAAAATGTGCCATAAGAAAGGGATCAGCTAGGCACGGTGGCTCACGCCTATAATCTCAGCATTTTGGGAAGCTGACACGGGCGGATCACCTGAGGTCAGGAGTTCGAGACTAGCCTAGCCAACATGGTGAAACCATGTCTCTACTAAAAATACAAAAATTAGCTGGGTGTGGTGGCACGCACCTGTAATCCCAGCTACTCAGGAGGTCAAGGCATGAGAATCGCTTGAACCCAGGAGGCAGTGGAGGTTGCAGTTAGCTGAGATGGCACCACTGCACTCCAGCCTGGGTGAAAGAGTGAGACTCTGTCTCAAAAAAAAGAGAAAGGGATCTGTAAAAAATAAGAAAGGGATCTGGATGGGCATAACTATGAGACAACACCCCCAAGACAGAGTTCTAGAATTAAGTACAAATGCTTAAGCTTTAAACGCCATACATACCACTGGTCATATGAGATACTTTTGCAAGTTTCTTCATCACATTGTCCAGCCGGGACTGAGTGCTCTCCAATTCGTGAGAGAAATCTTCCAACATACTAGAGAGAAGCAGACACAGAAGGTCGCTGGTAAGCACAAAGCCTTGGCAGTGCACTTGCACTGGGTTAAAAGGACCAGGCCTCCATTTTAGCAAACAAAATAGGCAACACTGGGTTTCAGGACCTCACTCTGTTATCCAAAATCCTTGGGACAAGATAGGATTTTGATTTTGGAATTCTCAGGATTAAAAAAAGCCTAAATTACATATCCTTTGTATTAGTCGACACCACTAGGAGGACACCACCAGGAGGGTCTGGGGCAGTCCCCGTAATCAGATACTTAATATTTCTGCAGAGAAAACTATGAGGAATCACAGTTGGAGTCAGTTCAGGTAAGGTTTTTCTGTAACATGAGCTTGCGGCAAATTTAAAGAAAAAAAAAACAACGAGATTTCTTTAGAGCTTCCTAGATTTCAGAACTGCAAGACTATAGACCTGTCTATACAATAACACAAACTCAGTGGCAGTGCAATGTGGTAGAAACAATGCTATCTGAGGCAGACAACCAGGCTTTGCCACTTGTTTACATTGCTACCTTCGACAACATACTCTATAACTCTTTGGGACTGTTTCCTCACCTGTAAAATAGGGCAATCCTATCAGCTCAACTTCCCTCACAGGGCTCTTGTGAGAACCAGGTAATAAACAAAAGCACTTTATGTCAATATGAGTTAAGGAATGTACTTTAATAAAATAACCTCCTATAAGGCACTACGTGCTTTATTATAAACCCAGAAGGCCTCAGGACTAACATCCCTGATGGGGTGTGTGACAGTGTGTCTGTGCATGCACACGCGCATTTCCCCATCTGTCCTCACAGAGAAACCAGTATTTCCCACTAGGAAAACTGACTCCAGCAGGCTTACACTATTTGCTGTCCAATGTGCAGCTGGGAAAGAAAACCCCAAAATACTATTTCAGCAGTGCCTATTTCATAAGTCACTAAATATTCCAGACTTTTCAACTTTTGATTAGTAAATGATTATTCTGAGGCTAGAATGTAATATGCCAATTAGTACTAACAGTCTTACTAAAAAGGCTGTATTAACTCTGACAGCATCAATGGCAGTTAGAAACTCCTGGTCTTGATCTGTGCCCACAATAGACACCTGACAGCCTTGCAGGATTCAGGGCAACCAACTCTTCATTAAATCAACTGTTACATATATGTTGACAACTAAAATAAGTCTTTGTCCCTTACCTAAATTTTCAAATTAAAAAATATTTAACTCATTTTAGATCCTGGCAGCATCTTGGCGCTGCAGCTGGCAGGCCTATCCAGGCAGGGCCAAACTCTAAAAAGCAAGAGCTACCTTTCTGCGCTAGGTATGACTTTTCATACTGAAGACAAAACAGGCACATCATCAGGCACATCATCCGACCTTCAGTCCATGGACACTCACCAACCAAGTTGCTAGCCCAAATCTATCTCAGTACCATCCAACAAAAATATGAGTCACATATGCCATTTTACATTTTCTAGTAGCCATGTTTGTAAAAATTTCAAAAGAAACAGGTGAAATTAATTCTGTTGTATTTAGTTTAATATAGCCAAAATACTGTAATTTCAACATGTAATATAAAAATTATTAATAAGCTATTTTATATTTTTCTATATGAAGTCTTCAAAATCCAGTAAGCATTTTACCTCTGGAGCACATCTCAATTCAGACTGGCCACATAACACTTACTCAACAGCCACATGTGGCTAGTAGCTATTATACTGGATGGCACAGGTCTAAGTCCAAATCCCATGCTTTTTCCCATTTATCTGTTATTTCTATTTTTTTAGAGACAGGGTCTCCTCTGTCACCCAGGTTGGAGTACAGTGGTGCCATCATAGCTCACTGCAGCCTCAAACACCTGGGCTCAAACAATCCTCCCACCTCAGCCTCCTTCCCTAGTACTTGGGACTACAGGTGTGAACCACCATGCCCAGCGGTTTCATGCCCTTAAAAACAAACCCCTTTACTATTGTTCTAGTGAGCTGTGGAGAGGGAGTGGAGGTAGGGGTGTGTCAATGCACCATCTTTAACTGGAAGTCCCTCTGACTCTATTACCCACTGCCCAGCCAGGCTGCCTCATCAACAGAGAAGCTCAGGCCATTAGTCCTTTCCCCTCCTCAAACTGAACTTTAGGGTCAGGACCCATTTTAGATAGACATGAAACAGATTCTGGCTACTCCAGCTTCCTACCTGGTCTCCCTACCTGACTCCACTGCAGCACATCATCTAAATCACACCTGATCACACCATCACTCCTCACCTCACCTCCACTGGTCTCTCATTATGCTGAGAATAAGTAGTCGTACCTCCTTACCATGCTGACAAGGCCTTCCCTGGTTTGTTCTCTGCCTCCAGACACATGGAACCTCTCTGCTCCATGCACGTGTGCACCTCTCCATCTTCACAGGTGCATTTTCTTCCTCCTGGTCTACACACCCCACACCACCTGCCTCCACACCAACTCTCACCTCACCTGGCTAGCATCCACACATCCTTCAGATTTCAGTTAAACCCCTCTTCCTCAGGGACCTTGGGCTAAGTCAGGGCTCTCCAGGCAGCATGCACTGGCCCCATCACAGGGGCCCTCCCACTTCACTGCCATCACCTAATGACCCCTCGCCACTTACCCAATATCCGTTCTACCCTGCAAGCGGCAAACTCTTTGGCAGAGATGGGTTGTCTTGTCTGCTCTGTTCCCTTCTATATCCCTTGGCTTCCAGAAGGCCCGGTGTAGAACACGGGCCCACTAAGAATTCATAATCAATCAATGTGTCATGATAAACGTAATATCGAGACAGGAAAGTTTCTGAAATATCCTGGTGGACTGTTTTTTCATTTTTCTCTTTCAAAAGATTTACAAAATGATGTGGCAGCATTTAAGAATGCAGTTTTTGCCATCGAACTTCTGGGTGCAAAAGGGATTGTTCATAAGGAAAAACAAACTGAGGTTATGTTTTGTTTTTATTTATTTTTCTGAGAGGAAAGAGTTTTTATTAACTGGCGTTAAATTTGTAAGTTTTTTTTAAAAAAAAAAAACAAAGTTACAATAATTTAAGATTCAAAGCAAAACGTGTCTGTTCAATATAGCAGGAGAGTCATGGGATGATAAAGTCAGCTCATGTCCTATCCTCTCTGGAACAAAAATTCCCACAGGTTACAGAGGCTTCTCTGTTTCATATTCCCATTCATAACTATACTTCGAGTATCTGCTCAGAGACATCTGTGTCTGTTTTTGGAGGTGTTTAAAAATAATAACAACTTCACCTAAAGCCTGTAGTAAAATTTACGAAGTAGAATTGCTTCTTTTGGGGAGGCTAATCTGTAAAACAGAATAAAAATGCAGCTATGAATAAAATAGCTTTTGATTTTACCAGCCACGTAGCTGCCAGGCTTTTTAGGGGTGTCATAGGATGGCTCTGCCCCTCAATTTCACTGAAGCGAGAGGGGTGTCTCAATACTCACACTGCCTGTTCCTCCAGCTCCCCTCCGATGCGCTGGGACATGTTCTTCAGCACCCCGATGCTGCCAGAGACCAGCTCCAACTGCTCATCCTGCTGTTCCACGATCAACTGGTGCCAGAGAAATGGGAAATAAGCAATTAAAATCCATCTTACCTGGTTCCAAGCCCAGCACTCTAGCAGCTGCTAGTTTCTTTGCCAACTTGGGACAATTCACATTCAGAAGCAAAGCCCAGAAATCAAAGGACCAGACCGTTGCCTCTGAGAACACACTGCTCAAAAGGCTGGATTGTTAAGCTACTGATATCTCCTGCTGATCCAACTTGTGAACAGTCAGCGGGGCTTGAAACCACCAAGAGAGATTTACTCTGGTTGGCTGACGTCCAATAATGGAGCAGACAATGGTTGAAAGCACACGTGCAGATGACCATTGAGACATGGGGATGTTTGGGAGGAGGAAGCCCATTGCCAAGATCAAGGTCTCAATCCACAACAGACTGCCACAGCTTAAATACAAGAGAGTCTGGCAAATCTCTGGATGTGGGGAAACTATGCAGTCTTTCCTCTCTCTTCAAGGACAAACGAAAGGATTCCCTGTGGCAATAAGTTACCTCAAGGACAACTACTGACTGACAAATATTTACTTTTAGTTGTGTTGCATTCTTCTCACTTTCTATAGAAAAAAAATTTCCTGGGTTTAATAGCAATTTAAGTAGACAACTGGTTAAGCAGACATACTAATGTAAAGAACAAAAGAACATATAAACTACATGTATACATAAAACACAATATTTAAGAATCAATAGTTTCAATGGGTACATGCTCCTCAAATCCCCAGACACATTATCATTAGCTTGCTTTTATTAATACAGCTACATATCAAAGGCATCAACAGACATAATCAATTTCATTTTCCTTCTACCCCTTAACCTACACAAAAGCAGTCATCTTTACATATAACAAAACCAACCAATAGGCCGGGCGCGGTGGCTCATGCCTGTAATCCTAGTACTTTGGGAGGCTGAGTCAGGTGGATTGCCTGAGCTCAAGAGTTCGAGACCAGCCTGAGAAACAAGGTGAAACCCCGTCTCTACTAAAATACAAAAAAAAAATTAGCTGGGCGTGGTGGCGTGCACCTGTAGTCCCAGCTACTCAGGAGGCTGAGGCAGGAGAACTGCTTGAACTCGGGAGGCGGAGGTTGCCGTGAGCCGAGATGGTGCCACTGCACTCCAGCCTGGGTGACAGAGTGAGACTCCGTCTCACAAAAAAAAAAAAAAAAAAGAAACCAATCAATAATTTTCGAAGAAAAAAATGAGAGATCTTTCTGAAAGTGTCTTTGCTGAGATGGACAAAGGTCTGTTTTTTCTAAGAGAACTAACTGAGCTTGGTTCTTTATTTTTTTAGAGAAAGGGTCTTGCTCTGTCACCCAGGCTAGAATGCAATGGCATGATCGAAGCTCACTGTAGCCTTGAACTCCTGGGCTCAAGGATCCTCCAGCCTCAGCCTCCTCAGTAGCTAGGACTAAAGGTGTGAGCCACCACGCCTGGCTGAGCTTGGTTCTCTTGAAGCAGTCACACTGTGAAGATTTTGAAACCCTTTACATATGCAATTATTAAACACAATCAACACAGGACAAGCTCTGGCTTACCCTCCTTGTCACTAAGCCACAAGACCCCATGGCTGGCAAAGGAACTAAGGGGGTGTCTTGTTTCCCACTGGCCCGTCCTAAGTCTGGGGTCCTTGGGGTACCTGCTGCTGTGCCTGCTGCTCCTCAATGAAATGAGAATTGGCTCTCTGGAGCTCTCGGTCCAGACGCCCATATTTATCTGTTGTTCCAGTGCTCCAGTTCTGGCTGCCACTGTCTCCCAGCAGTGCCTGTGTGAGAAGAACAACCAGAGGAGTCAGGAGAAACAAACAATTACTATCTCTGAACAAGTGATGCATCAAGAGTGATATAAAGAGTTTTCACATTTCTTGTCTATTTTCCCCTGGGCAAGGCTTTTATGTAGTGGTGTAGGTTGGTGCCTGGGTGGTACTATTTAAGGAATTCCAGGAAGGGCCCTCTATGTCTTTAAGCTCTCCCAATAGGCCTCACAATGGGCTTTGTCCCCTTAAAGTGCAAATAAACGTCTGCTAAATCAACAAACACCCATCTATATACTGTGTTATAATTGAAAAGCATTCAATCTCTTGTAAAAGAGCTCTTCCTGGTACCTGTGGAACTTCAGCAACCCATAGGTTCCAGTCAACCTGATTCCGAAGATCTAGAGTACTTTTTTAAAAAAAGTGTGACCCAGGGGAAGTTGTGGGTTTTTTTGGTGGGGGGAAAGGGAGAGTTCCCTGGAATGACAAGAAGGTAAGCCATAGCCCTTCACACACAAAGGCACAAGAACCATCAATGTCTGTTAAGTTTAACCCATGAATAGAATCCAGGGTCCTTCAGGCTTTCCAGATGACAACTGGGGGTTACTTTACAGGCAGGTATGACCACAAGGAATGCCTGACCCTGGCAACCGAGGCAAGGGCTGCCCTAAAGTCAGAGTTCTCCACCAGGGCTCCCAGACACAAGGGTCGGGTTTCCCAAGTATGAATTCAAGGAAGTTTGCAGCCATAAATGGGTATGTCTTCCTCACATGAAGAAGACAGGCAGGAATGTGAGAGTTCCATCTCAGCAGTTGGTTCTGACCAGATCCCCACAAGCCTTCCTGACTGGTCAAAGTAACTGCTCACACCAGCCCCGCAGGCAAGAGCCAGAAGACGCTAGCAACTAAGACTCTTTTTCCTTGTAGAGTTGCCAAATTTTCCTATCGGGTAATTTAAAAAAAATCTCAGGCACTATTAAAAGCCTGCCTGGTTACTTGGTTCTGTCTGAAAACCCTTCCAACAGCCCCATGACCTTCCTCCATACTGACACTGACCTCTTCTCAGACTGCGAGGGGTGAACTCCATCAAATGGCCAGACTTCAGGGGCTAGGATCAGGGAAGCTCAGTTATTAGAAGCTTTTCTTACAAGAGCTTCCAGGGGCCCAGAGCTTCAGTCCAGCTGGATGGTGACTGTCTCTGGTGTAAAGCAGATCCAAGGCTTTTTGTGGGTGGCTCTGCCCTGACCTGGTCTTAGGGCTATCAAGACTGAAAAGATCCTGCTCATTATGATCCACACTCTAAGGACCTCTATGGAAGACATGAGGAAATAGTGACAATTTTTTTAGGGTCAGAAAAATGCTATAATGCATCACTGGCCTAAGGACAGAGAACTGGGACACCACCAGGGCCTTGTGTGCTCCTGAGGTCACAGGGCTATTTTTCCTACGTTTTCCATGGTGTACACTTAGGTAGAGCTAAGTATAGGGCAAATCATCCACGTTTTATTGTGAAATAGCTTAAAGTTCATCAGTCTGATCCCAAATGTTTGTGATAATAGGATAGAGATTGAGAGAGGGCCCAAGGACTGGAAGATGCACCTGTGTGTGGGTGCCAGAGCAGGGGTGCTGGTGAGGCAAGGAGCAGCACAGAGCCTGGCACCTGGCACAACGTGGCAAGGCCCATGCCTGCTGGAGTGCTTAGAGAGCCCTGATCCTGCTATTCCTTGAAAATTTGCAACTTGACATTTCACTCATAGCCTAAAACAAAATTCCAAGCCATAACTAGATAGGCAATATATAAATACATACATGTATATATACTTTATATAAAATATATTTAAATTTATATATATATATTTATAAATATATAAATATAAATTTTATTTACGTTAGCCCAACTATACTATCTAGAGAATAAAACATTCAAATTAAGAGTAACAGCATAGGTGTTACTGACCTCACTGTCACAACTACTTCAGTTACTTCCACTTCCTATAAGCTCAAGTGCAAATGAGAAGAGAACTCCAAAACTAGCCAACTTGAGGGCATTCACTAGCTTCTTTCAAGAGAGGGAGCCAGATGGAATGGACCAGCTAGTGGCTTTTCCTAGCTATATTGCTCAAAAAGAAAGCAAAGGAGGCAAATAAGATTAAAAAGCCAAAAACAAAACAATGACTTGAAAAATGGAATGCAAGAAAAGGAAACAGGAAAATTAAGTTAGGTGATATTTATAGAACCCTGCCCCTTCTTCAAGCTTCCATAATATTTGTTTTCAAAATTAAGTGTCTTGACAAATACCCACAGGTATGAAGTACTGATTGCTAGTTAGTATAAATAGTGAAATTTCTCAAGAGCCTACTAAATGGACAATTCATAACTTTCTGGAATCTTAATAAAATGAGACTAAGGTAAGTCATTTAAAGCAAATAGTATCATTTTTCATGAAGTCTTTTTTACTTCTAAGGAAAATGGATATCCACAGAATTTAAAAAACTACTTCTGTCAAAAAAATTACCTAACAGTTTAGCAACAGGCAAAAACATTCTATCCCACCAAAAAAAGTCTAAATCAAATCTCAATCTAAATGAAAGTCCAAATTCTAGATGATCATTCTACATTTTTTAAAAGGACTGTATTTTAACAATTAGAAAGGAGCTTCTATCAATATGCCAAAGTATGTAATTCTTTTAAAACTACTTAAAACAAAGAGAAACTTAATTTAACACACAAGTTTAAGGTTCCTCTAATGTCTTTACATCAAATGTCAATCCTTAGATGTCTAATGTGTTCCATGGGTAGGCAATGTAGTAACTGCTAGAGAGCTCAAAACAAACAAACAAACAAGAAACAAAAAACCATGACACACATCTCTCCTCACTGTCAAAGGGCCTGGAGCCCAGCAGAGAGAAAGACAGTAATTATAGCCCTTCAAAGAGCCTGGCACACAAAATGTGTTCAATAGGTACAGAATAAACACATTAAAAAAGTAAAAGTACTCTGTGATAAGTGCTATAGTAAGGGTAGGCAAAAGGTGCTATGGAGCCCAGAGAAGAAGACCAGAGGGTAAGAGGAGGGGAGGGAAATGTTGACAGGGTGCTGGGACAGGCTGCCTGGACTGTCACAAAACCTCCCATGGTCACACCAGGGCCTGCAAGCAGAAGTCTTCCTCTTGATTACATGATCCATGGATGGTCAGCATTTTTAAATTCCAAATATCTAACTGTATGCTTTCTGTCATTGATAATTATATTCTGATGTTTTCTCACCTGTCTATTTTTTCTTTCAGCTAATGCCTGCACAGATGAAGTTGACATCTGATCTTTCATGTCCTAATGAGAAAGAAGATACGAAAACAAATGAAAAATATCCTTAAACAAAATCACAGTTAACATTTCATACATTAGCAAAACACACAATTTATTATTACTTTTTAAAAAGAAGACCGCATTTCTTGGCTTTATTTTCAGTCTCAAAAATAAAGAAAATAAAATAAAAAGAAAGATGGTCCCTTAAAAAGAAGTAACCTGGATACTAATTTGAATAGGAGGAAAGAGAAAGGAATTAACATTTACCAGGTACCTACCACAGGTCAGAAACAGTGCTAAACACATACACACATTATCACTGAATTTTCACAAGGACCCTGTGAAGCTGGTACTATTTCCATTTTAAGGTTGAGGAGACCTAGGTCCAAAAAGACGATGATACTTTCTCAAAGTCACATCACTAATAAAGAACATCCCTGGGGTACAAACACAAAAGCACGTGTTCAAGGGCTTGCATCTTTTTTACAATATATGTAAAAAACCATGTGCTTTTAGTATAAAGTATATTTACCATTAAACACCAAAGAATACTTCCAAATAGTGGTACAACAGGTCACTTATTTTATTTCTGAGTTGGATTCATGAAAGGTATAGACTATTCCTAACATCAGAGTGAATTTCCAGAGTGGTGTCAAAAATAATTTTGTATGGAATGAAAAGTGAATAGATCCATTACTTTATCTGAAGCAAAACACTTTATTAAATATGAGTCATTCTGCTTATTTAGCTACAATCCAATCTACTATAGAATGATTTGAACTGAATACATGACTGCAACAACAGTTTTTAAAAGGTCGTCAAAATATAATTTATGCAAACATCAAAGTGTAAGACTTTTAGAAACTTCTTTAAAGACCCATGACAAGTAAACAGATGAGACAGTGCCACCGCTTTTACAATCCCAGAACTGTGGTAAATGTGAGTGAGAACCACCTGATTCAACTTTCAAACCACTCATCTATCCATTTAGCAAACACTCACTGATGTCTACTATGTGGCCAGGCATACAGCAGTGAATGATACTAGCTAGGCCCCTGCCCACATGGAGTTCACATCATGATGACATGCCTGAGTCAGTCACGTGAGTGTTGTTAAAGATGCAGTTCCCCTGGATGTCACTATGCTCAGTGAAATAAGCCAGGCACAGAAAGACAAATACTGCATGTTCTCACTCATAAGTGGATGAGATTTCACTCACGGTGGATTTCATGAAGACAAAGAATAGATAGGTGGTTACCTGAGGCCAGAAGAGTGCAGGGGGAAAGGAGGATGAAGAGAGGTTGATTAATGGGTAAAAAATACAGTTAGAAGAAATAAGACCTAGTGCTCAATAGATCAGTAGGGTGACTATAGTTCAACAATAATCTATCGTATATTTCAAAATAGCAAGAAGAGAATAATTCAAATGTTTGCAGCATAAATGTTTAAAATGATGGATATTCCAATTACCTTCATTTGATCATTACGCATTATATACATGTATCAAAATATCACATGTACCCTAAAAATATGCACAACCATATGTATCAAGAAATTTAAAAAAAAATTTTTTTTTTTTTTTGAGACAGTCTCACTCTGTCACCAGGCTGGAATGCAGTGACGTAATCTCGGCTCACTGCAACCTCCGCCTCCTGGGTTCAAGTGATTCTCCTGCCTCAGCCTCCTGAATAGCTGGGACTACAGGCACGCACCACCACACCCAGCTCATTTTCCTATTTTTAGTAGAGACAGGGTTTCAGTATGTTGGCCAGGATGGTCTCGATCTCTTGATCTTGTGATCTGCCCACCTCGGCCGCCCAAAGTGCTGGGATTACAGGCATGAGCCACCATGCCTGGCCTAAAAATATTTTTTAAATGTAGTTCCCTAGGCCCCTATGAGACCTACGAAGTCAGACTCTTGACGGCACATTTTTAACAAGCCCCCTCCCCATCCCCATTCCTTGTCTTACAATGGAAATCTAGAAGCCTTCAAGAGAAACTGATCACTATGCTAGTATCTCCTGGACTGCAGGATTCGTTTTCTGATTATCAATCAGAGTTTAAGATGACATTCTGACAGTCAATCCAACAGCCCGATTTATTTAATATTATTAAAAACTACGCAGAGCAACATTCACTAGGGGGATAATACATGCCTTTAAAAATATACTCAGCTGGGCACTATGGCTTGCGCCTATAGTCCCAGCACTTTGGGAAGCCAAGGCAGTCGGAACGCTTGAGGCCAGGAGTTGCAGACCAGCCTGGGCAACATAGCAAAACCCCATCTCTACAAAATTAATAAAATAAAAATATAGTCAGTGCATTTTATAATAGTGTTTTTTTAAAACAACACATTACTTGCATAATAAAAATATCAACATGCAAGTATGGGAAAGTGACATGTTAGCCTTTGAACATTACATGTACAACATACTTTTGCTGTTAGAAGTCAGTGCAGTGGGGGGTAGAGACATTGGCTAAAAAGGAGCACAGGCACCTTCTGGGGGTGCTGGTAACACCCTGCAATGCTTCTGGGTGCTGTTGACATGGCTGTGTTCAGTTTATAAATTTATTAAGCTATATGTTTAGGTTAATTACACTTTTCTGTACCGTTATATTTTAGTAAATATATGTATTTTTAATACTACTGGTCCCAAACAATGGCTGGATGGTAAACTAGAACAGCACTTTGAAAATAAATTTGTCATTCTGTACCATGAGTCTCAAAATATTCACTGCCTTGACCCAGTAATTCCACTAACAGGAATTTATTTTAAGGAGATAACATAAAATAGATACAAAAAAAGACATGCAGAGATGTGTACTGCAGTATTATTTATAATAAGAAAAAAAGTAGAAATAAGCAGCAAGCCCAAATAAGGGAACAGCAACACAATCCACACAATGCAGTATTATATACTAGGCATTATGTACTAGGCATTGTGCTTATGAAGAGAGTTCAGTGAACAGACAATTCACAAAAACCCCACAAATGATCAAACATGAATAGATGCAATAACCCACTGGTAATCAAAGAAGTGTAGCTAAGAGACATTTTCTCCAATTAGACCAAGAAAGATGAAAAAGATTGATAATACTTAGTGAAGGTATATTCTGATACTCTATCAGAAATATGACTGATAAGGTCTTTTTGTAGGATACTTTGAAAACAATTTTTTTTTTTTTGAGACAGGATTTCACTCTGATGCCCAGGCATCATCAGTACGGTGGTGCCATCACAGCTCACTGCAGCCTCAACCTCTCAGGCTCAAACAATCCTCCCACCTCAGCCTCCCAAGTAGCTGGGACTACAGGCACGTGCCACCATGCCTATTTATTTTTTAAATTTTTGGTAGAGATGAGGTCTCACTATGTTGCCCAAGCTGGTCTTGAACTCCTGAATTCAACTGATCTTCCTGCTTTGGCCTCCCAAAGTCCTAGGATTACAGGCATGAGCCATCATGACTGGCAATGAATATTTAAAATGTGTATTCTCATTGAATTTTTTACGAAACAATTATGTAAGTTATGCTCACAAAGATGGTCACTGAAGCATGGTTTGCAATTTCCACTAATAAACAATAACCAAAATATCTACTGGTAGGTCAATGATTAAATAAATCATAACAGAGCCACATTAAAGGAGAGGGAAACAGCATGATCTTTCATGTCAAAGACCTAGGTTTAAGACTTAGTTATGCTTTTTAATAGCTGCACTAAGTTTCTATTTCTTCTGTACATTTAGAATAATATCTTTTAGAATCATTGTAGGGATTAATAGAGGTAACACATGAAGCCTGATTAACAGTAGCCAACAATATAGTAAGCACTCAATAAACATTATCAGCAAATAAACGTATGCAACTATTAAAAAGGATAGTCTGCTCCTGGGTAATACAGGACCCACTAGCTACTGAGCACTTAAAATGTGGTCAGTGCAACCGAGGAACTGAATTTTACTTTAATTAATTGATACTCAGTTATTAGAAAACTTTGAAGTATGTCTAGAAAAAATTGGGTTTGTGACTCTACTTTTTCAATTGTAAGTTCTGTAAACTCTAAATACAGATCAAGTATTTCCAATGAAAATTTCACATCTGAATTGAGATATGCTTGAGTGTAAAATACATGCCAGATTTATTACAAAAACAGTTTAAAAAATTTAAATCTCTCATTAATATCTCTTATATTGACTACATATTTAAATGATCATGTTTTGGATATATCAGGTTAAATAAAATATATTAAGCTCACCTATTTTTACTCTTTTAATGTGGCAACTAGAAAACTAAAAATGACCAAGAGGTTCCCATTTTATTACTACTGAACAGCACTTCTCTAGATTTATCTGTGTCATTGTAAGACTATGTCCACAATGTAATTTTTCATAGAAAAAAAGTTACAGATTATCATGCCACTGCTTTTTAAAAGTTTGCATATTTCAATGTCCATAAAATGGCTGTGAAAAATAAAATTGTTGACACTAATTATTTCTAGGGAGTGAAATTGGAGAACGAAGAGGCATTTTCTCTTCAAAGTTTTTTCATCAGGATTATTTGCATTTTATAAATACCAAGTACAGATTATTTTTAACCTAAGAAAATAAAATGCTATGATTGCATAACAGTATGATCACAACTATGTAAAAATACAACTGCCCTGCATTGGGAGGAAAATTATGAAGAAAATGCAAAGTCTTGTGCTATGTATTATTCTGAGTTTAGATTCCTTTTCCTACTTTTACTTCTTGAAAATTTTCTCTAATTTTCTTTGAGCTTGCATTATCATAATTAAATGTGTATTCTAAAGTTGCAGTTTTTAAAGTTTTATGCTTAATAAAAACCATGTGGGGTTATGTGTGTGCCTGCATGGGTGTTAGCCCTGATGAGGCAGATTCCTCCAATAGCCCTGTGGGTAGGCATCCTGTATGTGACCACCACCACCGCGGGTAAGGATCTAAGGATCTATGGCTTTCACTTCTTTTTTTTTTCTTTTTTCTTTTGAGGAGTCTCACTCTGTCTCACAGGCTGGAGTGCAGTGGCACAATCTCAGTTCACTGCAACCTCTGTCTCCGGTTCAAACAATTCTCCCACCTCTGTCTCCCAAGTAGCTGGGACTATAGGCAGCTGCCACCACACCCAGCTAATTTTTGTATTTTTAGTAGAGACAGAGTTTCACCATGTTGGCCAGGGTGGTCTCAAACTCCTGCCCTCAAGTGATCTGCCCGCCTCAGCCTCCCAAAGTGCTGGGATTATAGGCATGAGCCACCACACCCCGCCAGCTTTCACTTCTAAGATGGCACTTTATCCATGTAGGTCAAAAGTTAGCAGATACCACACAACACCTTCATATTGGAATTCGGGATCTTAAACTATGTTACTAAATAGTTTTAAACATTTTATAACAATCTATCATGCCAAAAACATAATTACTCATCTTCTTTCTAACACATGACGTTTAGAACCAGCAGTCAAGCAACAAGTCCCAATAAAATATGGTTCATCTGCCAAAGGAACAACAAATGTCCTGGTTATTTATGCTTCTGTTCCCATTTCACACTGTCTTCCAAGCTGAATGAATGAGACATCATAAACCCCAGTGCTTCCCACTCATAATTCTTACATTTCAAGGTCATCTGTGCTCACACTGGATACTTCACCCTTTTTGATTAACCAAAGCCATTTCCATCTTGACTTACAATTGACTGTAAACAATTCTTACATTGGAGCAGGTTCGGTTTTTTCATGGAGAGGGTAATAGTTCTAACTTTTAAAGTCAGAGAATGTTAGTGAGGATTATTTCATAGATAAAACTGAGATCCAGGGAGGTTGAATGACTTACCATGGTTAAGATTTATTAAGGTCACAGCTTAGCCTAGAACTCAGGTTCCCTTACCCCTTATATTCACCATTATTCTGCCATATACTGCAAAACCTCTTGATCCTAAAGTAAAACCAAAGTCACTTCTAGGATATATTTCTAAAACACAAAAATTTCACATGTGGAATCTTTGATGTATAGGTGACTCCACAAGAGTAAAAATGATTACCTCAAAAATATGAAAGCTATTTACACAAAAATGTGAGTATTTTGGTTCTTCACTAAAAACTGCCAGCAAAACTGGATTTGTACAGACTTAAAAGATGCTTGGAAAAACATACACAAAACTCTAAACAAGGAAAGCTTACTAAAGGCATAACCAATGGACATTAATCAAGAAGAAACAGGCGATTTACTTCTTCAGGTTGAAGCAAATAAAGAAAAAAAAAACCACAAAATGCATAGAGTATCACTGACTCCCCTGCCTACAAAAGAGAAAGCATAAGTAGAATACACTGTTTGAAAGATAAAGTCAATCAAAATTTTGGAGCAATATTAAATGAAAGCCCACTAGTAATAGTAACAGAAGAACTAACATAAATTTGTACAAATTCCTAATTTGAACTTCATTTCATCTCATTTTCCAAATCTGCTAACCCTCTGCTCCCTCTCTATCGAGCTCTTCCACCCAGAACCCAGAAATCTCTACATACAAACACTGTTTAGCTAAATGTGGTAATGTGGAATTATACAAGGTATATTTTATTTTTAATCGAGTTAGCACCATTGCTATTTCCTCCTCTTCTATAGGACTTTCAACTAGAATTTATTACAATCAGATCAGCAAAAGCTCAGTTAGGTACTGTTAGCCTACCACTGGTAAATACTAACAGCTTCCCCCAAAGGGGTCATAAATTTAAACAAGAATGATTTAAAACCCTAAAATATTCAGGTGGATCACATAGTTGAGTATGGTTTAGATCTCAACTCTAAAAGGACAGTAAGATTTTGAAGTACTGACTTGATTTGGAATACCTCTCATTACTCTGTTCTCACATTGCTATAAAGAACTGCCCGAGACTGGGTAATTTATAAGAGAAAGAGGTTTAATTGACTCACAGTTCAGCATGGCTGGGGAAGCCTCAGGAAACTTACAATCATGGCAGAAGGAGAAGCAAGGCAACTTCTTCACAAGGCAGCAGGGAAGAGTGACAGAGCAAAGTGGGAAGAGCCCCTTATAAAACCATCAGCTATCATGAGACTCACTCACTATCATGAGAACAGCATGTGGGAAACTGCCCCCATGATTCAATTACCTCCACCTGGTCTCTCCTTTGACACATGGGGATTATGGGGATTACAATTCAAGATGAGATTTTGGGTGGGGAAACAGCTAAATCATATCAACCTCTTTCTAAGAATGTACTTTAAAAAGCTTTTCAGATATTAGAAAATGAACTTTGGATTCTTCTTTCCATTATACCAATGAACTTAATTTTTAATATACGAACCTCTAAATTTCAATTTGCAAACTTCCTAAGTCTACCTTGCAGAAATAAATATAATGATTAAGGTTAAGGACATATGCTTCACTGCAAGGCCCCACTTAAATATTAACGTCTATAGGAGTATCCTTCAAAAAACCTACTACTACAAAAAAAAAAAAAAAAAAGCTTATACAAAATAATTGGGGATTTACTTATCTTACAAAAAATATGTCACCTAACAACAAGGCTTCCTCATCAGAACAGTATTTTGAACTGGCTAGAAATTAAGAATGTCCAATCCAAACACTCACTGTGGATGGGGCATCTGAGGTCCAGAAAGGTTTCTCCCTCATTAAAATGTGGGTTTATCTATAAACAATTTACGTATATGTATATAGAAAGGCAACTAATGAATAAAACAAGTAACAAGAATATATAAAGTTCAGTGATAATCTACCATTTGAAATAATTTCAAAAGGAAATCACATGATATAAAGACTTTGGCAAACACAAACTAAGGTTCCTGCCTAAGATGACTCTTAAAAAGCCGTATGTTAGCACTGGTATGATCCCAAGTCTTTTTATTCAAGGAAGCTGCTTTCTAGTACATATGTTAAAGACAGCTGGTTCTCTTACATCTAGTTATGCTAATCAAATGGCTTAGCCATATAGTTTCAAAATATGAAACATTTTAATGACACAAGATTGTACTTAATATTTTTTCTCAGATTCTTTAATAATGGGTATTATTCTAAATAACTTAGAACTAAAGATTTGTTCACTTGGATCAATTTTTTACACTCTGATAGATGCTTGTTTGCTCTGGATAACTCTGGAACGGCTGTCAAGTAGTTACATATGGAAATGTCAGTATCTTGGGTTGCAAGAGTTCCAGAAGCAATTCAGATGGCGGAAGAGGCCGCTATCCAAACCCACTAAGAGTCACTCTTCAACAATGCGAAGTGATTACCAATCAATCAAAAAACCAAATGGTTTCTACAATAGCAATTGTTTTGTTCGTCAAGAAATAGAGTACACTAAGAAATAAAAAGTGAGAAAGATAACTAGCTTGAAGAAACTAGAGGTATGGACAAGGGTCTAATCATTCAGGATGACACCATTTGAATGTACCCTGCCCAAAGCCAGCAGATTACTGTCTCATTTTTGCTCTCGGAAATAAGCCTGACAGGCTGGGCATGGTGGCTCACGCCAGTAATCCCAGTACTTTGAGAGGCTGAGGCAGGCAAACTACTTGAGTTCAGGAGTTCAAGACCAGCCTGAGCAACATGGTGAACCCTGTCTCTACAAAAAATTAGCCTGGTGTGGTGGTGCACGCCTGTAGTCCCAGCTATTTGGGAGGCAGAGGTTGTAGTCAGCCAAGATCATGCCACTACATTTCAGCCTGGTCAACACAGTGAGACCTTGTGTCAAAAAAAGAAAGATTAAAAACAGATTTCTTTTTCTTCAATCACGGAAATTTTTTTTTTTTTTTAAGGTACAGTGACGTGATCATAGCTCTCAGCCTCAACCTGATCCTCCCACCTCAGCCTCCCATCTTGGTCTTCCATGTAGTTGAGACAACAGGTGTGCACCACCATGCCCAGCTAATTTTTATATTTTTTTTTTGTAGAGACAGGGTTTCATCATGTTGCCCGGACTGGTTTCAAACCCCTGGGCTCAAGTGATCCACCCACCTCCACCTCCCAAAGTGCTGAGATTACAGGCATGAGCCACCATGCGCAGCCAATCAGAGAAATTATATATGGGGAAGCTCACATTTAATTCATATTTAAAAAGTGGTTTCAGAGGTGACCTATTAGTTTACAATTAAGGGAAAGAGCTCTAAGAAGTCTGGCTATTTCTTATACAGATAACACAATAAGATCATATTCCTTACCCTGACAACTTGCCGAGTACTTGTAATGAAGGCTTTTCTTATACTCAATTCAGTTGCATCAAGGTTAAATTTTCTAGGATTTGCTTCAACTATGCGTAGGTCAAAAAGTCAAGGTAAAACAATTTCATCATCAAAGCCTGACAACATCCTGTTAACTCACTGAATCTCTCACATGCAAACAAATAAAATCTGGCTCAAACTTTCTGAAAACACAGTCAGCTGGACACCAATCATTCTCAGACTTCCTCTGCCCACAGCCACAGGAGGGAGGATCCCTTTGCTCCAAGACAGAGATGATCTGTCTGGTTAGGAAGCATAGCCCCTGCTGATGAGCTTCACTGCAAACACTTAGGGCTATCTGACCACAGGTGAGCTGGGCTCTTCCTGTTTGCCAACACTTGTGTCTATCCTTTTTTGACTCCTGATCACCTTTACTAAGACAGCTTTTGCAAGCCTTTTTCTCCTGCCATTCCAAACCACTTCCCATTATGCCAAGATGCTAACCCTACTTCTTAATCTAGAGAGATCGGGCCTTCTTCAGAGAAGCTGCCCTCATTCCCTTACCCTCTAGCCTGGTCCGACGCACCATGTCAGACACTTGCATAGCTCTCTATACTTCTCGTTCATAGTCTGCAGGTATCTATTTGTGTTATTACTTGATTACCATCTGTCCCCCATCCCTATCCACTCAAAGTTCTGTGAGGGCTGGTATAGTGTTTATTAATCTAATCTCTGTAACCAACAAAATGCCTGGCACATAGTATACTCAATAAACACTTGCTGGTTGAATGATGAGTATCTATTAAAACTTTTGTTTTTTTAATCTCACATTTTCTCTATCTCCCCTAACTTTTTTTCCTTCCCTCCTTTCTCAAGGGAAGAATTATCTCCCTGTAACTGTGCTTTTGATCCTGCCCCCTCACATATTTGCCACTAATTTTAGAGAACATACTTGCCTTTTAATAATGTAAAAGGTACCAGGGTCATCATGAATAACAAAAATTATTTACTCCATGTATCAACTGCATACGAACCTGTGCTAACTATAAGGTGATCCTGACAGAAGCTGGTTTCCTTATGTTTTATCTCACTTAGGGAAAAAACAAAACAGAACTCAGAACATGCAAGTGGCATATCTTCCATCTAAAGTTTTGGTTAAGTGGGATTTCCAGTTGGAAAAAAAGGCTATATAATGAAGTTTTTACAGTTCTCCAGTGCATGAGTCAGATCAGTGGACTTACTTCACATCAATACCATGAATTAGCAGAGCAGATCTGCTTTTACTAAATGCAGTTTCATGGAACAAGACATCTCTTCAATGGACGGTAGCACTGTAACATCACTTCTTAAACATGAAGACAGTCTACAAAAAGATTTTTTGATCTCTAATTACCGAAGTGTAACACTGGCCTGTATGGACCTCTATATGATAATGACTGCTAACACTATTACATAAGCTGTGTGCCAGGTGCCATTCTAAACTCTTTACCTGTATAATCCCAATAATCCTATGAGCTAGGTACTCTTGTTATCCTAACTTTCCACTAAAGAGGAAACGGAAGCACAGGAGGTTAAGTGATGAGCCCAAGTCACATGGTAACTGGTTGTGATACTGTAATAAATGCAAATTCGGTCTCTGCCCCCTCATTTCTGGCACACAGCTCCTTGATCCCTTGGAATCTCCAGATGAGTATCTTTTGTATGTTAATGGGATAATTGATGGCTGGGGGTTTCTAGATAGCCTCAGGACGAGGGGCTGGTCCCCAGAGAAACCAACCATGTGATTAGACAGTTGAAGCTTTCAGCCCCCTGCTTAACCCCACCCCAGGGGAAAGGGGCTGAAGGCTGAGCTGATCACCAATGGCCAACTGATGTGATCAATCATGCCTGCGAAATGAATCCTCCACAAACACCAAAAGGACAGAGTTCAGGAAGCTTCCAGATAGGTGAACATGTGGAGGTTCCTGGAGGCACCTGAAGAGGGCCTGGAAGTGCTGCACCTTTTCTCCCATACCTTGCATGCATCTCTTCCATCTGGTCATTCATCTGTATCCTTTGTAATATCCTTTACAACAAATGGATAAACCTAAGGAAACTGTTTCCCGGAGTTCTGTGAGCTGCTCTTGCAAATTAAATTAATTCGATCTATGGAGGGGGTCGTGGGAACTCCAATTTATACGTGGTCAGTTGGAAGCGCTGGTCACAACCTAGGGCTTGCAACTGGCATCTGAAGTGGGGGCAGTCTTGTGGGACTGAGCTCTTAACCTGTGGACCTGATGCTATCTCCAAGTAGACAGTGTCAGAAATATCATACTGACTTGAGTGTGAGGGTAGAGACTTAAAAAAAAAAGAAAAAAAGGGTTTTTTTTTTTTCCCTTTACATTGGTGGAGGCAGGACTTGAACACCAGAAATCTGACTCCAGGGTCCACAGTCATAATCATTACACTATGCTGCCTTTATATATATATATACATTTATAGTACAGGATTTGTCACACACTGTATAAGAATTTGGCTACTGTACCTTAAGTTACTGGGCAAATACTTTAAACATGTCATGGTACAAGTAAGAGCAACAAACATTAATCGATTATAAAATGTTTCATCTACATACTGGAAACAACTGGAGAAAAACTTGTCCATTTGTCTATTTATCCCGAATGGCACAGACACCACAGAAAAGGATATTGATGGTTTCATCAAGGTCCTCTAGATCCCACTCTATGCTCCGGAGGTTATTTCTCAGCTCGTTGGTGGTCCAGTCGATTTCTTCCCTTGTTGCTGTGGAGGGGTCCTGGAGGAGCTCTGTCCATCTCTGAAACAATCCCTGGGCAGTGTTGACTGCTTTCTGTACCTCTCTGTAATCAAGATGAGGCAAAGGAGAGAAATCACAGACAACATTCCATGGTCAAGTTACTGCATGATTTAGGTTAACATTTATGATCATACACCATCCTCAGCAACCACCATTCCCACAGAAGGCTCTTCACAGACAAATATCAAAGTTCAAAACTTTGATACACAGTCTGAGTATTATGTTCTCAGCTGATGCTTGGAATACAATAGCCATTATTTAAGCAGCTACAATATCAAGTTTGTTGGGGAAGGACAAATTTAATATTTTTCTCTGAACAGACTATACGTAAAAGTATAATGAAGCAATCCTACAAATTAACTAAAGGGCAATGAGCATTCCCACATGCTTCCACTTGGTGTGACAGTATTAATAATTTATACTCAGATGATAAGTCCTAATATGGCCTTTCTTTTCTTGGTGTGGGAGGAATGAGAATGCTGGAGGGAAGGTTACTCTTACATAGCTACCATTTTATTATAGGTTAAGTATTTTAATCCGAGAAATTCTTAAACCCAAAATCTCATTCAATTTCCAAACATTATTAGCTTTAAATATACCTACTTTCCTTAATTAAGCAATACCATATACCAGATTAGTGTTTGTTTTTGTTTTGTTTTTGAGAGGGAGTCTTACTCTTTTGCACAGGCTGGAGCGAAATGGTGCGATCTTGGCTCACTGCAACCTCCACCTCCCGGGTTCAAGTGACTCTTCTGCCTTAGCCTCCCGAGTAGCTGGGATTACAGGTGCCCGCCACCACGCCTGGCTAATTTTTGTATTTTTAGTAGAGACGGGGTTTTGCCAGATTGGCCAGGCTGGTCTTGAACTCCTGATCTCAGGTGATCCACCTGCCTCAGCCTCCCAAAGTGCTAGGATTACAGGCATGAGCCACCACGCCCAGCCACATTAGTGTTTTTCTTGTTTAGAGAATGAGACTAGGCCATTAAGTGCTATGATCTAGCATGCCTTTAGATTAGATATAGTCACAAGATTTTAAGAACTTTTACCCCCACCATTGGGCCAATATCCACTATTTAAATGTTATAATCTAATACTATCACATATAAAAGCCAAAAAGGAGTCATTTTATAATCATATGGTCTCTCATGTTCAAAGATGATAATCCCACTGCTCCTGAACTATAAGAACTGTTTTGATCCTTCTATGATTTCTTCTGGAACAAAGACCACAAAAACGTGTTCTAGCTGATTAGGGTGTTTGTTGTCTATGGCTTTAAAACAGAATTCACACGCATCCTATACCCTCTGACGTTTCAAGTATTGGAAAAAAGAAAGCGCTAACAAAAATGAAAAAAAGCACCTTACAATATTTAGGTCTATGGCATACTGATGAGAGCTAAGAGGCGGAACGTTAAACAGAGAATACAGCTTCTAGGTGCAGGCTGAGTAAATAAGCAAACTATATGGACAACAAATCTACCAACGTCTATTCATCTAGTTTAAGGCTTAGGCAAGTCACCTCATTGTTCCTTTCATGTCAGCCTTTAGACTTTCAGTGCTAATGAGAAACCCTATTTAAGATAAAATGGGGAAGAATTAAGTGAGGTGAAAATCTACTTTCTTTACTCTTTATGGGATCTGGGTGATTTAGTGGAGAAAGAGCTATGTATCATTCCTTAATGCAAAGTAAGTCATCCTTTGGTATCCTTAGGGGATTGGTTCCAGGACCTCCACAGGATACCAAATCTGCAGATGCTGAAGTCCTTACATAAAGTGGCATAGTATTTGCATATAACCTACGCACATCCTCCTACATACTTTAAATCATCTCTAGATTATTTATAATACCTAATGTAATTTAAATGCTATGTAAATTGCTGTTATACTGTATTGTTTAGGGAACAAGAAAAAAAAGTCTGTACATGTTCAGTAGGGATGCAACCATTCTTTTTTTACTGAATACATTCAATCCTGAGTTGGCTGAATCCACAGATTTGGAACCCACAGAGATGGAGGGCTGATTGCATTGGTTTATTTGTAAGTACTGAGTATCATTTATGATAATGGAAGACAGAGTTGAAGAGGTTATCTGTAAAGACATCTTTTAAAGAATATAAAATATATCAATTCTGTAAAGTAAATATGAATTCCTTCTTGAGAACTAGAAGCCTCAAACCAAGAAGCCTTGGGCTAGGGCTTAGGTTTGTTCTCCACCACCAGTACACAATGATGATGCTGGAATTAAATTCTAAGTAGCAATCTATGAACTTTTTTGGTCTCAGGAGACTCCTTTGAACTCTTCAAAATTACTGAAGACCCCGAAGAGCTCAGAGTTATGTATACTATGTATCTAATCTATTTACTATATTAGGAATTCAAACAGACATTTTAAAAATATTTGTCAACTTTAAAATGTGAGCTTACATGTTAACAATGTTTTTATTTTAAAAATTCTAAAACAAAAAAAATGTAGTGAGAATGGCATTGTTTTGCATTTGTGCAAATCTCTTCAATAAATGTGGATTCTCATATCCACTTCTACCATCAGTCTGTGGACATACATTTTGGTAGAAGCATATGATGAGAATCCAGCCTCATACAGATACATACTTGGAAAAGGGAGGAGAATTTTAATAGTCTTTTCGGACAATTGTGGATGTACTTTTTTGATAGTATACCAAAACTTGACAACTGGCTGTTAAAGGTTAGCTGCAATGTGGATCCTAAAACTGTATTAAAGAACTTTTTAGATTTTCTTATTTTACAGTAATAATTTTCTTGTTTTTCTTAGCTTACCAAGTAAAATGGGAAGGAGTATCTCAGTCATTAGGGCGCTTTGTTTCCCTTATACTACGATCCATTGGTCAATCTTGTACAGGCTGAGATTCCGTTATCCAAAATGCTTGGGACCAGAAATGTTTGGGATTTTTTCAGATTTAGAATATTGGCATTGTACTTACCAGTTGAGCACCCCAATCTGAAAATCCAAAATCCAAAATGCCCCCAGTGAGCATTTCTTTTGAGCATCTTGTTGGTGCTTAAAAAGTTTTGGATTTTGGAACATTTCACATTTGAGATGCTCAACCTGTAATTTGGATCTTTTACTTTTGGATGATTTTATAACATCAAATAGTGGTCATTAGGAAAGTATTAGTCTACTGAGTATTGCAGAACCTCCAAATGCCAGCTCATTTCAATACACAGTATCCAAAATCATATTTGTTATTATCACCACCAGTTTCATCAGAAAAACTTAAGTGTTGGAAATCTGTAAGAGCATAGTAGTTGATATAAGCTTTCCAAAATTGTTTTTTTTTTTTTTTTTTTTTTAAACAAAAGGCTCTAATTTTATCACTGGTAAAAATACTGTCATTTATTTTCCATGAAGTGACAGGTTCACCTCACTCATTTGTGAGAAAATATCTCGAGAATTTTTTAGATAAATTTGAGATTTGAGAAAGCCTGCAAGTCTGAGAAACCAGTTTGTCATTCTCTCCAGTAAAAATGAGATTTTGCTCGGGGCGGGGGGAAAACAGCTATTTCAACTCACAACTCAATCACATAAGTGCTTTTCCTAGAGACAACCATTTTATTTAACAATACATCACAAAAATGCTTCACGCAAACTTCCATTTTGCCAGTGGAATATTAAAATATATACTAAGGGAGAAGATATTTACAAATTATATATCTGATTAATGACATATCCAGAATATATATTTTTTTAAACTCTCAAAACTTAATAAGAAAAACCCAATTAAACAAAGCCAGCTGCAGTGGCTCATGCCTGTAATCACAGCATGTTGGGAGGCCAAGGCAGGTGGATCACTTGAGGTCAGGAGTTCAAGACCAGCCTGACCAACATGGTAAAACCCCATCTCTACTAAAAATACAAAAAAATTAGCCGGGCATGGTGGTGGGTGCCTGTAATCCCAGCTACTCAGGAGGCTGAGGCAGCAGAATCACTTGATCCTGGGAGGCAGAGGTTGCAGTGAACCGAGATCGTGCCATTGCACTCCAATCTGGGTGACAGAGCAAGACTGTTGTTTCCAAAAAAAAAAAAAAAAAAGCAAAAGATTTGACCAGTCACTTCACCAAAGACATACATATGACAAATAGCACAGGAAAAGATGCCCAATATCATTAATGACATGCAAATTAAATCTTCAATTACATACTACTACATATTTAGAATGGATTAAAATGAAAACAAAATGACAATGCAACATGCTGGAAAGGTGGTGGGGTAACTGGAATTCTCATACCTTACTGGTGGAAAGCACAATAGTACAGCCATTTGGAAGAGAGTTTGGTTGTTTCTTGAACATATATTTACCATACCCCAAAGTCCCACTCCTAAGTGAAATGAAAACTTATGTTCACACAGCCAAAAATTGTAAACAACCCACATGTCCTTCAACTAATGAGTGGATAAACTGTAGTATATATGTATAACAGAATACTATTCAGCAATAAAAAGGAACAAACTACAGCTACATACAACAACATAGATGAATCTCAAATGCATTAGGCTAAGTGAAAAAAGCTAGATTCAGAAGGCCACGTACTATACGATTTCACTGACATAACATTCCGGAAAAGGCAAAATTATAAGAACAGAAAACAGTTCAGTGTTTGCCAGGTGCTCGACATGGGGGAAGGACCAGAAGGCATACAGAGAAACGTTTTGGGGTGATGGATCTGTGCTATATCCTGCTTGTGGAAGTGATGATTACACAACTATATGAATTAGTCAATTTCACAGAAGTGTACACCAAAAAGGTTGCTTTTTATTGTAGGTAAATTATAACTTTAAAAAAATGAGAAAAATTATACTTGAGGGTCAAGATTTTATAAAATTATTAATTTTTACTGTTTCATGAAGAATATTCTTTTTTTTGAGACAGAATCTCACTCTGTCACCCAGACTGGAGTGCAGTGGTGCCATTTCAGCTCACTGCAACCTCCACCTCCCGGGTTCAATCGATTCTCCTGCCTCAGCCTCCCGAGTAGCTGATATTATGGGTATGCGCCACCACACTCAGCTAATTTTCATATTTTTAGTAGAAACAGAGTTTCACTATGTTGGCCAGGCTGGTCTCAAACTCCTGACCTCAAGTGATCCAACCGGCTCAGCCTCCTAATGTGCTAGGATTACAGGTGTGAGCCTCCGCGCCCGGCCTCATGAAGAATATTCTTAGGGGAATATGACTCTTTTTTTTCTTTTTTTTTACTGTTAGTACAAGCTGATGAGGAATACCACAGAAAGCATGGCACGACACCACTGCCTTGATTTTTGGTAAGGCACCAGGAGTTTTAGCCACCACAGCTTTTTTTGGCACCATCAGTGCAAATGTCAACATGGTGAAAAAGGCAGATAATATCTGAATATTATCATGAAAAGAGTTTTGAGCTAGTGGATCTTTCTGTGAAAGGATCTTGGGGATCCCTTGTGATTTACAGGCCATGCTTTCAGAACTACAATGTCTTAAGACACTGTTAGACTGAAGTTGAGGAGTGTGCATGGGTGGATTCTAGTAGCACTGAGTGTGAAGCCAAGGAATCCTTAAGTATGCAAGAAGCAAAGCATGTCCTGAGGAAAAAAATGAAAGAAATGGCAGGAATTAGAAAAATGCTACAAAGCAGTTGCAGAATAAAGCTCAGCACCCTACAGGCCTGACCAGCAACTTGGCTTATTCCATTCTAAAGCTCTTATTTTTAAAAAGAGGATTCATGTTTAGTTTTCATTTAGTAACACAGACATAAGAAAGGTAAACTAGTCGTTATTTTACATTTTTAAGATGGATGTTTTAAGGGATCACAAAGGTGGAAACTGCCAGCAATGGCTCAGATCTTGAAAGACAGCCAGAATCTGCAGTGTATCAGGGAATCCCATCTCAATAGCAAGCAAAGAGGTCTCTCTAAGTGGAAAACCTCCCAACTGTTCTTCCAATATCATTTCAGTGTTAGCCTGAAAAAGAAGGCATGAACTGGAAGCAGAAAACAATGTTGGTCACAAGTCTTATTTGGAAGCCAACTATTAATGGTAACCAGAATTTTCTAAAGCATGTGGGATTTCTAACAGCTTCAAGAGCCACAAGACACACCTAATAATGTACAAATCTAACCAGGGAGACAACCCTCTCAATCCAGAACCACTTGTAAGTACTTGCAACTAAAAACTGAAGATTACTTGGCATTCCAAGTAAGTCAATTCATAAAACAGTAACATATAATCATGTCACCTATTTGAGATTTGTGAGGGTTTTTATAAGAGAAGTGCCCATCTACTTGATTTCACATTTCTTTCTCAGGAAAGGCAAGGGAGTTGTTTCAGTATCAGTTGGCTAGTGAGGCATGACCCACAAATGTCTACCCACCACTGTTGTCCGTTCTACACAACTAGCCCGTGTGAGCACTTCACTTTGGGAGGAGCACTTCACTTTGAGGAGCACTTCCCGTTGAGTGAGCAGATACAACTGCTGACTGCTCAGGCAACAGAGATCCATTTTTGTCTGTCTCCAGAAAGGTGACAATCACAGATAGTGCTTCTTTATCCCTTATCTTTATGTCTGATTTAGCTATTTTTTTCCTCAACTATGTAATCAGAAAAATTAAAGTTTGATACCCAGAACTTTCCATGAGAGAGTATATACCATGAAGCAGTATATACCTTGAAGCAGGTATACCTTGAATTGTCAGAGTTCTTCAGCTTAGCAAACTTCTTGGTAAATAACAATCTGCTCACCCACAGCTTGGAGAATCACATCTGGCAGCATTTCACTGAAAACTTGCTGATGACTTTCCTAGGAATTATAGTTTTAGCTGCTGACCCAGAGAAGCCTTTTTCAAATCCTTGAAAGAGAAAGACGGCTATCTCCACACATCAAGCAAATCTTGCGCTATCCGTCACACATGCTGCCCAAATCAGTTTCATCTGATACAGGTAGCATTTCGTAGATACCAAGAGCCAGTGTTGGCAATTCTAGGGATGTGGCTTTTCCTCCCTGCTGTCTACAAAACAGCCCATCAAAATCATGGAACCTGTCATCTTCTCAAGGATTAAACTCCCTACAGACACCAGAATGAAGGCTCTTCATGGCAAGTCACCACAATGCCCACAGGACCACTTGCAATGCAGAACTTTCCCAGTAAGTAGCTGTCAAAAATGGAAACACTGCCCACATCTTTGAAGAATGCATCTTTTGGGAAAAACAAAATAAAGTCATCTGAGCATTCAGATTCTTCCATTCTTTTTTTTTTTTTTTTTTTGAGATGGAATTTCACTCTTGTTGCCCTGGCTGGAGTACAATGGCACAATCTCAGCTCACCACAACCTCCGCCTCCCAGGTTCAAGCAATTACCCCGCTTCAGCCTCCTGAGTAGCTGGGATTACAGGCATGCACCACCACGCCCGGCTAATTTTGTATTTTTAGTAGAGACGGGGTTTCTCCATGTTGGTCAGGCTGGTCTCAAACTCCTGACTTCAGGTGATCCACCCACATTGACCTCCCAAAGTATTGGTATTACAGGCATGAGCCACCGCGCCCAGCCAATTCTTCCATTCTTCATAAATAAAAAGTTGATTCTGGCAAACCAACCTCATTTATTTTTGAAGTTAGCCCAACATTGATCCCTCGTCAGATAGTTGAGCCTCTTCCATACAACCTCCCAATATGGTACATCACCAAACTAGCCTCTGGGGCCACAAGTAATACATTCAGTCCAAATACAGTCCAAAAAAAAAAAAAATCACAAAGTTTTCTTACTTGCATCTAACCAAGTTTGCCAAGTAAAATGAGAAGAAAGAGTATCTCAGCCATTAGGGAGCTTTGTTCCCCAGTATTTGTCATTCAGTTGTACCAACAAATTGCGTAAGTGTAGCCACAACCCCCATCATCCTTTTTCCTGTTGTGGTTGAGACAGGGTCTCACTGTCAACCAGGCTGGAGTGCAGTGGTGCAATCACAGCTCACTGTAATCTCGAATTCCTGGGTTCAAAGGATTCTTCCGTCTCAGCCTCCCAAGTTGCTAGGACTACAGGTGCACACTACCACGCCAAGCTAATTTTTTTTATTTATTGTAGAAACAGGGTCTCGCTGTTGCCCAGGCTGATCTCAAACTCCTGGCCTCAAGTGATCCTCCTGCCTTGGCCTCCCCCTTCATCGTTTTGATTTATCCTTTCTTCTTTGCCCATGCTGGCAGACTCTGAATTGGCATGTTCTAGTTATCGTGGTTGTTTAACAATGACCCCAAAATTTAGTGGTGTAAAACAACCATTTATCATGTCATGGAGTCTGTAGATCAGGAATCAGACACAGCAGAGCTGACTTGTCCCTGTTCCACAATGTCTGGGACCTCAGCTGAAAATATTAAACAGGCTGGGGCTGTAAAGGCATCACATCTCTCTATCTCTCCACAGTCTGCACACATGCTCTAACAGAGTGGCTTCAATGTAACTGGACTTGTTACATGTTAGCTCAGGGTAGCCTATACTTGTGTTCCAAGATGAAAGATGCAGATGGAAGGTATAGTGGTTGTCTTTTATGACTTAAGCTTCAGGAGTCAAGCAGCGTCACTTCTGCTTCAATCTGCTAGTCAAAGCAGTTTATAAAGGTCTGCCCAGGTTCAAAGGAAGGGAATACAAACTCCAGTTTGATAAAAGAATGCCAGCTTCACAATTTAATAAAAACAAACAGCCGGGCGTGGTGGCTCACGCCTGTAATCCCAGCACTTTGGGAAGCCGAGGTGGGTGGATCACCAGGTCAGGAGTTCGAGACCAGCCTGGCCAATACAGTCAAACCGTCTCTACTAAAAATACAAAAATTAGCCGGGTGTGGTGGCATGCACCTGTAAACCCAGCTACTCAGAAGGCTGAGGCAGAAGAATCGCTTGAACCCAGGAGGCGAAGGTTGCAGTAAGCCGAGATTGCACCACTGCACTCCAGCTTGGGAGACAGAGCAAGACTCCATCTCAAAAAAAAAAAAGAAAAAAAAAGAAAGAAAAGCAACACAGGACAGAACATTTATTGGTGCAGCCATCAATGGAAAAAATACAATCTGCCACAACTCTTTTATCTGGGACAGCACCTACTCTGCAAGTCTTTACAGAGGGATCCCCATTTCATCAATACAGTAAAAGAGGCTAGTCAAGGCTGAAAGTTTCCATTCTAGTAATGAAACATGAAAAATTCAGGTTGAGTGAGCCTCTGCAACACATCAGACTCCCACTCCTCACTCTTCTCCAACTGGTTCCTGCCCCATACCCCACAAACCTGGTTTCACCACTCATCTCTCCAGAAAGAGAGGAACTCTTTTTATTGCTTGACTTCTACATTCACATCGTTTGTATTTGAAAGGAAACACATGCACACCCTTTACTTGACTTTATTGCCATTTCCAAATTCAACCACACTGTGACATATTTTGTAATTACTCTTGTGAAAATGAAACATCATTTTTACTCAGTTACCTACAATTATATACAATTTTTGACCCTAACTTACTGCTGCTTCCACAACTCCACCAATGACACTGCAGGTCAAAGTCACGAGTGAATTTAACTTGTCCTCATTTTTGGTGCACTTGACACTATGGCCCATTATATCTATTTGCTTGAAACTCTCACTTTCTCTGTCTCTGTGACATTGTGCTGTTCTAGTTTTCTACCAGTTTTCTCCTTCCTCTTCCTCCACTGGATCCCAATGTTTCTCAGTACTCTTTGTGGCCTCTATGTGCTCATCAGCATTCACAAGTTCAAAGCACCCCTCTTAAGCTGATGACTCCCCCACTATACTTCCAACCCTAACCACTCAGCCAGGCTTAATTCCTATATTTTTAGCTGCCTATAGGATCATTCCATTTGCCTAAAACCAAATTAATCATATCCTCCCTACAAAACATAATGTATTCAAAACAAACAAAATAGAAAAATCTGCTTCCCTTTCTAGCTTCCTCATTTTAGCCAATAGTGCCACCATTTTCCAAGTTTCAACACTTGTCTAGACAAGAGTCATTTTTGACTCCTCCTCCTCCTTACCTTGCACAACCTCTACTTAAATCCAATCACTGAATTTTCAGATCTGGAAAGAACTTTCAAGATAATCTAGTTTGTGCTCCTTAAACATAAATAAGAGACCTTGGGGCTCAGACATATTGGCTGCTTGCCTCAAGTTCTTCCAACCCTGATTATAAGACACTTTCTATTACCAAGACTTATTTAATTGCATTTTTCCAAAACTTCCACACAAATCTTTTTTTTTTTTTTTGAGAGGGAGTTTTGCACTGTCACCAGGGCTGGAGTGCAGTGGCGTGATCTCAGCTCACTGCAAAAGAGGGTTCAAGCAATTCTCCTGCCTCAGCCTCCCAAGTAGCTGGGACTACAGGTGCCCACCACCACACCCAGCTAATTTTTTGTATCTTTGGTAGAGATGGGGTTTCACCATGTTGGCCAGGCTGGTCTCGAATTCCTGACCTCATGATTCGCCTGCCTTGGCCTCCCAAAGTGCTGGGATTACAGGCATGAGCCATCGCACCTGGCCCACAAATCTGTTTTCTTTGTAGAATCAGAAGATCTGGGTTTGAACCCTTAAAAGCTGACTATAAGCAAGTGAATAGTAACTGCTAGTTTAAAAACTGCCTCCTGATTTAGAATTTATGATAGAAATCAGATTAAATTTAAACTCCTCAGGCAGGTATTCAAACCCTCTCCCACTCCTCCTCCTAACCCAAACTGGCTGACTTTAGTATCAAGCATGGTTTCTCACTGAACAAATTCTGTTTCAGTTGGCAGGTCTTCTTCCCATCTTTATCTTTCTCATTCCTGGTTCTTGACTTCCACTCAGTTGTTTCCCCAGCCTAGAAGAGCCTTACACCTCAGCAGACACTTCCTTTAAGGCCCAGATTGACCAGCATTCCCAGCATGGGTCTTTCTTTTTTTTTCAATCTCCACAGCATCTCAACTCTACTGCAAAATCTTACACAATATATCTTTCACTTATCTGCATAGTGTTCTCCAAACTAAGGAGCTAAATAATATTAAACACTCAAATTTATAATAAAGGCTTGCAAATTTGTTCTTACAACGAAACACTGGATTCTGCTTTTTAGAAAGTATTAAATTTGATTTACATTCAATTTTACTAGGCCAAAATTAACAAACAAGGGTTATTTTTTTCACAGTGACTATACCAATACAGTTTTTCAACAGTGAATAGAATGCGTGATGCCCTCGAGGAGCTCATAATCTAGTGTTAATAAAGCTAGATATGCAGACAGAGAAGGTTAAAGAACACAACATAACATATACCATCTTACTCATCAGCTTACTTATGTCATTATTTCAACATCAATCCACAGCCAAAAACCTGGAAATAAAACTGTTATCATGCTGGGTGCGGTGGCTCATGCCTGTAATCCAAGCACTTTGGGAGGCCGAGGCGGGCAGATCACCTGAGGTCAGGAGTTCAAGACCAGCCTGGTAAACACAGTGAAACCCTGTCTCTACTAAAAATACAAAAACTATCCGGGCGTGATGGCGGGCTACTCGGGAGGCAGAGGCAGGGAGAAGTGCTTGAACCCGGGAGGCGGAGGTTGCAGTGAGCCAAGACGCGCCACTGCACTCCAGCCTGGGTGACAGAATGAGACTCTGTCTCAAAAACAAACAAACAAACAAAAAAACCATCCTCGGCTGGGCGCAGTGGCTCATGCCTGTAATCCCAGCACTTTGGGAGGCCGAGGTGGGAGGATCACGAGGTCAGGAGATCGAGACCATCCTGGCTAACACAGTGAAACCCCGTATCTACTGAAAATACAAAAAAAAAAAAATTAGCTGGGCGTGGTGGCGGGCACCTGTAGTCCCAGCTACTCAGGAGGCTGAGGCAGGAGAATGGCGTGAACCCGGGAGGCGGAGCTTGCAGTGAGCCGAGATCGCGCCACTGCACTCCAGCCTGGGCAACAGAGTGAGACTCCGTCTCAAAAAAACAAACAAACAAACAAACAAAAAACTATCCTCATCAGACACACAAAACCTCCACAGCAATAAAATAGCAAAGAGCCATGGTATTTGTACCTTTTATCCACAGGAGTGGCTCACTTATACTCTGTCTCCACATGCTCAGTTACATGGTTTTCTTCAGGGTTTGTCTGATTAGAAGGTGCAAATTCTAAAAGGAGGCTAATTCTAAAAACTTGCCAACAAGGGAGGAAAAAAACTACAGAACTAAACAATCAAAATGGGTTCACTCAACAAACACTGAGTACATCCTTACTGAATACAAAGATGAAGACTACAAGATTTAAATATGATATTTTCACCCGGAGATTAGTAAAGATTTTTTTAATGAAAATCCCAGTACTGGAATCAAGGGAATTGGGTCCCTCAAACACTTTGAGGGGCAAGGGGGAATATTCTGGAGGACAACGTGGTAGTATGCATCAAACGCTTTGCTGTGCCTGCCCTCTGAATTAGCAATTATGCTCCAGGAATACAGGCTATGAAAATCAGAAGCAGCAATACAGACCTATGACAAGTAGGCTTATCACCACATTAATTGTAGTGTGATCATAAATATAATGTATCTTCCAGGATGAACATTTATATGACAAAATACAATGCAGTCATTAAAAGCTGCCACCCAGAAGTCTGAAGGATATAAAGAAATACAGATGAAAACGTCATAAAACAGGCCAGGCGCGGTGGCTCATGCCTATAATCCCAACACTTTGGGAAGCCAAGGTGTGTGGATCACCTGAGGTCAAAGTTCAAGACCAGCCTGGCTAACAGGGTGAAATGCCATCTCTACTAAAAATACAAAATTAGCCAGGCATAGTGGCGCACATTGGTAGTCCCAGCTACTTGGGAGGGTGTGGCAGGAGAATCGCTTGAACCCAAGAGGTAGAGGTTGCAGTGAGCTGAGATCACGCCATCGCCATTGCACTCCAGCCTGGGCGACAGAGTAAGACTCTGTCCCAAAAAAAAAAAAAAAAAAAAAAAAAAGAAAAGAAAAAGTGATAAAACCATATATAACGTATAATCCCAATTTTTAAAATGACCATATTATATATATAATATATATTTGTAATAAATATATAAATCCTGGCCCTTCTACGTACAAGCTTATAAAGTTGAAGTTTTTTACTAAGTTTCATTTTCCTTTTTGTGAAATGATGACAATAATAATACCTACTTCATAAGGATAAAAGAGCAATCCCTGTTGTGGGATTCTGTTCCGAACAGGACATTGACAATGTCAAAACCTCCCAAAAGGAGCTTCAAACTTCCAAGCACTAACCACTGCATGTATAAGTTACAACAGCTTTCTAACTGGTCTCCTTTTTCATCTTTCCTCACACTGATGCATCCAACACTACCACCAAATCAATATTCCTAAAATCCTAATTTCATGTCATTTCCTTGCTTTAAAAATCTGTAATGGCCTCAAGATGAGATTCTCCTTAGGCCAACATAACTTGACCCTATTTTACCTGCACTGGGAAGTATTGACAGTAGTGTGAAATCAGGTTGTTCTAATTTGAAGCCTGAGTACACCACTTATTAGCTGTGTGACCCTAGGCAAGTAAGTTAACCCCTCTAACACTTCCTCAGCTTCTCATCTCTAAAATGTGGCTAGTATTCATCATATGGGTGTTTTTACAGAGTGAAAATTCATATAAAGTGCTTACTTAGCACTTTACATGTATGCCTGGCACTGGAGATGCATCCTTTAAATGTGAGCTGTTACTACTTCCCTAAACTGTCTACTCCACCTGGGCTGCTCTTCCAGATCATTTCTAACACACATTGCCCAACTTAGGCCTTTGGCTGGTGGTGTTCTCACCCATGAGGCACCATTCCATCACAATCACCACCATCAACAAAGAGTATGTGTTCAACATTTACACTATATATTCAAGGTGTAGGCTGGAAATACAGAGGAAAAAAAAAAAAAAAACAGTCCCAAACCTCAGAGCTCATAGTCTAATAATGAAAGAGAGACAGAGGAAGAGGTCCAATAATTAGGGGTGACAAAGGAAGCACTTCCTGGAGGCAAGGGAGATGCTTACACTGACTCCAGAAAGCTGCGTGGGTGAATCAGGCAGTGTGGGTGCATGTAGAGTAAGAGCATCCAGTACAGCAATCACAGTCACTGTATTGAGTCTGGCACTGCTGGAGTACTAAGGCTAAGGGAGAGCAGAGGCTAGATCAGTGAGGTCAGGAAGTGTTGGCACTTTATTCTGCAGGCCAGCAGCAGCCACTGAATAATATTAAGTAGGGTACACCTGTCTAGGACTCTAGAAAAGCTTACACTGTGCTGTCCAACACGGAAGCCACATACAACTACTGACTGGAAATGTGGCTAGTGTGACAGAAATTAAATTTTAATTAATGTAAACTTGGTAACTGATAGCAATTCAGTTATCAAAAACCTTTTATGTATGTTTGGAACAATTAAAGAGTATGTAGGCCGGGCGCGGTGGCTCACGCCTGTAATCACAGCACTTTGGGAGGCCGAGACAGGTGGATCACAAGGTCAGGAGATCGAGACCATCCTGGCTAACATGGTGAAACCCCGTCTCTACTAAAAAATACAAAAAATTAGCCGGGCGTGGTGGCGGGTGCCCTGCCCATAGTCCTAAAAATACAAAAATTAGCCAGGTGAGGTGGTACACACCTATAGTCCCAGCTACTCAGGAGGCTGAGGTGCAAGAATCGCTTGAACCTGGGAGGCAGAGGTTGCAGTGAGCCGTGATTGCACCACTGCACTCCAGTCTGGGCAACAGAACAAGACTCTGTCTCAAAAAAAAAAAATGTATTTAATGAACTTTAAATACAGATCAATTATTTCTGATGAAAATTTAATGTCCAAATTTAAATGTGCAGTAAGTGTAAAATATGTATCAGATTTAGAAGACTTAGTACAAAAGTAAAATATCTCATCAATAATCTTTAATCACATGTTGAATATTTTGAATGTATTAGAGATTACATTAGAATTAATTTCACCTGTTCCTTTATATTTTACTGCGGCTACTAGAAAATGTAAAATGACATACATGGCTGGCATTATACTTCTATTGGACAGCAATGATCCAATAGATCCCAGGACAGCTGAAAGAGGAAATGAGACCAGAAGCAGGAAGAACAATTAAAAAGACTCTGATAAGCATCCAGGTAAGAGAGACAGGCCTGATTATCTAAATTCTGCCCATCTTCAAAACCTAATTCAAGATACACTACTGCCTCCAAAAGCTCTCCTAATCCTAACAATTCCCAAGGAGTTACCTTTCTCTGAACTCCTGAGGCACTTATCTGTAGCATTCACTTCAACACTCATTCATTTGCCACCTGTCATTTCTATTTAATTTTGGGGTAATTTGTTTCTCAGATTAGACCAGAAGCTCCTAGGCTAAGGGCCATAATTTAGGCACCTTTAATTTTTGCATGCTGTGTAATGCATTTTTGATACTTTTAATAAACACAGGTACATGACTCCCCAAAAATCTGGATACACCTTCATGGGTGACTTTACCTTTCCACAGCAGAAGGAACTGAGAATCTCTTTTCCTTCAAGAACCTTAAAGATAGGAGCTAAAATGATGTAAAAATCAATCAAAACTCCCTCCAAGCCAATGTTCCGATAAAGTAGTGATATTTAATCAGTGAGCAAGCATTAGTAGACTGTATAGGATACCATCAAGAAAAAAAAATGCCAAGACAGAAGAATTTAGGCTTTTGACAAATTCCATAAAAAGTCAAACAAAAAATTTCTGATCATCTCTGATCTCTACCGCCAGAGATAACCTTTGCCAACCTAAGCATTAAGAACTTTCAATCAAGGAAAAAACATCTATTTTAAAAATTAACCCCTAAATCAATCCTTCTAATAAATATCACATTTTCTAGGTAGGGATACACATATTACCAGTAAATTTACAACTCAGCATTTTCCCATCTAAATTAGAGTAAGGTGAAGAAAAAAAACTTTCCAGGGAAATATTAAGAAGTAGTATAAATGTATTTTACTGCATAATCGATAAAGTATTTCACCTAAAATACCATTTAAATTTTCTACAACACTTGACTATACAACGGCCAGCTTGCACCACTACAGAAATAGGAAGCTAGCAGCAACTAGTAAAAAGCAAGGGACATTCTGTGGTGATCAGTACTGACCTGGGAACTTTGCAGTTTTCAGATTTTTCATGTTTGACATTTAAAACAGAAAACTGACAAGTTTCTAATAAGAAACTAAAAGTTACATCAGAATTGATCTTCTTGCATGTGTTTAATGGCTACGAAGTGGATATTACAAAGTGCAGTTGAAGACTCTATCTCCAAAGAAACAATCGAGCAATCAAAGATGAGCTAGGATAGCTTGTAAGGGAACAGAAGGCAGTCCTTTCTATTCTGAAAGGCAGAAGAAATAGGAGAAACCTGTCAAACAACCTGGATGAAATCAAGGAGTTAACAAGCAACACTCATTTCCTTTAGCACTGTGAGAAAATTCCGGTTGCTAATAGAAAGCTGAGGAAAGTTTGGTTTGGCTTGTTTCATTTTGTTTTCCTTCCAAATCATCACTGAGTATGAACGACTGCTTTCCTCTCCTCACATTACTCAGTAAAAACTCCCCCATTGAATTGTCTTCCGGTGCCCTGCTCCCCAGCCTCCCAGAACGGCCCCCGCCCCCGCCTCCCTCCCAGCAAACGTGCTCAGACGCCTCTGGGCTTGTTGTGGTCTCGCCAGTCTGCGGACAAGCGCTCCAAACTCAATGGACAATGGAGCTCACCCCCGTCAACGCGAACTACAAAGCTCAGGAGGGCCATTTCCCTTTTCCTGCCCAGATGCTGTTTTCGCTCCTTCGAAGCAAGATCCCATGCTCGACTAGACGGCCAGTGTGCGCCAGGACCCGCGTGTCTCCTTCCCCACCTGCAGAGCTGCTGAGCCCCTCGGCCCCCAAATAAATTGTACCGCAGCACACAGGCCAAAAAGGGCCCCCCACCACCAGGGGCTTGGCTGGGGACAGTGGCTTCACGGTCCAGGTAGGGATGGAGGGAACGTCTCTTGACGCTTGGTCATGGCCCTCAAGACTAAGCCGTCTCCACTGTTCCCCCTCCCCAGCTCCAACTTGCCTCCCCTCCCCCCACTGCGAGAAGACCTAGGAGGTGCGGGCAGGCAGCACCGCCACCTCTTCCTCCGGTGGAGCGCTCGGCCGACACTCACCCTTTCACCACAAAGAAGGGGTCCTCCATGGACATGGCGTCCCGGCCCCGGCCGCCTTCACCTCCTCCGCGCACAGGGCGCCCGTGCCTCCCGGTCTCCCTCCGCCCACCCCGCCTGTTCCCGCAGCTGCCCGCGCCTTAGTCTGGGTGAAGCCGAGCAGCGGGCACGCGCACAGGCCAGGTGCACAGGACGGCCGCTGGTCCAGCACTCGCTCAGCACCACTGGCCGAATCCCGGACTCGGGCGCCGGCCCCCTCGGCAGCCTCCAGTCCCGGCTCCTCCCGAAGCGTCGGAGGGCCTGACCCCACCCCCGGGACCCTCGGCCGCGGCCAATCACGAACGCCGCCTGAAACACGACTTCCGCACCCCGCTCACGTGACCAGGGCATATATCTCTCTCTCTCTCTCTCTCTCCTCTCTCTCCTCTCTCTCCTCTCTCTCCTCTCTCTCCTCTCTCTCCTCTCTCTCCTCTCTCTCTCTCTCTCTCTCTCTCTCTCTCTCTCTCTCTCCCCCCCCCCCCAGTGGGCGGGGCTTACGCCTGCGTCCCTCGGCCCTGGAGGCGGAGCCCTCGGGGCGGTGGAGGTGGGCGGGCTTCTACAGCCCTCTCCTCAAGCTTGAGGGTGAGGAGTGGCTTGTTCCCTCAGAACTAGGCAGTCGGCTTTTCAGGATAAGCTGTAGTTGTACCTGATTTGCAAAATCCTCTTACCTTTCCTCTACTTTTAATACTTAATTTTGACAGTATGTAATTTATAAATCTATCTGGTCCTCGACTTAAAATGAAGCATAGTATCTGATTATAATGTTACACAGATCCTTTAAGTAGGTCTTGCTTTGTGTTGGACAGTGTGCTAAAGGTTGTGTATGCATCATCTCAGTATCCTTTGGGGGAAAGTATTATTCCCCCCTCCCCCTTTTTGGGGGGCAGGGTCTCTCTCTGTCACCCTGGCTGGAGTGTAGTGGCACAATCACAGCTCACTGCACCCTTGACCTCCTGGGCTCAAGCGATCCTCCGGCCTCAGCCTCCCGAGTAGCTGGGACTACAGGTGAGCGCCACCACGCCCGGCTAATTTTTAAATTTTTTATAGAGATGGGGCTCTCAGTATATTTCCTAGGCTGGCCTTGAACACCTGAGCTCACATGATCCTCCTGCCTCTGCCTCCCAAAGTGGTGGGATTATGGGCGTGAGCCACCACACCATCCATTTTTCTCATTTTGTAGATAAGAAAATAAGTTCAGAGAGGCTTGAAGACTTCCTGTAGTCACACAGCCTGGACAGGGCAGAACTGCAGATTCTGTGCACTTTCCACCAGATGGGGTGTACTTTCTGTTGCTGTACATTCTGCAAATAACCATGTAAAGTAATTTTTCATACAGCATATGGTGCTTCCCAGGAGAGCACACCTTCGAGGAATAAAGAAGGGGCCAGGTATGACAACTTCCTCTCACTGTGGTTCAAGAGCTATTCGAGAAAACATTTTGCCCAGAACCATTAACCAACTCATATGCTAGATATGCTATGAAATTTGTGGATGGGGATTGTGGACTTTGATTGCTGAAAATCATTGAGCACTTACTGTGTGTGTGTGTCAGGCAGGATGTTAAGTGTTATCTCAGTTGCTCTTACAATGTGATAATTACTGCTATCATGCCCATTTTATAAATGAGAAATCTGAGACTCGGAGGTTAAGTGACTTGCCCAAGGTCACCAGTCTGGAGCTGGCACAGTCCTTGGAGCAACACAAACCCCGTTTAAACCTTGGCTCTATCATTCAGTTCCTCATCTATAAAACATAAATAATAATAGCTAGTTCATGGGTTGTTGTGATGGTTAAATAAAAATGTGTGTAAACCTCAAGATCCCAAAGGACTAAGTTACTGAAGTCAGGAAAACCAGTAAGGACGCTGCTAAAGTCATGTGGCCTGAAGGGATGAGGTCCAGACCAGGATGACAGCGATTGAGAACAGAGAAGGAGTGAATCTGACAGATGTTTCAAAAGGAAAACAAGACTAAACACCTAGACATGATGAGGGGCTGAATGGGTTTCAGGAGGGGAGAGAAGAGAGGGGTGAAAGCCAAAATCCCTGGAGGAGCGAATGATGGAAGGCAGATGTGGGGAAAGGAAGCAGTGTCCAATACTAGTGATTGCTAATGTTTATTGGGAGAGAACTGTTTAATTTACTTAGCTGGGGAGGTGAAAACGTGTCATCGTTCATTCATTCAACAAGCACATGTAAATTGAGGGGTAGGTGAGCATGGTGTTGAAGACCATCCTTGGAGTCTGATTGCTTGAGTTCTGCTGCTTCCTGACTGTTGCATCTCAGGCAAGCCGCTTCATCTCTCACTATCCTCAACTGTGAAATAGACACCGTAATAACAGCTTCCTTATAGAGTGTCATGAGGTGATGTGTGAAAAGTGCTTAAAACAGTGCCTGACACATGTTGTGCTCCTACTGTGTGCTAAGCACTGAGACACAGGCATGAACAAGGCTTGGTTCTTGCCTTCAAGGAACTGTCAGACTGGTGGGAGAGACAGACTGGTGGGAGAGACACACAGTGAGAGAAGGGCACAGGTTGCCATAGAAACACAGCGACAAGATACCAGTATATTTGTGTGTTTTCGGGGCTGGGGCAGGGGGTTCCTAAGCAGTGACTAGAAGCAGCCAGGAGAAGGGGGCCATGTTGCTGGAGTAGAAGGAAAAGGATGGGGGCAGCAGGAGCTAAGCCTGGAGGTGGACAGGGTCAGATTATCAGGGCCCTTGTTTGTAATGTTCAGAATAGTGGACGCTTCCTATGGACAGTTCCCCATGGGGACTGAGGGAATTGACAGGGTCAGATTGGCATTTGAGACAGATGCTTCAGTGGCTAGGAGGTTATGGTCCAGAGGAGGGATGAGGGTATCCTGAGCTGGGCTTGTGACAACTAAGGTGGAGAAGAGTGATGCATTTGAGACATACTTTAGAGGCAAAGTTAGTATACTTGGTGACTGATTGGTTCAGGGTATGGGGGAATTGATGAAAGAAGAGGGAGGAAGGCTTCTGGGGTTGTAAATGGGTAGTGTTGGTTCCAACCATCAAGAAAGAGAACACAAGAGGAGGATTTGATTTAGGGTGAATGTAAATTAGCTGTTAGCATGTCATTTATCCCCACCAAACAGTAAACTCCTGGAGGGACAGGATACTATGTTAATGTTATTATCACCTAAGTGCCTGACACGGCCTCTTATTATCTGTTCCATGAATTTCTTAATTGGACCACATATGACAGGCCAGAGTTTTATAAGTAGTAATAGAAGATAGAGGACAGAGGCTTGGGTTCCCATAATTAGGGGATTAGAAAAAGCACCAACAATGGAGATAGTGGAGTGTCAAGATATAAAATGTGTGTATGTGTGTGTGTGTGTGTAGGTGTTCCTTTCTTTAATGTGTCACCCTCCTTTACCCTCTCTCAAACTAGACCTTGGCCTCCACTGCCCACAAGGAAAGGGAAGCTATGGCTAAAATGCAAGGAGAAACAAAGGAGGTTCTTTCTTTCTTTCTTTTTTTTTTTTTTCATTTAATAGGACCCACGTCCTGGCATAAACAATAGGTTGGGAAGAATACTCAGCAAAAACCCATCTCTTCCCACACCCCCACCCCTACCCCACCCCCAACCCAAAAGAATAATTTAAATTTCTCAGGGAATAAAAAATCAAAACAGTGGTTGTCTTGGGGGACAGAGTTTGACTGGGAAGGGAAACTTTCTTGGGTACTAGAAATGCTCTGTATCTTGACGGAGTGTGTGTTACATGAGAGTATCATTTGTCAGAATTCCTCAAACCGAAACTCTTAATTGGACTTAACTTCTGTTCATTTTTCTGGGGGAGGTTGACATGCCAACTCTGAGCTTTCTGTAGAGTTCTGAGTGGGCAGCCAGGAGAACCTCTGGTTCCTGAGTGAGTCTCCAAAGTTAGGAGAGTGAATGAGGAAGGGAGCACACTGGGTCCTGCAATGCATCTTCTGCAGAAATAAGGAGATGGCAACACAGAGAATAAGGCACAGGCAGCCAAATGAGCTGAGGATCAGAAAGGAGCCAACCATATCACTGGGGATGCCAGGATAGACCTGAGAGGGATTGCAGTGGGTAGCCACCCCCTGCCCCTGGAAGCTGCGGGAATGCCATGACACCCCTACAAGGGGATCTCCCCTACTCTGAAATAATGACATTCAGCCTGCTCCTTCACTAGCCTGTTATAAGGAACAACTGGATCATATATGGGAATAATTTTTTATTTTTTAAATTTTTTATTTTTTAAATTTATGAGGCCGGACATGGTGGCTCACACCTGTAATCCCAGCACTTTGGGAGGCCAAGGCGGGCAGATCACAAGGTCAAGAGATCGAGACCATCCTGGCCAACATGGTGAAACCCCATCTCTACTAAAAATACAAAAATTAGCTGGGCTTGGTGGTGCGTGCCTGTAGTCCCAGCTACTTGGGAGGCCGAGGCAGGAGAATCACTTGAACCCAGGAGGCAGGGGTTGCAGTGAGCCAAGATCACGCCACTGCCCTCCAGCCTGGCGACAGAGCGAGACTCCATCTCAAAAAAAAAAAAAAATTTAATTGTGGTAAAATACACATAACATAAAATTTACCATCTTAACCATATTTAAGTGTACAATTCAGTAGTGTTAAATATATTTGCCTTGTTGTGCAACCAATGTCCAGAACTCTTTTCATCTTGCAGAACTGAAACTCTATACCCATTAAACAACTCCCCATTCTCCCCCAACAATCTCTGGCAACCACCATTCTACTGTGTGTCTCTATGAATTTTACTACTCTGGGTACCTCACATAAGTGGAATCATACAGGATCTGTCTTTTTATGATTTGCTTCTTTCAGTTAGCATGATATCTTCAAGGTTCATTCATTCATTCTACATATTGCAGAATTTCCTTCCTTTGTAAGCCTAATATTCCATTGTATATATACCACATTGTGCTTGTCCATTCATCCATCAGTGGACGACACTTGGCTTTCTTTCATCTTTTGGCTATAATGAATAATGCTGCTATGAACGCTGGTGTACAAATATCTCTTTGAGACCCTGCTTTCCATTATTTTGGATATATACCCAGAAGTGGAACTGCTGGATATGGTAATTCTATTTTAAATTTTTTTGAAGAACAGTCATATTGTTTTCCATTTTACATTCCTGCTAAAAGACACACGCATTCCAATTTCTTCATATCTTCATCAACACTTGTTATTTTCTGGGTTTTCTTTTCCCTTATAGCAGTTGTACTAATAGGTGTGAGGTGGTATCTCATTATGGTTTTGATTCACATTTCTTTAATAATTAGTGATGTTAAGCACCTATTCGTGTGCTTATTGGCCATTTGTATATCTTTTTTGGGGGGTGGGGAGAAATGTCTATTCAAGTCCTTTGCCCATTTTTGATTGAGTTGTTTTGTTTTTGTTGAGTTCACCCTAAATCCTTCTTGAAACAAGGTAAAGAAAGGGAGAAAAGTGTTAACATAGATATAGGATATCATACTCTTCATCATTATCCAACCTTTTAGAAACCCTGATATACATGTACATATTCCAGAACATTCCACTTATGTTAAGTTCCATTGATCTGGCTATGACTGTCTATGTTTCCTACCTCCAACCACAGAAAATATCCATACACATATCCAAAACACACTGGCCATGATTTATTTCCTCTTCCTGTTTGTTACCAACACCTCCACCACTGTCACCCTCTACACACTGATTTAAAATAAACAAGGAGGAATTCCAGTCAATTTACATATTCAGCACTAAGGAATGATGGAGAATTTGTGGAACATCCATTTGGTGGTCATTAGAAATGTTGTTTAAAAGTATGTAATGACATAGGAATGGCTTGAGTAAAAACAGCAAGACACAAAATTATACATATGATACAATTTCAGCTCTGTTCTTTCTTATACATTAAAATGTTTTGGTACATAGAAAATTTTTACACGTAGGAAAAAAGAAATCTATTTAAAGTTTGTCAACTACTACAGTGAAATATTTACTTGGATAGTCAGAAATCCAAAAAGTTTTTTAAAAAGAAGAGAAAAAGTAATAAAAGAGAAGTGAAAAGCCAAGTGACCACATACGAAAAAGTACATCAAAAGTTAGCAGTTTTCAGCCTGAGCAACATGGCAAAACCCCATCTCTACAAAAAAAAAATACAAAAATTAGCCAAGTGTAGTGGCTTATGCCTATGGTCCCAGCTACTCGTGAGGGTGAGGTGGGAGGATCACTTGAGCCAGGAGGCAGAAGTTGTAGTGAGCCATATTCACGCCACTGCACTCCAGCCTAGGCGACAGTGAGACCCTGTCTCAAAAAAATAAATAAATAAATAAATAAATAACAGTTTTAAATCCTGTTTAGAATAAGGCAAGTTAGGAGGGTCTGAATGAATGGAAATTGGTGAGTACTAAAAAGCTGAAATACGTTATTGGAATTCAGTGAATTTCTTGACAAGACGGTGGATTTGAACCACTATAGGAAGGGGAGGTATGTTCTTTACCATCCTTTATGAATGTGACTGTGTATAAGGAAAGAAAAATCAATCTGTGTTGGTAAACTGGCTCATTGCAATAATAGTACTAGTGATTGCTAATATTTACATACTATGTACCAGGCATTGTGCTAAGTGACCGATGTGGTTGGGCTGTGTACCCAACCAAATCTCATCTTGAATTCTCATGTGTTGTGGTGGGAGGGACCTGGTGGGAGGTAATTGAATAATGGAGGTAGGTCTTTCCCGTGCTGTTCTCATGATAGCGAATAAGTCTCATGAAATCTGGCAGTATTATAAGGTGGAGTTTCCCTACACAAGCTCCTGTCTGCCTGCTGCCATCCACATAAGATGTGGCTTACTCTTCCTTGCCTTCAGCCATGATTGTGAGGCCTCCCCAGCTATGTGGAACTGTAAGTCCAATAAACCTCTTTCTTTTGTAAATTGCCCAGTCTTGGGTATGTATTTGTCAGCAGTGTGAAAACAAATACAGTGACACACATGCATTATCTTCAGAAGCTCCAGAATCCCCATATGGGGCAGGTTTTAGAATGTAATTTGGTTGGACAGCAGGGCTAGGGGACTTGATGTGGCATGGGAGACCCCTGTCTTTTCTTTTTTTTTTTTTGAGATGGAGTCTCACTCTGTCGCCCATGCTAGAGTGCAGTGGTGCGATCTCTGCTCACTGCAAGCTCTGCCTCCCAGGTTCACACCATTCTCCTGCCTCAGCCTCCCGAGTAGCTGGGACTACAGGCGACCACCACCACGCCCGGCTAATTTTTTGTATTTTTAGTAGAGACGGGGTTTCACCATGTTATCCAGGCTGGTCTCGATCTCCTGACCTCATGATCTGCCCACCTTGGCCTCCCAAAGTGCTGGGATTACAGGCGTGAGCCACTGCGCCTGGCCTCTTTTCTTAAATTATAGGTTTATTTGGGATTACTTAAGACAGCTGATGGCCATTATGCGTGTGTAGTAAAAGTACTCTAATGCCCCAACAAGTGACAAGTCACTTCTTGGTTCCACCACTGCTGATTTCATTGAATCCTCACAATAATCCTGTAAGGCAGAATTGGTTATTACCTCCATTTTCTATGAGAAATCCCAGACTTAGAGAAGTTAATAATTTGGTCAAAGGTCACATAGGTAGGAAATGTCAGAGCCTCATTTGAAAATAAGTTTGACTCCTGAACCCATGTTCTTTGCTACAGTATTCTACTCCCATTTGTACAAGGACTAGCCTTGGCCAAAAATTGGCAAATGGATTTTACCTACCCACAGAAAAGGGCTCAAATCAAACTCGACACAGACACAGACACAGACACACACACACACACACACACACACACACACACTTCTACTGAATTAAAAAAGAAATAGCCAAGGGGAAACTACTGATTAAATATAATAAAATATATTATGTTGAAAACAACATTATTTAACAAACAAGACCCTTTTGCTAACTTGATAATTCATCATTTGGTTTTTAAGGATGAATTGCACTAACTGCAAATGAGTCAGATTCCTCAGAGGGGCCTTAAAATACATATAATAAATCAGGTATTAAAAAGCCAAACACATAAAGGGATTTATAATGAACAGGATAAGCACAACCCACTCTGAAAAGTGCGGCCTGAGATTTAAGTTTAGACTATTGCTCAGAGGTGAGGCTTGTTTTTCCACAAAGAGAATGCGAGGGATTCTCCCTACCTCAGTGCCTCCCAGCTTAGTGGGGCAGTCTTACCTGTCCTTGAAGATCTTGGCATAATTGAATCTATTAAAAATTTTAAGGACTATTAAAGCTATGCTATTAAAAACTGCATATTAATATTGGAAAATATAAATTTGAAAAGAATTTACAAAATACTATTAGGACGTAAAACCCTTTTTTGGTAAAATGAACAAATAAAGGTATGCTTATATGCAGACATATGTAGTCAGCAAAACCACTGAAAAGAAATACACTAAAATATGTTAACAGCAAATTTTTTCCTTTCTTCCTCCCTCCTTCTCTCTCTCCTTCCTTCCTTCCTTCCCTTCTTTCTTTCTGTTGCCATGGTTGTAGTACAGTGGCGTCTCAGCTCACTGCAGCCTTGACCTCCCTGGCTCAAGCAATCCTCCCACCTCAGCCACCTAAGTAGCTGAGACTACAGGCGCATGCACCACACCTGGCTAATTTTTTGTATTTTTAGTACAGATAGGGGTTTCACCATGTTGCCCAGGCTGGTCTTGAACTCCTGGGCTCAAGCAATTTGCCCACGTCAGCCTCCCAAAGTTGGGATTACAGGTGTGAGCCACCATGCCCGGCCAACAGCAATTTTTTCTGATGGGTGATTTTTATCTTATCACTCTCTGGGTTTTTTATATGTATTTGCCCTGTACTCTGGATTAAATTTACTAATTTGCAATTAGAATACAATGACTTAAAAAATGAAAGACATCGGTCAGGTGTGGTGGCTCACGCCTGTAATCCCAGCACTTTGGGAGGCCAAGGTGGGTGGATCCTGAGGTCAGGAGTTCAAGACCAGCCTGGCCAACATGGGAAAACCCCATCTCTACTAAAAAGACAAAAATTAGCTGGGTGTGTAATCCCAGCTACTCAGGAGGCTGAGTCAGGAGAATTGCTTGAACCTGGGAGGCGGAGGTTGCAGTGAGCCGAGATGGCACCACTGCACTTCAGCCTAGGCGACAGAGTGAGACTCTGTCTCAAAAAAAAGAAAGACATCGTTGACATACCTACATTTTTTTTTTTTTTTGAGATGGAGCCTTGCTCTGTCACCCAGGCTGGAGTGCAGTGGCACAATCTCAGCTCACTGCAACCTCTACCTCCTGGGTTCACACCATTCTCCTGCCTCAGCCTCCCGAGTAGCTGGGACTACAGGCACTCACCACCACGCCTGGCTAATTTTTTGTATTTTTAGTAGAGACAGGGTTTCACCATGTTCCAGGATGGTCTCGATCTCCTGACCTCGTGATCTGCCCGCCTCGGCCTCCCAAAGTGCTGGGATTACAGGCGTGAGCCACCGCGCCCGGCCTCATACCTACTTTTTAATGTCAGTACAGCAGGTTATGGTATGGAATGCATTTTGGAACAAGATATTAACAAAAATTCAAAGGAAAAAATACATGGCCATGGAATTCCAGTGCTGAGAGACATTTGGGAATATTGGGGGAGTTTTCCAAAAGAGAAATCCAGGTGACTGTATTTGTTAAATGAGTAACAAAAGGAAAAACAATGTAAAGAAACAGAAAGGAAAGGAAGAGAGAAATACAAAGATCTGAGAAGAGAAGGTGCCAGGGGCCGCTGAGAGATTGCCAAATGTTAATTTCATTATTTGGCTTCTTATTTTATTCTGGGTAAAGGTAGACCTATTAGTTTCCTGTTGCTGCTATAACAAATTACCACCAACTTAGTGGCCTCGAACAATGCAAATTTATTCTTTCAAAGTTCTGGAGGACAGAAGTCCAAAAATGTGTCCTATCAGCTGAAATCAAAGTGTTGTGTTCCTTCTGGAGGCTCTAAGGAGAATCTGTTCCTTCTCTTTTCTAGTTCTAGAGGCCATCTGCGTTCCTTGGCTCATGTCCTTCTTTCAGCAATGGCATCATCACTCTGACCTTTGCTTCCATTGTCACATCTCCTTGACTCTGACCCTTTTGCCTCCCTCTAATAAGGCCCCTCTGATTACACTGGGTCCACCAGATAATCCAGGATAGCTCTCTGTCTCAAGATCCTTAATTTAATCATATCTGCCAAGGGTTTTGTTTTGTTTTATTTTGTTTTTGCCATTTAAGGTAATATATCCACAGGTTCTGGCAATTAGGTTGTGGACATCTTTGGGGCGACAATTCTCAACCTACCATACAACCGGTACATAAGGTTCTACTACCTACTAAATGCATCATAAACAGAACTTCTGATCCTTCAACAACTCTGTGAAATATATGACAGGATTTGCTTTTAAAGTTGAAGAAATCAGGCCTTGGTGCAATTTGGGATTCTGCCCATGGTCAAATAGTGGGGAGGCAAACCCAGGTCCCTGAACCCAGCTCAAGCCTGCCTGCCTCATGGCCATGCCTCCATTCACCTCTCCCCTTCATGTCTACTTCCTCTTTCCTGTCTGGGCCTGTTCCCTAGCTCCCTGGACAAGCTTAAGCTGCTGTTTTCCAGCTTGTCATGTGCTCCTTATGACAGTGTAGCCACAGCTTGATCTTGGGGATTGCTGATTGAGCAAGCTGAGTGGCTGCCCCTCAGAATCTTCTGTAGGCCTTTCTCTTGCCTTCTTTTATTCAGTAAGTGTTTTGAGCTTATTGTGCTGGGTGCTAGAGTAGCAGGGAGGACAGACCTAAGTTGAAGATTACGGGACAATCTAAGTGACACCTGCTATCTCAGACAGAGACTTCAGCATCATAGGGAGCCAGAGCAGGGAGTTCCAAGCCGTGGGAACTGTGACTCTTTCTTACTGACCCTTAAGCAAAATTCTAAGCTCCAGGGAAGCAGAGGCAGCAGCTTGAGCTCCCTGATTGACCAGATATGATTAATCTTTGTTTCTCTGTGCTTTGAACATGACTATGCTCCATAAATATTTAAAAATTGGGAATAGGGTGAAGATAGATACACCAAAAGGAGCAAGCAGTGTCTGAAACCAGCAAAGACTTAAAAGTTACCGAAGAAGGTGTTCATGCTTTCATTTTATCTTTTTTTTTTAACCTAGCAACTGATGACACTGCATATCTTCCCCTGTTCTTATTGGGAGAAGGCCTTGTGTGTCACCAAGAGGTTCTCAGAAGGGACCTGTCAGTTTTTGGTTAAAAGAACCCGGAAAGAGAAGGACTATGGGGGAACTGATGGCGTTCCTGTTACCTCTCATCATTGTGTTAATGGTGAAGCACAGCGATTCCCGTGAGTATCCCACGTCCTCTTCTCTCCTAACTCCAAAGTCGAGGCAGCCTAGAAGGCACAGCTTTTCTTCCTAAAACTTGTGGTGAAAAATATAGAAGCCAGGGGCAGAAACGTGTATGTATTACACTCAGACTCCAGGAGCAATGGATTGCCTGAACAGTTTCCCAGTTCATATTTGTAGGATTTTGATGTCACCACCTTCTGAGGGAGGGGGAGCCGTTCTAGAAAGACTCTGGAACTTCCTCACTTTCCCTCTGAGCATGGCCTCCTTTCTTTTCTGCTCATATTTTTTCTTTTACTTTTGTTTCTCCTCTTTTCTAACTTCCAGAGTCTCATGAGGATGTAGTCAGAGTTTCAGGGGCATTAACAGTGGAGTAGATCCATTGTTCAGGTTTATTTATGTTTTTCCTCAACACAAGCCCTACCTGTAATAAAAGATCCAAGAAAGATAAAACCATGGCTCTGGGTTTGTTTACTGACTGTGAGAAGTATTAATCAAGTAGAAGGGAGAGTTTTTCATTATTCGGGGAGCTCAAGTCACTGGGGAAGCAAATGCCTTCTGTTGCCTCAAATAGGGGAAAGGGCCCATGGGCTAGAACCACCAGGCTTCTCTGCCCTAATCACTTGCTCCCTGGGCTGAGGACTGGTACTGGTGGGCAGTGTCCAGAACTTAGACTTGGCCACCACCATAGGTGTGACTGATGAACATGAGAGGAAGGAGTTCTTTCAAATCACCCATGCACATAGAGAGTGGAATGACTGACCATGGAGATTTGGAAGGGCGAGGGGGGTGGATGATTAGAAATTACTTAATGGGTACAATGTGTGTTACTTGGGTGATGGATACCTTAAAGCCCCAACTTGACCACTACACAATCTATGCTATAACAAAATTGCATGTGTACATCATAAATTTATACAAATAAAAAAATTTTAAATCATATGGCTGGGAGTGGTGGCTCACACCTGTAATCCTAGCACGTTGAGAGGCCGAGGCAGACGGATCGCTTGAGGTCAGGAGTTTGAAACCAGCTTGGCCATCATAGTGAAACCCCATCTCACTAAAAATACAAAAAATTAGCTCGGCACACCCATCTCTACTAAAAATACAAAAAATTAGCTGTGCACAGTGCGCACCTGTGATCCCAGCTACTCGGGAGACTGAGGCAGGAGAATCACTTGAACCCAGGAGGCGGAGGTTGCAGTGAGCCGAGATCATGCCACTGCACTCTAGCCTGGGTGACAGAGTGAGACTCCATCTCAAAAAAAAAAAATCCATATATTAATTGTTCAAATATTGATTGATGGCCTACTATGTGCCAGGCACTTTGGGGGATATGGCAGCGAACAAGACAAACATAGTCTCTGCTTCCATGAAAATTTAATCCAGAAAGTGTCATCATTTATGGGAAAGATTGGGGGTGAGGGTAAGAGGCAGAAGATGAAAGAGGAAAGGAGGAGAGAGGCAAAGGGTGATATTTTTGGAAATAATAAAGCTTATATATTACCTGCATGTGATTCTCAAAGAACTCTCCAATAATATGGAATAATATTCCTTAAACATATTATCTCCTATGACAATCTCACTGACTATTTGTAGTAGGTGAAGAAAATATCCCCATTTAAAGATGAGGCCTAGATTTTTCTCTAGGCCTAGAGAGTGACCACGCTCACATAAGGAGCAACCTGAAGGAGACTGCAGATCTTCTGGCCCTCGGTCCAGGGCTGTTCCACAATGTCATTGCTCCTTTGGGTGTGAAGACTTGTCACTTTGATAATTGGGGGGACAGGAAATAAAACAAGTAAGTTATAAAGGCAAGGGAAGGTCACTTGGTGCTGGCTGTTCTCCTTCTGACTCCTTAGAGTGCATCCTTCTCTGTTCTGTTCTGTGTCCTTGAGGCTGACTGCTAGACTGCATCACCTAGACTCTCTTGCAAGCTGATTTCTGCTTGGGTTCATACAATGGGAGACACTGAAAGGAGAGATGTCAGAGAGCAGGGAGGAAAGAGAGGCTGGGATACATCTTTCTTGCTCCTTCCCCACTTTCTGTGATGTCTTTGGCAGTAGCTATGTTCTTCTGTAATGCTGTCTTCCCTGAATAACCCCTTCTTCATGGTTCTAGCTCCCATTGGGCTTCAGTAACGGTATTTGCTATTCTTATCTCTTAAGCCCTAGGGGTGATAATGGCTTCCCATAGTTGTTAGCCTGCAGATGCCCATCATCCTTGTTTGTTCCGTTAACCTTGACCATATCTCTGCAAGGAGTCCCTTCATTAAGGTCTCCTCACATGACCCATCTGGCTTGAAGGCTGTTTCCTGCTAGGACCCTAACTGAACATTCCTGGGCTTTGAGGGATATTGGCTGGAAAAGGATATGAGATTATGAAAGAAGACTCAGTCTACTTGATATTTATGCCTAGTGCTAGCCCTGAGTGGGAGCTATATACCAGTAATAGATGGGGAAACACGGGGAAGAGATACTGCAGGGTTGTGGGTCATTACTCCAGGAAATGTCAACATAACTCCAATATCACTTTCAGTGTGTTGCTTTCATCAACTCCACAGCCTGCAGTTGACTCCTCCTTCCTTTGTGCTCCCATGGCTCCTGTTCACAGTTCTGTAATTTTCCATTTACAAAAATCTTCTCTTTGAGGCTCTCCTTAAAGACAGAAAGAGATATCTTCATTTTTTTCTTATTTCTCTGGTATACCTAGTGCCCAACAGGCACTTAGTAAATGTTTGCTGAGTGAATTTATGTTCGGAGGTAATGTCCCTAAGAAATCACAGTTATTTGACTGGGAGCCATAGAGAGCTCGGGCAGTAATAACGACTGCAAATTCAAAACTGTGGCTTACTGTAGTTGCAGGATTTGTATTAAAAAGGTGTTTCATGCTTTTACAACTCATCTTGTTCTTCATTTCAGCCTGTGTGAAACTGTGAATTGGCGATATGGGTGGGTGTAATCAGACTGGGGGCTGGCATGAGATTTCTCATGCATTGCCATATGTGATTTGTATGTTTCATCTCGACATAACCAAGGTCAGTCTCTTGATATTACTCATAATTTTATGGCTGTATAAATCTGCTATATCAATCTACTTCATGAATGGTGGAGTCCTTCACAGGCGAGGTCTGATGATGGATAAGCTCCCTAAGCTGCCAACTGGGTTACTGTTAAAAAACAGACTTGCATATTATCTGCTTAGAAGTGACCTTGAGTTCAAAGAGTTAACATGAGAAAATATGGGCTTTTTCTTTAGACTTTATTAGATAGACTTCAGTCTGTTTCCATGGAGCTGTTGCCAAGGTATATGCCATAGAAATTTCTCCAAGACAATGTTTCACTCCCCTAAGGCCCTCTTCTTAATTGGCATTGAATCTATCTAAACTTGAGAAATTCAACTAATTTGTAGATTTTTCTTTTGACTAGTTGAAATATCTGTCTATTCTCACTTGACCCCAATCCTCTTACCCCACAGTATTGCTAAGAGCTGGAGGAAAGGAGCCTAAGTTAAAGATCAAACACATGACTCTTTGAACACTTATTTTAGGGAACTCAAATTGAGAAAGATGACAAAGGATGTTTTTTCTGATGTATGAATTTATATTTATCGGGGAAAATCTTTCAAGAGTATACATATTAAGTCACATTTTGTTATAACTTCAAAGGATCATTTTAGAAAAATAAAATTTATAAAATCGGGATTTTCTGGGAAACATAAGACATATAGTCATCATTGTGTACAGAGAGTACTGAGGGAAAAAAGACACCAGAGCTCATTCATTCGTTTTCCAAAACTCCACATAGTCCTACAGGGCTCACTTTCTTACTCCATTCACATCTCTGCTCAAATGCCACCTGCTGTGGTCCCTCTATCTAAAAGATCAGGCCTTCTCCTCTCCACACTCTCTTTTCTCTGCTTTACTTTTCTTCATAATCTTTATCTCCACCTGACCTTGTATTATATATGTATTTATTGCCAATCTCCTGTCTAGAAATTATCTCACAGGGCTGGGACTTTCATGTGTTCATTGCTCTGTTTCCAGCAGCTAGGACTGTGCTTATTGGACATTCAGAAAAGAATATACCTATATGAAGTGAGACATTGGCAACCTTCAAAAGGGTAGCCTCAGAAGAGTAGCTCACAAGCCAAACTTGTCACAGTCGCCACTTTTATGCTCTAAGTTCCTGTAGTTAGTTAGACATGTCATTAGGAGAGGGGACTAATGGTTCTTGCTGCACATAGAACCATCCATGAACATGGCCTGAGATGTGTCCAAAGGTCCCCTTAACTAAAAATATTGCCACCTACTTCTCCCCTCATTCCCACGATGCTCGAAATTCTAAAGAGTCATTCCCAGGAATCATAATCATTTTGACCTTATTAAGGCATTGGACTTCTTGAGAGAGCCAATAAATAATCAGACTGTGTTGACCTGGTTATCCAATCAGGACTCACGGCCACCTGTGTGTAGGAAGGTCTGGAGCCTGTGGCCCCAGGGACTGGGAAATCAGAGGCAGTGAGTCATCCTTGACACAAGGGGGCAGGAGAGAGCAGTGATAATCCAGGGGCTAGAAGCCTGGCCTGGAAAGCTTCCCCTACACTAGGGAGGGTTGGGTAGTCTCAAGGTAGAGGGACTTCCCATGGAGAGATCACAGTGTGATTCCTGGTTCCTTCACTTATGGATTCTGAGGATGATCTTGGGCAATTAATCTCTCTGCACCTATTTTCTTTTCTTTTTTTTTGAGATGGAGTTTTGCTCTTATTGCCCAGGCTGGAGTGCAATGGCGTGATCCCGGCTCACTACAACCTCCGCCTCCTGGGTTCAAGCGATTCTCCTGCCTCAGCCTCCCAAGTAGCTGGGATTACAGGCATGCGCCACCACACCCAGCTAATTTTTTGCATTTTTAGTAGGGACAGAGTTTCTCCGTGTTGGCAAGGCTGGTCTTGAACTCCTGACCTCAGGTGATCCGCCTGCCTTGGCCCCCCAAAGTGCTGGGATTACAGGCATGAGCCACCACACCCGGCCTCTCTGCACCTATTTTCTATCTGTGGGTTGGAATTATAAGACCTACCTCAAAAGTTTGTTAGAAGAATAAGTGAAACCCATGCTTATCAAGGGCTTAAAATGGTACCTAACACAAGGTATGTGCTCAATAAACAAATACAGTTGTGATGACTATGATTAAGATGCTGCTGCCCTTTATGCCTCATTGAAGGCCCATCTGATCTGCCACCTCCTTGGAACATTTCCCAGTGGATCCCTTCTCATGGGACCACGGTCTCTCTTCTCCTAGTGGCTGGAGCACTCCATTGGTACTCTTTTCTGGCGCTTGCTGCTTGTTGCCGTGTGTGGTGGAATTCATTTATTTGTTATGTGCTTTAGCTCCCCAATAATACTGTAAGTTCCTGGAGGAAAGAGCTGGTATTTGATTTGTTCTTCTCTTCCTAACATTGCCTCCAATTCCTTGTACATAGTAGACACTAAATAAATAATTGCCCCCATGAGGCCGGGCGCGGTGGCTCACGCCTGTAATCCCAACATTTTGGGAGGCTGAGGTGGGTGGATCACCTGAGGTCATGAGTTCGAGACCAGCCTGACCAACATGGTGAAACCCTGTCTCTACTAAAAATACAAAAATTAGCTGAGTGTAGTGGTGGGCGCCTATAATCCCAACTACTCTGGAGGCTGAGGCAGGAGAATTGCTTGAACCCAGGAGGCAGAGGTTGCAGTGAGCCAAGATCATGCCACTGCACTCCAGCCTGGGTGTCAGAGCGAGACTCCATCTCAAAAAAAAAAAAAAAAGAAAAAAGAAAAGAAAAATTGCCCTCATGGATGAAGTGAAAACACTTCATCAATTATTTTACAATCCAGTGATTTTCACAGCCTTTTGTAAGAATGGCCCAACTGGTTAATGGACAGGTTAAAGGGAACATGATTTAGAACTATCAAGTAGCCATTGCACCTAGCCTAAGAGTTTTTGGTTGTGTCGTTCGGGTTCTCCAGCACTATCTGTCAGAAGCTGATGAGACTGGGCAGGAGATGCCTTTTGAGAAGTAGCTTGACTGGTTTAGACAGAATACCAAATTCTAAATTGTATATTTCAGCTTAATAAGTGAGTTGATGCTGATGATCTATCTGTTCATGGAAAGGGAGAGAGAGACTTAATTTCAAAATTATTAGGGCGAGAAAAGAGAAATGGAAGATTAGATCAAATGATATGAAATTGCCATTTTTATAGGTCAAAAATGGTAAAATATTGGCCTTTCCAAATGATTCGAAATCTGATTATGTCTGCAACAAATCCTGGTGGGATATAAATTATCACAAGTTTTAATGTACTAGGAGAGAGAGGGTACCTGGACTTTTCCTCATCTTTTCTGTTGTGAGTTACTGACTGAACATGTGTCAATCAACTTCCCACCACAGCAGAGGTAACATTTTAAAGGCCCAGCTAAGGAGCAAGCATGACTTGTTCCTGTGGAGGCACCAGATGGGTAACTGGGCCCATGGCAAATGAAGAGGAAGGGACTGTGATGTCCTGGAGCAGAGCCACGCTGGGCTGAACCAGTGGTGGATGGGTGTGACTGAAAAAGCAAGTCCAGCCTTTAGGTGCCTGGACTTTGAAGTCAAGGCTGGCTGGTGGAGAACAACTGTTTCAAAACCAGGCATCAGAATTAGATTGAAGTTAAAAAAAAAAAAAACCCAGAAAGAAAGAAAGACACAGCCAGGCACGGTGGCTCATGTCTGTAATCCCAGCACTTTGGGAGGCCAAGGCAGGGGGAATCATGAGGTAGGAGTTCAAGACCAGCCTGGCCAACGTGGTGAAACCCCATCTCTACTAAAAATAAAAAAATTAGCTGGGTGTAGTGGCAGGCGCCTGTAATCTCAGCTACTTGGGAGGCTGAGGCAGGAGAATCGCTTGAACCTGGGAGGCAGAGGTTGCAGTGAGCAGAGACTGTGCCACTGCACTCCAGCCCGGGTGACAGAGTGAGACTCTGTCTCAATAAATAAATAAATAAATAAATAAATAAATAAATAAATAAAGCACAATACTTACTTGGACAGTATTGTCAACAGACCATATTTCTCTCTATCTACCTCTTTTAACTTCAGATAATGCAAATTCTTGTGAAAATTACATTTTTATAAGAAAGCAAAGTTACATGAATTGTAAATATTATGTTTGGAGATGATGCTGGTGATACTTAACTGGAATAAATCCTGCTATTGGGCACTAATGCCCCAAGTTGTTAATACTGGAGGTTTTTTTGCTTGTTGGCATCTATCAGGAATGTAGACCTCAGAGATCATAAAAATAGAAAACCCAGATTCCAGGGGATGTTCTACACCAACCCAGCTTAGCTCAGCAACACAGCATCTTTTTTTCTTCCTTCTTTTTTCTCCTCTCCACATTCTCTGTCTGGAGTCTGCTCTCCGTGGGGATTTTTTCCCATGAAAAACTATGGAAGTGATTCCTCCCTCTTTCTTTTCCCCTCACTCCCTCAACTCCAGCCACAGGCCTTTGTGCTGCTCCTGGAATGTGCCAGGCATGTTCTTTCCAGGGGCCTTTGCATGGCCCTTCTTGTCCAGACTGCTGTCCCCAGACACCTGCCTGTCTCCCCAACTCCTTGCAGGCACTTGCTCAGAATTCAGCTTTGTGGGAAACCTTCCTTAATACGCCTTCCTTTTTTAAATAGTGTTGCCCATTCCTCTTTGCAGTTTTATTTTTCTTCACTGTACTTTAAAAAAATTATATATTTTATTTTCTAGTCTGTCTTCTCCCCTTCCCCCGACTAGGGTGTAGACTCCATGAGGGCAGACATTTTTATCTGTTTGGTCTGGTACAAGCTTAGGGCCTAGAAGAGTGGCTGGCACAGAAGAAGCATTGGATATACAAATCAATATTAAGGAAGTGTGAGAACTAATATTCACAACTTGTTCCTCCTTTTGGGTCCTCCTTCTTTAGACAGTTGTGTACCTCCAGTGTAGCCACAAAACTTTCCAGATGTGAAAAAATAGAACTATTTCAAAATCAATTGCAGAATATATATAGTACCCTTTGCAGATCCCAGATTGCAGTTCAACTCTCCATTCACCAGCCTTCCCTTGAATCAAAGATAATTTTTTTTTTTTTTTTTTTGAGATGGAGTCTCGCTCTTGTTGCCCAGGCTGGAGTGCAGTGGCGCGATCTCGGCTCACCACAACCTCCACCTCCCAGGTTCAAGCGATTCTCCTGCCTCACCTCCCTAGTAGCTGGGATTACAGGCATGCGCCACCATGCCTGGCTAATTTTATATTTTTAGTAGAGATGGGGTTTCTCCATGTTGGTCAGGCTGGTCTTGAACTCCTGACCTTAGGTGATCCACCCACCTCGGCCTCCAAAAGTGCTGGGATTAGAGGCGTGAGCCACCGCGCCCGGCCAAATCAAAAATATTTTTTAGGCCAGGTGCGGTGGCTCACGCCTGTAATCCCAGCACTTTGGGAGACCAAGGCAGGCAGATCACCTGAGGTCGGGAGTTCAAGACCAGCCTGGCCAACGTGGCAAAAACCCGTCTATACTAAAAAAAAATACAAAAATTAGCCAGGCGTGATGGTGGGCACCTGTAATCCCAGCTACTTGGGAGGCTGGGGCAGGGAGAATTGCCTGAAGCAGGGAGGCAGAGGCCGCAGTGAGCCGAGATCACGCCACTGCACTCCAACCTGGGCGACAGAATGAGACTCTGTCTCAAAAAAGATCCAGGTTAAATAGATTCATATTCATTTCAGCATATTTCATTATTCCAAACCACAGAAATAAAGTGTTTCACCAACAATTTAATTCACCCAATATTTACCAAGCTACTACCATGTGCCAAGCTCCCTGTGCTAAGCTTTGCAGGAAATACAAAGGAAAAAAGCAAAGTCCCTGTTCTTAAGTGCTTTAAGATTGAGAAGCAGGTAGAAGGTAGTAAGCAGAGGGAAACAGAAGGCAGAATCTGGTAGCTATTGGTTTTACGACAGAACTCATGCTCTGATGCAATCTCTGGCTCTTGTTTGCATAAGAACCAACACTTTTATGAAGAGGCTCTCATGACTACCCCAGAGGCTTCCACTGTCTTCCCTCCCAACCCAAGCCCTCACCCACCACAGGAAGGGAAGGGGGAAGTAAAAGGTCAAAGCAATACAGAGGGACATTGGGACCTTATGCTGCCCCAGCCTGTGGGAGGCCAGCCTCCATCCTGTTCAGTATTGCAGCTGACATGCAGGATAACACCTGTGAGGGAGGAGCCCATGGGGCGGGGATACCTACTCTGAACCCTGCCAAACTGCTACACCCCAGCTCCAGGAGCAAGGAGAAAGAAGTGCTAACAATGATTTTAATTGCTGGGCGTGGTGGCTCACATCTCTAATCCCAGCACTTTGGGAGGCCAAAGTGGGAGGATCACTTAAGGCCAGGAATTTGAGACCAGCCTGGGCAACACAGACCCTGTCTCTATTAAAAAGAAGTGGTGACGTGCTTATAATCCCAGCTACTCAGGAGGCTGAGGTGAGAGGACCACTTAAGCCCAGGAATTCAAGGCTACAGTGAGCTGTGATCATGCCGCTGCACTCCAGCTGGGCAACAGAGTAAAACCCTGTCATACACACACACACATATGCACACACATACATACACTAACTAGTACAATCAGTTGCTCTGGGAGATACCTCTCAGGGCCTCTTGTTTTTCCTAGTATGCAAGGTAAGGGTACCCTGGCCTTGGGGTGGTCAGTTCTGAAAGATAACCTGCACATTATGAGTTATTTCATAAGCAGTTTTAGAGAAAAGAAAAATATAAACAAACTTGTAGCACAGAAGCTAATCCAACTATTTTGTGAGCTGATTTTTTTTTTTTGTCTGATCTTTTTTTTTTTTTTTTTTTTGAGACAGAGTCTCACTCTGTCGCCCAGGCTGGAGTGCAGTGGCGTGATCTTGGCTCACTGCAAGCTCCGCCTCCCGGGTTCACACCATTCTCCTGCCTCAGCCTCCCAAGTAGCTGGGACTACAGGTGCCTGCCACAACGCCTGGCTAATTTTTTGTATTTTTAGTAGAGACGGGGTTTCACCATGTTAGCCAGGTTGGTCTCGATCTCCTGACCTCATGATCCGCCCGCGTCGGCCTCCCAAAGTGCTGGGATTACAGGCGTGAGCCACTGCGCCCGGCCTGATCTTTTTTCTTAACTATATGCTTATAAATGAGGAGGAAGGAATGAATATCATTAAGTGGTATTCACCCTTGCAAGATTCTCTATAGTGGCAAGGGCCAGGTTAGAAGATCTGAATGTAGGGGAGGTCCTAAAGGTGATGGCAGCAGCAGGGTGGGCAATCTGGAAAGACTGGGGAAGTGTTGTGTAGTACAGCTCTTAGACACAGGCAAGAGAAGCCCCTGGATATGGCCCCACATTCAGAGAGCCCCACTCTGGCCCTCTGCTACCCACATCCTTTCCCACAGAGCGAGGAGTGCGTGAGGCTGAGGGGAGGTGGTAACCCTGTGTCTGGGCCCCTCCACTCTAGACCAGACTCCAGGCACCCAGGAACCTGGAGTTCCCCACTCAGCTGACTCAGAGCTGCTGAGGTTTACACAACAAACTCGCACTTTGGCCCATCCTCCTAAAGGTGGACTGGCTGCCCTTGAGGGCCTTGCTAGGCCTGAGGGGTGGCCAAGAGGTGGGAGGATCACTTAAGCCCAGGACAAGCTCAGACAAGAGGCAGTTTGTGGCTGAGCCTGAATAAAAAAGTAGAGGTGTTTAATTGTGGGAGGCCCTTGGCAGTGCTGGAAGGAGCAAGAAACAGGAAGAAAAAGAGGTGAGTCTCAGGCTGAGGGCCGGGGACTGGAGGGAGACACCAGCTTTCTCTGTGCCGCCCCATTCAGGCCCAGAACTTCACACAGTGTGAGATTTTTTAATTTGAACTTGGTCTTCGAAGCCATACAAAGGGCAATCTCTCAAGGTGGGGGGATAGAACATATTTCAAGTTTGTTAGATTGATTTATTCCTTTTAAATATCTGGATCTCTGGTATGTGAGCCTCCATCTGTCATCTCAATTTAGCCATGAAATTTTAGGGATGATCCTGTTTTAGGGATGAAATGTTTTTGGAGGTGGGTTTTGAGGACTGGGAAGGATTTAGATGGGTCAGAATGGCAGGAGATAACAGGACAAAAGGCTTGGACATGGGCATCTGCAGACACCGGCAGGCAGAGTAGGGGAAGAAAGCCATTGTGGCTGCATACCTTCTATTTGCCAGCTTTTGGGGATGGCATGGGGTACGTAGCCTTCTCAGCCTGGGCTCCACCTCCCAGGCATCGCCTCTGCCCGTGACGCCTGTCACTGTGCTCCAGACGTCCCAGGCCATTTGGTTCCCATGCACGCCCCGCCTTCTCGAACCTCCTGCTTGCACATGTGGTCTCTGCCCTGCTCCCCCTGCCCGCCCTCCTGCATCCCCTCCCAGCCCCTCTGCCTACTCACCTCCTACCTGTCCCTGAGACCTCCCTAAGACATCACCTTCTCTGGAAGTCTCTCCTAAGGGCCCACACCAGCTTGGATCCCATAACACTGAGAGGTGACAGCGTGCTGGCAGTCCTCACAGCCCTAGCTCGCTCTTGGCGCCTCCGCTGCCTGGGCTCCCACTTTGGCGGCACTTGAGGAGCCCTTCAGCCCACCGCTGCACTGTGGGAGCCCCTTTCTGGGCTGGCCAAAGCCGGAGCCCGCTCCCGCAGCTTGCAGGGAGGTGTGGAGGGAGAGGCGCGAGCGGGAACCCGGGCTGCGGGCGGCGCTTGCGGGCCAGCTGGAGTTCCAAGTGGGCGTGGGCTTGGCGGGCCCTGCACTGGGGGCAGCCGGCCCTGCCGGCCCGGGCAATGAGGGGCTTAGCACCCGGGCCAGCGGCTGCGGAGGGTGTACTGGGTCCCCCAGAAGTGCCAGCCCACCAGCGCTGCAGCTCGATTTCTCGCCGGGCCTTAGCTGCCTTCCTGCGGGGCAGGGCTTGGGGACCTGCAGCCCGCCATGCCTGAGCCTCCCACCCCCTCCATGGGCCTCTGTGCGGCCCGAGCCTCCCCGATGAGCGCCACCCCTGCTCCACGGCGCCAGTCCCATGACCACCCAAGGGCTGAGGAGTGCGGGCGCACGGCGCGGGAATGGCAGGCAGCTCCACCTGCAGCCCCAGTGGGGGATCCACTGGGTGAAGCCAGCTGGGCTCCTGAGTCTGGTGGGGACGTGGAGAACCTTTATGTCTAGCTAAGGGATTGTAAATACACCAATCGGCACTCTGTATCTAGCTCAAGGTTTGTAAACACCAATCAGCACCCTGTGTCTAGCTCAGGGTTTGTGACTGCACCAATCGACACTCTGCATCTAGCTACTCTGGTGGGGACTTGGAGAACCTTTGTGTGGACACTGTATCTAGCTAATCTGGTGGGGACGTGGAGAACCTTTGTGTCTAGCTGAGGGATGGTAAACGCACCAATCAGTGCCCTGTCAAAACAGACCACTGGGCTCTACCAATCAGCAGGATGTGGGTGGGGCCAGATAAGAGAATAAAAGCAGGCTGCCCGAGCCAGCAGTGGCAACCGTCTCGGGTCCGCTTCCACACTGTGGAAGCTTTGTTGTTTCGCTCTTTGCAATAAATCCTGCTGCTGCTCACTCTTTGGGTCCACACTGCCTTTATGAGCTGTGACACTCATGGCGAAGGTCTGCAGCTTCACTCCTGAAGCCAGCGAGACCACGAGCCCACCAGGAGGAACGAACAACTCCAGACGCACCGCCTTTAGAGCTGTAACACTCACTGCGAAGGTCTGCAGCTTCACTCCTGAGCCAGCGAGAGCACCAACCCAACAGAAAGAAGAAACTCCAAACACATCCGAACATCAGAAGGAAAAAACTCCAGACGCGCCACCTTAAGAGCTGTAACACTCACCGCGAGGGTCCACGGCTTCATTCTTGAAGTCAGTGACACCAAGAACCCACCAATTGCGGACACACCACCACCCATAATGCCACCTTGAAACCACTTTGTCTCCGTCAGGCCCTAAGCTTCTTGGACAAGCGGAGAGAAGTTCAATGTGGGAACAGCAGGGAGGGCCAAACAGTTTTGTTTCATTTTGGTTTACTTTTAACCCTTATTACAATCCTTATAACTAGTAAGTAGAAAAAGAATAAGAAAATGGTTAACAGCAGTGGTTTGACATAATAGGAAAAGCACTGTGCTTTAAAAAAAAAAAAAATTTCGGCCGGCCATGGTGGCTCACACCTGTAATCCCAGCAATTTGGGAGGCCGAGGTGGGCAGATCATGAGGTCAGGAATTCGAGACCAGCCTGACTAACATGGCAAAACCCTGTTTTTACTAAAAATACAAAAATTAGCCAGGCATGCTGGCACATACCTGTAATCTCAGCTACTCAGTAGGCTGAGGCAGGAGAATCACTTGAACCCAGGAGGCAGAGGTTGCAGTGAGCCAAGGTCACGCCACTGCACTCCAGCCTGGGCAACAGAGTGAGACTCTGTCTCAAAAAAATAAATAAATAGGCTGGGCACGGTGGTTCACGCCCATAATCCCAGCACTTTGGGAGGCCAAGGCAGGCGGATCACGAGGTCAGGAGTTTGAGACCAGCCTGGTCAATATGGTGAAACCCCATCTCTACTTTAAAAATATACAAAAATTAGCTGGGCATGGTGGCACGCGCCTGTAGTCCCAGCTACTCAGGAGGCTGAGGCAGGAGAATCACTTGAACCCAGAAGGCAGAGGTTGTAGTAAGCCAAGATCATGCCACTGCACTCCAGCCTGGGCGACAGAGTGAGACTCTGTCTCTAAAAAATAAAAAATAAAAAATAAATAAAATAAATAGGCCAGGCGCGGTGGCTCACGCCTGTAATCCCAGCACTTTGGGAGGCCGAGGTGGGTGGATCACGAGGTCAGGAGTACAAGACCAGCCTGGGCAAGATGGTGAAACCCTGTCTCTACTAAAAATACAAAAAAATTAGCCAGGCGTGGTGACCAGTGCCTGTTATCCCAGCTATTTTGGAGGCTGGGGCAGAGAATTGCTTGAACCCGGTAGGCGGAGGTTGCAGTGAGCCGAGTTTGTGCCACTGCACTCCAGCCTGGGCAACAGAGCAAGACTCCATCTCAAAAAAATAAATAAAATAAAATAAATAAATAAATTTCGGCCAGGCGCAGTGGCTCATGCCTATAATCCCAGCACTTTGGGAGGCCGAGGTGTGCAGATCATGAGGTCAGGAGTTTGAGACCAGCCTGGCCAACATGATGAAACACTGACTCTACTAAAACTACAAAAAATTAGCCAGGCGTGGTGGTGTGTGCCTGTAATCTCAGCTACCTGGGAGGCTGGAGCAGGACAATCACTTGAACCCAGGAGGCGGAGGTTGCAGTGAACAGAGATCGTGCCATTGCACTCCAGCCTGGGCAACAGAGCAAGACTCCATCTCAAAAAAAAAAAAATGCTCAGTGCATGTGTTTGTGTGCCTGTGTGTATATGCCCACACGTGCACACACAGAGGTGGAGTGGGGGTCCTCATTTATTCACCAGAGGCTTCTTTGGTAAAAGAAGAAGGCTGCGTCATCAGGGTTTTCAAGCCTTCAGAGTTCCCGAGGGCTCCCGCAGGGACAGCTCCCCCTGTATCCCCAATGAGTGGTCTTCTCCCTTCCCCCTACAACCATAGCAGCACTCTATATTTTGTCTACAAGTTGAGATTACCTATAAAATTCCATCCTGCATTTGCAAACCTGAACGAGAAAGGCTCCAAGTCACTGGTCTGGAGCTCTTACGTCCTGTCCAGGCCCCGGTTCCTGGGTTCTGTGGTTCTGTAAGAGGAAATGGCAGCTGGGGCGTGGAGGCCTGGGTACAGCTGAGTAGGGAGCACTCGTGTGGGGCTAAATGAATGCAGTTGAAGGATCTGGATCATCTGGGACCCTACATGTCTTCCTTCTTTGCCTCCTTTCCAGGGACGCACTCTCTGAGATATTTTCGCCTGGGCGTTTCGGATCCCATCCATGGGGTCCCTGAATTTATTTCGGTTGGGTACGTGGACTCGCACCCTATCACCACATATGACAGTGTCACTCGGCAGAAGGAGCCACGGGCCCCATGGATGGCAGAGAACCTCGCGCCTGATCACTGGGAGAGGTACACTCAGCTGCTGAGGGGCTGGCAGCAGATGTTCAAGGTGGAACTGAAGCGCCTACAGAGGCACTACAATCACTCAGGTGTGCATGCGGCAGAGACAGACGCTTCCCCCATCCCACCCCAACCCGCAGAGACCCCTGGGCTGGCCTCCAATAAGCGGATGCTGAATTGCACCTGCTGTAGCTTTGGCAAAGCCTGAGGAATCAGGTTGGTGGAGTTCAGGGCCTCCCATCTGCCTGTGCATCTTCTGGACTGTCCCTCTCTCCCCCAGGAGCACTCTGTCATTTGCCCCACCCACTCTTCCCCATCTCTGTATCCGTATCTGCATCCCATTTCCACTCAGGCTTCTGATATGCATCTCCTTTTCCATTCTAAATTTGCCCATTCTGCGTCTCACTTCCTGGTAGTCAGGCCTAGTGACTTGCTTATGAGTATCGACAGTAACTTTCCCAGGGGTATTTCTGGCTCCTGCATCTCTCTCCCTCCTCCACTGCAGTCAGAATAGCCACAAAGTTTATCAGTCATTCCCATTACAGGATAACTCCCCAAGGCGGGAATTAGCACACTCCTTTGACAGGCAGTAGGTACTTCACAGATACCTGCTGACAGGTGGGCTTCCATAAGGGGGACCTCCTGGGGACTCAGCGATGCCATGGCAGGCCTGGGGGGTGACATAATGTAGACCAAAGGATGCTTCCAGCCATGCCCCTGCTCCCAGCACTTGAGAGCCCACCTCTGTCTCTGTGTGGACCCCTCTGGGCTTCTGTGTGTGTTCCAGGGTCTCACACTTACCAGAGAATGATTGGCTGTGAGCTGCTGGAGGATGGAAGCACCACAGGATTTCTGCAGTATGCATATGACGGGCAGGATTTCCTGATCTTCAATAAAGACACCCTCTCCTGGCTGGCTGTAGATAATGTGGCTCACACCATCAAGCAGGCATGGGAGGCCAATCAGCATGAGTTGCTGTATCAAAAGAATTGGCTGGAAGAAGAATGTATTGCCTGGCTAAAGAGATTCCTGGAGTATGGGAAAGACACCCTACAAAGAACAGGTAAAGAGAAAGAGAAGGCCTCATTCCCACATTGCCTGAACAACTGTTTTTATACGTAACTCTTTTAATCTAGGTTATATCCACTGTATCCTGAAAGCCATCTCTTTAGTTGGCCTATTGTGATCTCATGGCTAGAGCCCCCACGAAAACTTTCCCTGGTTACTTTTGAGCAGCATCTTGACAAGATTTGACAGTTCCCCTTGTCTTGACAGAGTGGAGTACCTCCAAGGGCACCTTGTTTTTAGGGATCTATTGAGGCAAATTCTTCCATTCCGTCAATGATAAGCTGGGAAATTCTTTGGGAGATAGAGCAATTCTTACAAACTGTTTAGTTAACAAAGGGCTCACACACCACCAGTAGGAGTAAAAATCTGGATTTACCAAGACAAACAGAAGGTCTCTGCTTTACTAAAGGATTAATGAGGTTGGGCATGATGGCTCATGCCTGTAATCCTAGCACTTTGGGAGGCTGAGGCAGGAGGATTGCTTAAGGCCAGGAGTTTAAGACTGGCCTGGGTAACATTGTGAGACCCTGTCTCTATTAAAAAAAAAATTAGCTGAGCATGGTGGCACATGACTGTAGTCCCAGATACTCAGGAGGCTGAGGTGGGAGGATCTCTTGAGCCTGGAAGGTCAAGGCTGCAGTGAGCCATGATCATGATCAGCCTGGGTCACAGAGCAAGACCCTATTTAAAAAAAAAAAAAAGTATTAATGATAAGATTCCTTTCAGCAAAGAGCTCCTCTTATACCTTAAAGATATGATTCAGTTGGTCAACTTTTAGTTCATATAGAACTTTTCATGTATGGTCTTGTTATTCAAAATTAATCACACCTGTATGATGCTACAGGAAACTCCTAGATACAATGTGTGTGGGAAGAGTATGGGAAGCTCCCCTCTCCAGGCCTCTGTCTACATTCAGTGTCCTAATGGATTTTCAACCTTTTGGTCAAAACACACTCCTAAAAAAACAAACAAAAAAAAAAAAGAAAAGAAAAAACACATTCCTAGAAAAGGATCTTGGATTAATTTCTTACAGGCCCTATCAAAAAGCACAGTCCCTCCTAGTAGCATTTATTTTACTTTTAATGTTGGAAAGCCTTTTTCTACTACCAAATATCATGCCTCGGTAAAGAGACAAGGAAAGCATTGTTGGAGTGAAGGCTCTTCTCCGTATTGGGTTGGCCGATGATAAGGTGGGGGTCAGGAGGCAAGTCAGAGATGAGCAGGAAGCAGTCCCCCCCAGATAGTGCCTTTGGTCTCGGTATGGCTGTTTGACCCAATTTCAGCAAGAAACATTAAGGACAGGACTGTATGGAAAATTAAGAGTAGTCATGAGGAAGCAAGGTCACACGTGGGTACTTCTTTGGTGTCACTGCTGGAGCCCTTCTATGATATCAGTTTCTTCGAAGGCACAACCATGGCATGATCTACTACATATGTTTGTACCTGATGGCAGTCATCAAAATGCCAGCGCAAGTACACAAGGCAATTCGGAGCCAAAACTGAGTGGGGATGGCTGTGTTATTTACGTGCACTAAACACAGAAATGAGAACAAGGAGTTCTAATCTCCAATCTATTGCTGACTTACTTATTGGGAACAGTCACTTACACATTTTATGGGTCAGTTTTCCTTGACACATAAAGGTATTTCAAAGGTTACTAGTAAACAACCCCAGCACACTTTCCAAACAGTCAAAGCTGTATGACTTTCCCCCCTTAGAGGATGGAGCATGGGCCAACTCCACATTCTTCACTACCTAGCACCTTGCCATCATGGAAGGTATACGTAAATACGTTTGTTGTTGATGAACCTGAGTTCTGGGTCATTCTTAGCTTTAGAAGTTTCCTGCAATAAAGAAAAATTAGGAAAGCCAGTTGCCAAGTTCTAATATTATATGCTCAGTACATAAGGCACTTTGATTTAACTTTAGCTTCTTCTTCCTAGAGCCCCCACTGGTCAGAGTAAATCGCAAAGAAACTTTTCCAGGGGTTACAGCTCTCTTCTGCAAAGCTCATGGCTTTTACCCCCCAGAAATTTACATGACATGGATGAAAAACGGGGAAGAAATTGTCCAAGAAATTGATTATGGAGACATTCTTCCCAGTGGGGATGGAACCTATCAGGCGTGGGCATCAATTGAGCTTGATCCTCAGAGCAGCAACCTTTACTCCTGTCATGTGGAGCACTGCGGTGTCCACATGGTTCTTCAGGTCCCCCAGGGTAAGGACGGGGATCGTGGCTGTCTAGGGAGAGAGCCTGGAGAAAGGGGTGAGCAGGAAACCATGCTCGCTGCCAGGGAGGGGAGGATAGATCACTGCCTCACTCAGTGTGCCTTAGAATGGGTCTTTTAAATAAGTGGTTCTCACACTTTTTGGAACCAGGACGCCTTCATACTATTAAAAAATTATTGAGGACCCCAGAGAGCTTTTGCTGATGTGGGTTATATCTATTGCTATTTACTACATTACAAATTAAAAATTTAAAAATTAAACACGAATGGGTGCAGTGGCTCATGCCTGTAATCCCAGCACTTTGGGAGGCTGAGGCAGGTGGATCACTTGAGGTCAGGAGTTCGAGACCAGCCTGGCCAACATGGTGAAACCCCATCTCTACTAAAAATACAAAAATTAGCCAGGCATGGTGGCGCATGCCTGTAATCCCAGCTCCTGGAGGCTGAGGCAGGAGAATCGCTTGAACCTGGGAGGTGGAGGTTGCAGTGAGCCGAGATCGCACCACTACACTCCAGCCTGTGCGAAGGGAGCAAGACTCCCTCTCAAAAAAACAAAAAAACAAAAAACAAAAAAACACAACCCAGGCGCAGTGGCTCACTCCTGTAATGCCAGTACTTTGGGAGGCTGACGCGAGTGAACTGCTTGAGCCCAGGAGTTCAAGACCAGCCTGGGCAACATACTGAGATCTCATCTCTACAAAAAACACAACAATTAGCTGGGCATGATGGCATGCGCCTGTAGTCCCAGCTACTGAGGAGGCTAAGGTGGGAGGATCGCTTGAGCCCAGGAGGTTGAGGCTGCAGTGAGCTATAATGGCACCACTGCACTTCCACCTGGACGACAGAGTGAGACGCTGTCTCAAAAAAAAAAAAAAAATTAAACACAAGAAAACACAAGCAGATATTCCATTAGTGGTCAGATTGATGAGTGAGAAGCAACAGTAAGGAAAATGGTGTTGGGTTTCCTGATGATCACAGGGACAAAAGTCCCAGAAAGTTAACACAGAAGGGAAAGGGGACTTGTGGATTTTTTCTCATTTGCTTGCTTTCAGAATCAGAAACTATCCCTCTTGTGATGAAAGCTGTCTCTGGGTCCATTGTCCTTGTCATTGTGCTGGCTGGAGTTGGTGTTCTAGTCTGGAGAAGAAGGCCCCGAGGTGAGAGGCACATGGAAGGGATCCAGGGGGCTGCAGACTCTCCTGCATCTCTCCAGTTTTATTTTCTGCACCTGCTGCTCCCTCCTCCATTCAGAAATGGCTTGGCTCTCAGGCTGGGATCACAGAAGGACCTGGGACAACCCTCCCACCATGTAGGGGACACAAAGCATGGATAAAGCTTACAGGGAGAGTGGTCTCTTTTCATAGGTGATGCCTGACATCAACAAACTAGTACATCTGTCCAGGGGAACTGTCCCCCTAGAAGTTGGGTCAGAGAAGATATGGGGATCTTGATTTGTCTTTTTCCAAACCATCTTTTTATTATTAATTACTATTGACTTCTGGGGCAGTGTCCTTTGTTTCAAGACTTCAGTCAGTTTTCCCATTTTGACCACCATTCTTTCATCCCAAGCATATGAAAGTCCTTTTCCTTGTAAATTCATTATTCAAAACATTAAATATGTAAGAGTAGATACCTTCAGGGAATGGGACTTAGAGTAAGGAAAAGGGGAGGAGAAGTAGGAGATATATAGGCTCTTGATAATGTGGAATAACATAAATTCATTCAGTAAGTATACATTAATGACCTACTGTGCTCCAGGCACTGTACTGGTTGCTGGGATATAACAATGAACAAGACAGATACGATCCCTGTTTTCATAGAGCTTACAATAGAGCCTGGTAAGGTTATCTCCTGGCTCTGGCTTCACTAATTGCTCAAATTGATCACAGGATAGTACCGATGAGACCATGCTTTGAACCCAAAGTGGACCAGAAGTTTGGTTTTCCTTCATAGACATAGACCTCAACTCCAATTCAGGTGATAACTGTACAAAAGCATGTTGTTAGATCAAAGTAAAACCAACCCTTTTACTAGAAAATCAGCTCAGAGGCCGGGCGTGGTGGCTTACAACTTGTAATCCCAGCACTTTGAGAGGCCGAGGCAGGCGGATCACTTGAGGTCAGGAGTTCGAGATCAGCCTGGCCAACATGGTGAAACCCTGCCTCTACTGAAAATATTAAAAAAAAAAAAATTAGCTGGGCGTGGTGGCACATGCCTGTAATCTCAGCTACTCAGGAGGCTGAGACAGGAGAATCGCTTGAACCTGGGAGGCGGAGGTTGCCGTGAGCAAAGATCGCTCCATTGCACTCCAGCCTGGGCAGCAAGAGCGAGACTCTGTCTCAAAAAAGAAAAAAGAAAAGAAAAGAAAAGAAAATCAGCTCAGAGAGTTAATGGGTTGTTAATGTTTTCTTTATAGATAAAGTACAGCACTAATCCTAATCCAATAAATGATAGTGAAACAAACAAAAAATTTTTTTACAATGACATCCCTCTCTCAATAATTATACAGACTGTGAGTTCCTGCTTTTTATCTTATAGAGTTTACAAATTTGAGCTAAAGTTTGTCAAGTACTAAGAGAATCTTGACAAAGCAAGCTAAAACTGTCGATGCCTGTTTCTCAGATTTTGCTGAACACTGCATACTTTATTTTTGAGCTGTGAGGAAACATTCTTGTAATCTGACTAAAAACCCCTTTCCTTTCAGAGCAAAATGGAGCCATCTACCTTCCAACACCAGATCGATGATTGCAGATCCCTCTTTTCCAGTTCTCCTTCCTCTAGGAGCCATGTTATCCTCTGTCCCCCATAGAGTCAAGCCTAGTGCTTGAAGGTCCTGACGACACCCACAACATACATGAGAGTAATGGGATTGAGCATTTATGGCAGCAACAGAGGAGCCACAAAATGTTCTTTGTTCTTTGGCTCCAAAAAGACTGTCAGCTTTCAGTCTCTTTTGATGGACTGTTTTATCAGAGTTGACTTTAAATACAGCTTGTCTCATGACACAACGCTTCCCTACATTCTATTTGTCAATGATGATTTGCAACTAGTTGGAGATTCTCAGAGCAGGAAGGAATCTTTTCAACCAGAGCAGGAACTGTCTTCTGCAATGCCTTGGACTTGAGCCTCCAGCCTCCACTTGAACACCATGTGAAGGGAACCTCAGTACTTCATAAAATGGCCTTTCTCATTCATCTTTCATGGGAACATTTATTGTACAAGCGCTTTGAATATCATGGGCACCATGACTGTGACCCTACAGGTAGGATTGGATCACTCCATGAGAGTAGCCGGCAGGTTTCTACAATGGCCTGGGAATGGACTGATTATTTTTATACATTTTCTGGCCTGAGAGAAAGCCAAAGTCCCCTGCTGTTCACAGCAACCCTGCCTGGGAGCTTGGAATCTTGGTAATCTGCCCGGTTGGATCTATGGAGGTAGTCTCACCCTTTTTGTCTTTTGTGGGAAATTAAGAGAAATAATTATCAGACATATCATCACCTCCAGTGGAACTACAGAGACCTGGACCCAGCTGCACTATTTTAATGTAAAAATAACAGTATGGCCAGGTGCAGTGGCTCACGCCTGTAATCCCATCACTTTGAGCAGCCAAGGCGGGCGGATCACGAGGTCAGGAGATTAAGACCATCCTGGCCAATATGGTGAAACCCTGTCTCTACTAAAATACAAAAAATTAGCTGGGCATGGTGTTGCGTGCCTGTAGTCCCAGCTACTTGGGAGGCTGAGACAGGGGAATTGCTTGAACCCGGGAGGCAGAGATTGCAGTGAGCCGAGATCACGCCACTGCACTCCAGCCTGGCGACAGAGTGAGACTCTATCTCAAAATAATAATAATAATAATAATAATAATAATAATAATAATAACAGTATATTTGGTGTCAGGAGAGGGCTCAATTCTCATTTCTGCCTTTCCTGTGCTGGCTCATGGTAGCTGGGCATGACTTGCCTTCCTACATAGGTTGTCTTCATACATATGCACTGGGAATCAATAAAAGCCCATGGTGAGAATGAACATCCCCTTAATGTTCCTTACTATCCCCAACCCCTGAGGCCTCACCTACTGCCCTGCCATGTGGAGCTACTTGCCCTGGGGCTGCCAGTCACACATTCCTCGGTCCTACTTCTCTGACCCCGTTTGACTCTGCACCTGAGCCCTAATGCTTACTTCAGTGACCTGAACTTTGACAAGTGGCTTTTGTCCTGCACCTCAGGTTTGACCTCTGCTCTCCCTTGACCTTGACTGTGACATTTGACCTTTGGCTTTAATCATTACAGCCTCAGATAAAGGTACCTTCAGCCCGGGCACAGTGGCTCACGCCTGTAATCCTAGCACTTTGGGAGGCTGAGGCAGGCGGATTCCCTGAGCTCAGGAGTTCAAGACCAGCCTGGGCAACACGGTGAAACCCTGTCTCTACTAAAATACAAATAATTAGCTGGGCATGGTGGCATGTGCCTATAGTCCCAGCTACTTGGGAGGCTAAGGCAGGAGAATCACTTGAATCTATAAGGCAGAGGTGGCAGTGAGCCGAGATCACACCACTGCACTCCAGCCTGGGCAACGGAGCAAGACTCTGTCTCCAAAAAAAAAAAGAAAGATACCCTCAGTGTGCCAGGCCTCTAAGAGCTCACCTGCCAGGCTTCCTCCTTGCTCCACTGTCCCATGTAATTCCATATATGAAGCTACCACTGTACATCTCTCTTTTCCGGTGCCTGTTGAGTTGCATAGAAGCACAGTTGTGTTTATTTTGTTTTTAGGGTTGCCATGGGCAATTTCCGTGCCACTTTTAAGCAGTGTTGCACTGTGAAGAGAATGTAGGCAAGTTTATTTCTGGAATGGTTTCTTCTTACAATCAGAATAGTTAGGATGTAATATATTTTTGGGTGGGCATTTAAAGTGAAAAGGTACATATTTACATAGACACAGGTGATAATGTATCTATGTAAATGCCTTTTGATTCTGCAACTGCAGGATACTCTCATCAAAGACACAGATAAAAAGCCTCTGTGTTTCCAAGGCCTTGCCCTACACCTAACACATAATATGTCCAAATGGATGAAGAGGAGGCAAGGACAAGGATGTGATGACAAAACATTCTGTTATGCACTTGTAGCATTTATGTTTCTTCCTGGGGGATTTTATAATACTAAAAGAATCATAATATAAAGAGATGATTAAAAAAAAAATACTGCCGGGCACGGTGGCTCATGCCTGTAATCCCAGCATTTTGGGAGGCCGAGGTGGGCAGATCACCTGAGGTCGGGAGTTCGAGACCAGCCTGACCAACATGGAGAAACCCTGTCTCTACCAAACATACAAAATTAGCCGGGGATGGTGGCGCATGCCTATAATCCCAGCTACTCGGGAGTCTGAGGCAGAAGAACCGCTTGAACCCGGGAGGCAGAGGTTGTGGTGAGCCGAGATCGCGCCATCGCACTCTAGCCTGGGCAACAAGAGTGAAACTCCATCTCAAAAAAATAAAAATAAAATAAGTAAGTAATACCTAAAATTCTGCAACCTTCATTTTACTATAGATGGTTGAAGATTATATTACTTCTTAATTGTTTTAGCCTTGTTATTGCTTCATTACTTCATGGTTGTTGAGTACAGATGCTCAGTAATCATAACCTATGAAATATTTGACACCATGATCTAAACATTAAAAACAAATAACTGTGCTATTGCCACAGCTATGTTTTGGCTTTGAATTTTCTTTACTGAATATTTTGGATCAAGAACACTAGATGAGAAACCTGTTCAACTCTGTTCTTTTTTTTTTTTTTAACTCCACTGTATTTATTACCTGTTTTTGTTTTTTTTGTTTGTTTGTTTTTGATGTGCATATAGACCAAGATGTGGTAAATTTAAATGGCAGATGTTTTTGATGTGGTACATTTAAGGGAGAGAAAGCAGTTTAAAGAGCAGGGTGAAAAATCCAACAAGACTCCATCGAGAGTTTCTGAGCTCTCCCATCAGGGGCCAGTCCTCCTTTCCTCTCTCCTCTTACTCCCATGATTTCCAAGTTGTGATCCTTTCCTTATTTCTGAGGAATGACTTGGTTTCTCCTCTTCTTTTTTTGGCCTGAGAGAAGATGTTTTTGCACTTGTAGCTATGAGGAACAGATTGTCCACTAGGGAGGCCAGCTGATCATTTTCTGCCAGAGTCACACAGAGCAGTCACACCTTATTTTGAAAACCACTGTCTGGGGTCTTTGTCCTCACATATGCAGGTCTAGTGTCCCCACAAAGTGATCAGATGGATATATAAAGTGGAGTGCCAATGTATTAATTTACTGTGAGAAACACAATTGCTAAGTGGGTCAGATATCTGTCTCAGCTGGTCAGTACACCTTCCAGCAGGAAAATCTACATAAGAACAACTAAATCACAATCTGTAGAGTGCTTGATGACCCCAGAATTGGTGCAAGGGGACACATTCTTGCTTGTTAGCACCTGCTCTCTGGAGTTTGCTATTTTCTCACACACAGTGTATTAGTTCACAGAATGTTCTCCAAGGAGGACAGGGGGCTTTGCCCATAGCCATGTGCTGTGGGCAGCAGAGCTAGGAAGAAGCACAGGCATCTCCCAGCCCAGGTGTTTCCCACTTAACTGCATTGCCCTTTTCATCTTTTTTTTTTCCCCAATAGCTTCAGGACATTCAGTACATTGTGCTTTTTAGAGGTTGATGATTCCACTGCCTGAGCTGCCTTCACCTCTCTTTCTTTGGAAATTGCCATCTTTGAGCATTGTATGTCTCTGTAACATCTCTGCATCTCCTTTTCACTCTGGCCTCCCTTTCTCCATTGTCCTTCTAGCTTCTGGTTGCCCCAAACCCCACAGACTGTGTAACAAAACCCAAAACCTATTGGTTTAAAACAATACCCATTTTATTTTCTTTCATAGTTTCTATGGGTCAGGAATTTGGATATGGCTTGGGTAAGCAGTTCTGGCTTCTCATGGAGTTGGAGGCAAGTGGTGGCTGGAACAGAAATGGGGCAGCCAGGGGTGGTGGCCAGGCATCAGCTACATCTCCTCCATGTAGTCTCAGGAACTCTCCATGTAATCTCTCTGTGTGGGTTGGGCTTCCTCACAACATGGTGGCCTCAGGGCAGTCACTGCTTACATGGCAGCTAGCTTCCCTCAGAGTGAGTATCCCAAGAGATCACAGTCAAAGTGCATAGCATTTATATAATCTAATCTTGGAAGTCACAAAATGTCATTCTTGTGATACTCTCATTGGTGAAGAAGTCATAAAATCCTGCTCAGGTTCAAAAAGAGGGTGTATAGAACCCAACACTCAATAGGAAGATTGTCAGAGTTACATTGTAAGAAGAGCATGTAGTTGGGAGATATCATTGTGGCCATTTTGGGAAAGATGCAACATGTCACAATGTCATGTTCTCCATCGTCTCCCCGTTCCACCTTGTACTGGTTTCCAAGGGTAGTCGTTTAAAAGTACCACAAAAACTGGGTGGCTTGGAACAACAGAAATTTATTGTTTCACAGTTCTGGAGGCCAGAAGTTCAAAATGAAGTGTTGGCAGAAACATGCTGCCTCTAAAGGGACTGGGAAAGGATCTGTTCCAGGCTTCCCTCCTATCTTCTGGTTGTTCCTTGCCTTCTGGCTGCGTAACTCTAGTCTTCATTTGGTGTTCTCCCTGCATGCATGGCTTTGTGTCCAAATTTCCTTTTTTCATGAGGCCATCAGTCATACTGGATTAGGGACCCACTCTACTACTGCAGGATGACCTCACCTTCCCAAATTACATCTGCAACAACCCTATTTCCAAAGAAGGCCACATTCTGAGGTACTGGGGGTTATAACTTCAACATGAATTTTTTGGAGGAAACAATTCAACTCCTAACACATCTCTACCCAACCTCTGTAGGTTCCCTCAATCCACCAAAATTTTTTGGCTCCACTGGATTATCTAGCAGTTAGGAAACCAAGATCATTAAATGAATTCACCGCAACTACAGTGAGACTGACTACCTTAGCTTACCTCTGTGAAAGGAGTTAAGCCAAAGGAATCTGTGGAATTTTGGAGAGTTTGGGAGCATTTGGGGGCAGGAGGCAAATGTTCTTCCTTTAAATCACAACACTTAGTTCTCTTCCATTTATAAGACTCACCCCTCCATCCCAACCCCTGCACCACAGGACAAGGAAGTGTTCTTGGTCTTCAACTTTCATCCCTGATGGTGAAAGCAGTTGCTCCTGACCTATTTGCCCACCAGCTTCTCCTCTGGAGCCTGAGGCTTCTGATGCCTGCCTGGCTGGTTCTCAGTAAGAAGGTCAAGTTCAACCAGAGGGGAGATGCTGATGCCTTTCAGTACTTAAATATGAGTTCAGACCCTGGGGCCTGGACATAAGATTTGGGGTCCCCTGGATATAAGATTTCTGAAAACACTCAGACTGTGGAGACCCCTGCTGAGGGAGAAGCCCCAAACTGTGGCTTCAGGGGAATGCACCAAGGCTCTCATTGAGGCCACCTTCTCCAACAAGCTCCCCTCCTGCTTCCCCATGGCTGGCATGGCTGAGGAAAAAGGACACTGAGCACAGCCCGTGCATGAGCGGCTTGCCATGCAACAGGATAAAACCCATAATGCCACTCAGCAAGCCTTGGTTGTAAATCTAGTTTGATTACATTTGTAATCAAATGATGGCCATTTGTTCTGTTTCTGGTTTGTGAACCAACTGAAGACATAAGCAGGGCCTCAGCTAACCCACAAATAGCACATGTGTGCAAACTGGAAAAATGAACCCTTCTTCTGGGAGGACGCCAGCCCAGGCCAGGTCACCCGGCTTGGCCAGCAGAACACAGAGTAGATTTTGGTCCCGTTTGTTCCCCAGTGGGGTATCTATCCTTGTGCAGGGCACAAGCCTACATGGTGGCTCTGGTCATATCATTAGAAAATAGACAGAAATGGGCTGCACACCAGAATGAATGAATTGAATTGAAAGGGAGGAGTGATGGTGGAAAAAAAAACAAGTCAATTCATTTAGACTGGTAGAACCAGAACCACTGTGTAGTACATCCAAACGGTTAAAATTCCCTGGAAGATGTTACATAATCCTATCATGGTGTTTATTTATGGAAATCTATTTTAAAAATTTTATGTAATACTGCACAGTCTGTTTGCATGATGCCTTGTACGTAGTAGCAACTCAGTAAATACTTTTTGAATGAACTAGTATAGTATTTTAATTAGCTAGTCTTCATGTACTGGTACAAAAGAACAGTGTCATCTTACAGCTGAAGTCATAGAGGGGAAATATCCCACTCAAGATCATATAACATTCCAGGTACTCAGGATGAATGGTTTGAGGACTGGTCTGAATTCTTCAAAGGTTTCAGCTGTATTAACATTCTCCATCTAATAAACTTTATCTTGTCATTGCATTGTCTGTGAGATTAGTGATCTGAAACATTCCATCAATACCCCCACCCCACCCAACACATACATATTAAAGACAAAGATAGAATTCGGAGGTTCTTATGGGAGGTACTGTTTTTCTCGAAGGCTATGAGAAGAGGTGCTGAGAAATGAGTTCTCAGCCATCTTGGGGGCCCAAATATCTGAAACCTTCCAGAAATGTAACTAGTCTGAATTTGCTTTTCTGTCACCATTTGGGTATTTGGTTAATGAAAGTTCTTAACATGCAAATTCCACCCACTCTTACCAATGCCCTGAGCTGGGAAGCACCCTGAGCACTCTTACCACACCCTGAGCTGTTGCTTTTCCTCTCCGCCTTGCCCCCACTCCGTGTTGGCTGCACCAGCAGAGGCTTCTGCATTTGCCCCTGGGCGGGAGTTGGGTATGAAGGTCTGGGCCAGAAGGTTCTGAGTCCCTAAGCTGAGCTGCTGGGTGGCAGCTGGAAGGTCAGGCTGGCTGAAGCCCTGGCGAGGTGACACTGGGTCTGAGGCAGGTGCAGTGGCAGCGGCCAGACCTCTGAGGACACAAATGGGCTAGAGTGTGGGAACAACCGGGGAAACAACCCGGGGGTGGGAAGGGAGTAGGAAGGGGGGAAACAGCTTCTGAGAGGAGGCTACAGGATGAAATGGGAAGCCACGAAAATAAGGAAGTGAAACCAAGGGAGAAATAAGAGTGCCACCCAAGCCGAGGCCGTCCTGGCCTTTCTTCCTTTCTGAGGCATCAGCGCAGATTCTAAGTTTACTTGAACTAACCGAAAGCTCTGTTGTTTTCTGAGCAACATCACAGTGGCATAAATAGAGAATTCCTGGAACACACTGGCAAGACACACGCTCTAGAAGGTGACAATTCTGGGGAAATCTGAAGGGCTGGAATAATAAAAAGTCAAACATTTGGCATCCCATCAGCTGCTGAAACACAACCCTCTCACGTACTTTAAAATACCCAACACATGCACTCTGCATATTACTCACGAAACAGCTACGAATGCACAGTCCCTGTGTTACACACAACAGGAAGTTGCCAAACCAGATGTAACCCACCAAGGCCGAGCACATGGGCAGCCCTTCACCTTACTGTTAAAAGACTGAATGGTCATTGGTCCCTGAGGATCCCTGAAGAAGACAGGCAAGCTGTTCTAATCCAATTTAGGTCTTTGCAACTGAAATTGAGATCAAATTTCAAAGATCTGTAAACTAGTGCAGCTTCACAGACTTGAAATTAGTCTACAAGATGACATGTTTCTGGGCCTAATGATGACATTTTTAGAGACTGCCCCCAGCCACAAGGAATTATTCGTTTTTTCTGTGTGGCATGGTATACACCATATTTTCATTCAAGCCACAGAGTTTTTTTTACCCCAGTTTCTTATTAATAATCTGCCACAAATACTGATATTTAAATC